>NC_000016.10:71835227-72138257 GCF_000001405.40 Homo sapiens
TGGCATGCACCTGTAGTACCAGCTACTTGGGAGGCTGAGGCAGGAGGATCACCTGAAACCAGGAGGCGAAGGCTGCAGTGAGCCGAGATTGTGCCACTCTACTCCAGCCTGGGTGACAGAACGAGACTCTATCAAAAAAAAAAAAATTAAATCAAGTGAATTGGATCCAAAAAATAAAAAATTAAACTTTTTTTTTTTTTGAGATGGAGTTTTCCTCTTGTTACCCAGTCTGGAGTGCAATGGCACAGTCTCAGCTCACTGCAACCTCCACCTCCTAGGTTCAAGTGATTCTCCTGCCTCAGCCTCCCTTGACCTCAGGTGACCCACCCGCCTCCGCCTCCCAAAGTGCTGGAATTACAGGCATGAGCCACTGTACCCAGCCTCAAAAAATGAAACTTAAAATTAGGCAAACCACTGATCCAGAGATCAACAAACTCAACACCGTCTTGCAGGAGCAGTGAATGGCCTTAACATTGCTGAAGCTATCAAAGTCGTTTCAGAACCCGTCATGTGCTGCAACAGATGCAGGAATTCTGGGAGGTAATCAAGAAAACTCCTTTACCTCCCTCTAATTTGCCCACAAGTTCCCTAATGAAGAACTTTGATACCAGTCAGTGGGAGGACATAAAACTAGTAGTTGTGCATACATGTTCTTTGCCTCAACACATTGGCACATTCATTAACAAGATTCCCTGGAGCTTTTTTTTTTTTCTTTTTTGAGATGGAGTCTCACTCTGTCGCCCAGGCTGGAGTGCAGTGGTGCAATCTCGGCTGCAGTGCAACCTCCGCCTCCCAGGTTCAAGCGATTCTCCTGCCTCACCCTCCCGAGTAGCTGAGATTACAGGCGTGTGCCACTGTGCCTGGCCTGTTTATTTATTTTTTGAGCCTCATTCTCAAAATTTTGAGACTCTGCCTCCTGGGTTCAAGCATTTCTCCTGCCTTAGGGTCCCGAGTAGCTGCAGCTACAGGTGTCTGCCACCACGCCCAGCTAGTTTTTGTATTTTTAGTAGAGATAGGGTTTTGCCATGTTGGCCAGGCTGGTCTTGAACTCCTGGCCTCAAGCAATCTGCCTGTCTCGGCTTCCAAGAAAGTGCTGGGATTACAGGCGTGAACCACCATGTCCAGCTGTCTACAAATAATTTTAAAATTAGCCTGGCATGGTGATACATACCTGTGATCCCAGCTACTCATCAGACTGAGGCAGGAGGATCGTCTAAGCCCAGGAGATCGAGGCTGCTGTGATCATGCCACTGCACTCCAGCCTGCACAACAAACCAAAACTCTGTCTTAAAAAAAAAGAAAAGAAAAAAATTATATTAAGAAGAAAATAAAAAAGAAAAACGTGTTTGTGTATGTATACAGTTCCATTTGATCCCAGCAACACCTGTGTGTTTGTATTATTTGCATTTTATAGCTGAGAGAATTGAGGCTCTGGTGGATTAAATGGCTTGCCCATGGTCACATGATTAGGAGTAATTTGTTGAATTGGAACTTGAGGCCAAACTTTCCGGCTGCAAATTCCTATGATTTTTTTTTTTTTAACCACATTATGCCACAGAATGAACAAGTGGAGTCATGTTGGAAAGGTAACAAATGTAACCTCTCCCAGGCCAATCCACTGAGACAAAAAAAGTCGTTCTACTTTGTAGGCCGGGTGCGGTGTCTCACGCCTGTAATCCCAGCACTTTGGGAGGCCGAGGCGGGTGGATCACGAGGTCAGGAGATCGAGACCATCCTGGCTAACACGGCGAAACCCCATCTCCACTAAAAATACAAAAAATTAGTCGGGTGTGGTGATGGGCGCCTGTAGTCCCAGTTACTTGGGAGGCTGAGGCAGGAGAATGGCGTGAACCCGGGAGGTGGAGCTTGCAGTGAGCCGAGATTGCACCACTGCACTCCAGCCTGGGCGACAGACCAAGACTCCATCTCAAAAAACAACAACAACAACAACAACTTTGTGTTATCAATTGATGACTGAGTCCTGAGGAAATGGTCTTTTCACAAGCCGGGAAAACCTGTGAGCCTCCAAATTACATATGCTGTCTGTCCGCCATACCCTAACAAGTGATGTTTACCATCTAATCATGAATAGACAGAGTTACTCTGTTACTGCAAAACATGCTGACATGAGATTACATTTGGATCTGAGATAAGCACAAGGCCCAGTGCTTGAAAGGGGGCATGACTAAATCCAAAGTAGGAAAATGTTCTTTGCACTAGACAGCTCAAGGAAAAGAAATCATGGTAATACCAGACTTGTTTCAGATAAATGCTGAGCCACCGTTACACCAATACCAATATCAGCACACATTTATTGTGTGCCCAGGTAATAGATCTGTGTTACAAATAGAACTCTGGAGAAATAGAAGGTCAAGATTATTATCTCCTTTCAAAAAAACAGTAAACTTCAGTAAGACAGGGCTAATTTGTTTTATATCAAATCACTTGGGTGCTTCGTTTAAATTTTTTCATTTGTAAAAAGAGGGTAATATTTATCTGGATAATATGTGTCCCCAGATTGTCAGGATAAAATAAAAGAACATGTGGACATGCAGTTTAAAATATATATGTATAGTTTTTTTGAGAAAGTCTCACTCTGTCGTCCAGGCTGCAGTGGTGCGATCTTGCCTCCCGGGTTCGAGTGATTCTCCTGCCTCAGCCTCCAGAGTAGCTGGGATTACGGGCATGCGCTACAACGCCTGACTAATTTTTTTTTTCCTATTTTTAGTAGAGACAGGATTTTAACATGTTGGCCTGGCTGGTCTTGAACTCCTGACCTCAAATGATCTGCCTGCCTCAGCCTCCCAAAGTGCTGGGATTACAGGTTTGAGCCACCGTGCCCGGCCTACAGTTTAAAATTTACAAGGGCTGTTTATACCATCAATGTCATCCTCATTGTTCATGGTCATAATAATGGATACCAATGGGTTTGCATAAATCTCATGTGTTTTTTGGATACTTTCCTTAGGTCTTTGTTGTCTAAATAATGCACAAACATCTTCAAGACCTGGCTAAAGAAGCCCAAAAATCAATTTGAAAGTCTAAGCAACGGCTACCTTCCTACTAATAGATGATGATAAATCAACAGGGCTGTTAACTGTAGACTCAGGGAACTGCAGTTAATTAACATATGCAATATTTATTTCACCTGAACCTTTCTCAGAATCAGAGATCATCAGTTTTTTAGTTTATTGAGGGGTTAATGACTCATGTGACCCATAGGAATGAGGAAAGAGCAAAAGGCAACAGAAAACAAGTTGAACTTAAGAAAAACAACACTCAGCACTACCCCTGCTCATGGGTGTACTCTGACTTGAGCTGTCACCTGATGGAAGGAATAGCATTGTGTGTGCGTGTTTGAAAAAAGGTAAAGGAGCCAGGCGCGGTGGCTCACGCCTGTAATCCCAGCACTTTGGGAGGCCGAGGCTGGCGGATCAAGAGGTCAGGAGATCAAGACCATCGTGGCTAACACAGTGAAACCCCGTCTCTACTAAAAATACAAAAAATTAGCCGGGCGTGGTGGCGGGCGCCTGTAGTCCCAGCTACTCAGGAGGCTGAGGCAGGAGAATAGCGTGAACCCGGGAGGTAGAGCTTGCAGTGAGCCAAGATGGCACCACTGCACTCCAACTTGGGTGACAGAGTGAGACTCCATCTCAAAAAAAAAAAGAAGAAAAAAGAAAAAAATAAAGGAGCCCTTCCAGAGAAATTTGCCCAGAGGGCTCAAACTTAATAGCTATATAATTTAAAAGACTGACCAGATAAAAGTTCTCTGCCTTTGTGGAGAGAAGTCCAGTAATCTGGACATCTGGACATTGGTTTTTTTTTTGAGATGGAGTCTCGCTCTGTCGACCAGGCTGGAGTGCAGCGGCAAGATCTTGGCTCACTGCAACCTCCACCTCCTGGGTTCAAGAGAGTCTCCTGCCTCAGCCTCCTGAGTAGCTGGGATTACCAGTGCACACCACCACACCCGGCCAATTTTTGTATTTTTAGTAGGCACGGGAATTTGCCATATTGGTCAGGCTGGTATTGAATTCCTGACCTTGTGATCTGCCGGCCTTGGCCTCCGAAAGTGCTGAGATTACAGGCGTGAGCCACCGTGCCCATCCTGGGCATTGTTTTACATTTAAAACTTCAGAAACTTTTTTAAATTTAAACTTTTTATTTTGAGACAATGGTAGATTCACATGTAATTCACACGTTGTAAGAAACAATACAGAGAAATCTGGAGTACCATATCCTCTAGCTTTCCCCAAAGGTGTAGTTGAATATCACAACCAGGATCTCGATATTGATAGTCAAGATACAGAACAGATTTTGCAAACTTTTTTTTTTTTGAGATGGAGTCCCACGTTGTCACCCAGGCTGGAGTGCACTGGTGCAATCTCGGCTCACTGCAACCTCCGCCTCCCAGGTTCAAGCAATTCTCCTGCCTCAGCCTCCAGAGTAGCTGGGATTACAGGCTCTCGCCACCACGCCTGTCTAATTTTTTTTATTTTTTATTTTTTTGAGATGGAGTTTCGCTCGTCGCCCAGGCTGGAGTGCAATGGCACGATGTCAGCACACTGCAACCTCCGCCTCCTGGGTTCAAGCAATTCTCCTGCCTCAGCCACCCAAGTAGCTGAGATTACAGGCTCCCACCACCGCACCCAGCTAATTTTTGTATTTTTAGTAGAGATGGAGTTTCACCATGTTGGCCAGGCTGGTGTCAAACTCCTAACCTCAGGCGATCCCACCCACCTCAGCCTCCCAAAGCGCTGGGATTTCAGGCATGAGCCCCCGCGCCTGGCCAATTTTTGTATTTTTAGTTGAGACAGGGTTTCACCATGTTGGCCAGGCTGGTCTTGAACTCCTGGCCTCGAGTGATCCGCCCGCCTCAGCCTTCCAAAGTGCTGGGATTACAGGCATGAGTCACGGTGCCCTTCCAGTCTTTGGAAACATTTAAAATGAGTTGATCACTATCATAATTATTACCACATTCTCACAAGTCAGAAACATTCCTTTAAATTCCAAAATTGCTAAGTGAGGTCTTAGGCGATGTATTGCCTTGAGGACTGTGCAGTGATCTGAGAGGCAGCTTGCCATGCTGCCTAGAATATTTACTCACGTTTTTCCCAGGAGTTACAGGCGATTTATAACTAGTTGCCAATTAACTACAAAGTTAACTTTGCAGGTAGAGCTGAACATTTCATCACAGGACACAAGAGCTCACAAGTTACCTTGCTGAGCAAGCTTCCCAGAGAAAGTTATTAGTATTACGAATGGCTCCAGTTTTTCCACACTCAATTTATTCATTCAACAAGCCTCCTGTAAGGAACTTCTGGCCACTCAGCAATGGCCTGAATGCACTTGCTTCTCTGTGGGCCAGTTCCCCAGATATGACTCTTACAGTGCAAATAAGGGTTAGCTTTCCTTCAATTTATTCCAATGGTCATTCTTTCTACTGTAACCTGTAAGAGTTCTGCAGGAAGTTTTTGACAAAAACTGGCAAGGGTCTGAGGAAATATACAAGAGATGGAGATCCCCCTCCCCAGAGGAAATAGTAGTCACTTACAGAGAAATTGTAAGACCTCCTTTTAAATAAAATATTAATGAATTTTCAAGGGAAATCCCTTTTGGAATCTGGCAAGGTCACATAACATTAAAAGCAGGTGGAAATGAGGACACAGAATTGTTCAGAGAAGTAGCTAAAACAGAAGCTTGAGAATTGCCTATCTCTACATTTGGATATCCAGAAAAGCTTTTGAAAAGTAACATAAGGCCAGGCACAGTGGCTCACCCCTGTAATCCCAGCTCTTTTGGAGGCTGAGGCGGGGATCACCTGAGGTCAGGAGTTCTAGACCAGCCTGACTAACGTGGCGAAACCCTTCCTCTATTAAAAATACAAAATTTAGCCGGGCGCGGTGGCTCACGCCTGTAATCCCAGCACTTTGGGAGGCTGAGGCCGGTGGATCACGAGGTCAGGAGATCGAGACCATCCTGGCTAACACGGTGAAACCCCGTCTCTACTAAAAATACAAAAAATTAGGCGGGCATGGTGTCGGGTGCCTGTAGTCCCAGCTACTCGGGAGGCTGAGGCAGGAGAATGGAGTGAACCCGGGAGGCGGAGCTCGCAGTGAGCCGAGATCGTGCCACTGCACTCCAGCCTGGGCGACAGAGCGAGACTCCGTCTCAAAAAAAAAAAAAAAAAAAAAAAATTTAGCTGGGCATGGTATCAGGCACATGTAATCCCAGCTACTCGGGAGGCTGAGGCAGGAGAGTCAATTGAACCTGGGAGGTAGAGGCTGCAGTGAGCCAAGATTGGGTCACTGCACTCTAGCCTGGGAGACAGATTAAGACTCCATCTCAAATAAAAAAGAAAAAAAATGTAATCTAGTACTAGGCACCGATACATTTCTAGAGTATCAGTATAATTTCCTTCTTTTTTTTTTTTTTTTTTGAGACAGCGTCTCGCTCTGTTGCCCAGGCTGGAGTGCAGTGGCGCGGTCTCGGCTCACTGCAACCTCCACCTCCTGAGTTCAAGCAATTCTCCTGCCTCAGCCTCCCGAGTAGCTGGGACTACAGGCACGTACCACCACGTCCGGCTAATTTTTTGTATTTTTAGTAGAGATGGGGTTTCACTGTGTTAGTCAGGATGGTCTCGATCTCCTGACCTCGTGATCCACCCGCCTCGGCCTCCCAAAGTGCTGGGATTACAGGTGTGAGCCACTGCACCTGGCCTAGTACAATTTCAGTGTATTCTTGGGATTTGCTGTTCTTTTTTTTTAAACAGAGTCTCACTCTGTCACTGGGGCTGGAGTGCAGTGGTGCAATCTCAGCTCACTGTAACCTGTGCCTCCTGGGTTCAAGCCATTCTCCTGCCTCAGCCTCCCGAGTAGCCGGGATTCAGGCACCTGCCACAATGCCTGGCTCATTTTTGTATTTTCAGTAGAGAGAGGGTTTCACCCTGTTGCCCAGGCTGGTCTCGAACTCCTGACCTCGAGTGATCTGCCTGCCTTGGCCTCATGAAGTGCTGGGATTACAGGCATGAGCCACCGCGCCTGGCTGGTTTGTTGTTGTTTCTGCCATTGGCATCCAAAGATAAAGTTCCTTTCCTAAAATGACACCTTGACATGCTCAAGTATACAAACAGGAAGACATGACAGTATGAAAGACGCCACCTACTCCTCTTGTTATGACACGCATGGTTTCCCAAGTTACCAGTGCTTCTCTCTGGTTTGATCTGCATTGTCAAAAAAGAGTTGGGGTAGTTTCCTGAGTTTCCTCTCCCTGTATTACAGGACAAGAAATGTCACCAGTGAGAACTAGGTAACACAGAGAGCTAGTTTGCAACTCCTGACTGCTCAGGGAGAAAAATAACCAGCATTAACAGGGTTTTATTTTTGTTTTCCTTCCAACAGAGCAGCTCAAGCTCTTCCATCACAAAAATTCAATCTATACACAACAATGGAATTCAGTAGGAATCCAGGGAAAGGGAAGAAGTGGACAAAACAGATTGAAGTTTAACTTATCATTTTCCAAATACCCCAAATACCTAAAACACATCAAAAACAAAAAAACATTTACTTTATCAGTTTTTGTTTGTTTGTGTTTTTGAGACAGAGTCTCACTTTGTTGCCCAGGCTGGAGTGCAGTGGCACGATCTCGGCTCACTGCAACCTTTGCCGCCTGGGTTCAAGTGATTATCCTGCCTCAGCCTCTCATGTAGCTGGAATTATAGGCACAGGCCACCATGCCCAACTAATTTTTGTATTTTTAGTACAGATGGGGTTTCACCAAGCTGGCCAGGCTAGTCTTGAACTCCTGACCTCAGGTGATTCACCTGCTTTGGCCTCCCAAAGTGCTGGGATTACAGGCGTGAGCCACCACACCCGGCCTGGTTTACTGAATATAAATAGCTTAAATAGGGGTGTTACCCAGATTCCAGAAAAATAATACAGATATTTGGATAAATTAGGTAACTTTTGGTTATTTTTGTGCCATAAATCTAAAAACTTTATTAGTTTACTTATCACTAATATACCTGTCAAACTGTTGCTATGGAGCTTTCTACCATCAGGATATACAACCAAAGAAAAAAAGATTACTCAGAGTAGTAAAGAGTTTGGGAATGGGATACAGCGGACATATGACCCACCCTTTTGGGACTGCAGTGCCAAACCCGGAAATCACCTGTGTTTCACCAATCAGAACATCCTGTTTTTACTTTTTAATGGACATGCTTTTGTATCATGTACATCATTATGTTAATGGTTGGTAGCCATAAAACTTTTTTTTTGCTTACATCTACCTGTGTCTACTCTTTCAAATTTGTACAGAAAACCCAGCTCTGAGTGTATATCTTGATCTGGGAGAAACTAGCTATCCTTGAATATGCTTGGATAGTCCAAGGGTTCCTATCTTGACTATTTTAATGCCAGTTTAGTGAGCTAAGAAATGAACTAGAAACCAGAATGCTAGTTAGTGCTAAAACGGACACACTGAGTGACCACAGGACTTCCTTCTTGGCCAAACTGAGAGAGAAGGAGACTGTCATGAACAATATTAATATTAATGAAGCAAAACACTCAGATGATTTAGATGACAGCAGTAACTTCACTATGTTTTTTCCCATTTGTGCTGTGTGTATGTGTGCGTGTGTGTGTGTGTCTGTGTGTGTGTCTGTGTGGTACTTGATAATTTTTTATGGCCCTATGTGTCCATCCAGGTGAGAAAATATAATTGAGATCTAAGGCTTCCCTAGAAAGAATCTTAGAGATCATGCATTGTATCTGGATCTCAACTTACTTTTTTTATTTCTAAGATAATATTCTCCTAAATATTCAAACAATAATATAAGTTGTTTCTTTGCCTTTTGACCACCACCCAATTCCACTTTCCTTCCCAAAAATAACCAATGTTAATTAGTTATGTGTTCTACTCCTTTTCTGTACAGATACACAGAAATACATACAACCGACGCTGGGTGTGGTTGGCTCATGACTGAAATGTCAGCACTTTGGGAGGCCGAGGAGGGAAGATCACTTGAGCACAGGAGTCTAAGACCAGCCTGGGCAACATAGCAAGACCTTGTCTCTGCAAGAAATTTTAAAAAATTAGCTGGGCATGGTAGTGCATGCCTATCATCGCACCTACCCCAGAGGCTGAGGTGGGAGGACTGCTTGAGCACAGGAATTTGAGGCTGCAGTGAGCTAAGATGGCACCACTGCACTCTAACCTGGGCGACAGGGCTAAAAAAAAAAAAAAATTATATGTACACACACACACACACATACACGCAACTGCAATGACATATCTTTTTTTTTCTTTTTTTTTTTTTAAGACGGAGTCTCACTCTATTGCCCAGGCTGGAGTGCAGTGGCACGATCTCGGCTCACTGCAAGCTCTGCCTCCCGGGTTCATGCCATTCTCCTGCTTCAGCCTCCCGAGTAGCTGGGAGTACAGGTGCCCGCCACCATGCCCGGCTAATTTTCTGTATTTTTAGTAGAGACGGGGTTTCGCCGTGTTAGCCAGGATGGTCTGCGATCTCCTGACCTCGTGATCCGCCGGCCTTGGCCTCCCAAAGTGCTGGGATTGCAGGCGTGAGCCACCGCGCCTGGCCCAATTGTTATTTATTGAACAGAGTTTGAAGAAACTGAAAGTCTCCATTTCGGTGGCCAAAACCGCAATTACTTTTGCACCAACCTAATACTTTAAAACAAACAACAACAAAAACACAGTTGTTATTCAAACATAAATTCAACTGGCGCTCACTTTTGTCTTCACTTAAGTTAATCAGATGTTCATGTTACTATGAAGTTGACCAGTTAATTTGTAATGAATAATTAGTTAATTTGTAATGAATAATATTTCACTGAGTAGTCAAGCCCTCTTTCCACTAAACCAAGCTGCTTCTCACTGTACTAAACCCCGGGCTCTCTCTAAACTTTCAGGTGTTCCACTCCTTGTCACCTTCCCCTAGATCCTGAGTGGGGTTCACTCTTAGCTCCCTCGGGGGCCACTTCTCAACACTTACAGAGCTCCTATTGACCTGGCACGGTGGCTCACGCCTGTAATCCCAGCACTTTGGCAGGCCGAGGTGTGGGGATCACCTGAGGTCGGGAGTTCGAGACCAGCCTGACCAGCAAGGAGAAACCCTGTCTCTACTAAAAATACAAAAAATTAGCCAGGTGTGGTGGCGCATGCCTGTAATCCCAGCTACTCGGGAGGCTGAGATAGGAGAATTGCTTGAACCTGGCAGGCGGAGGTTGGGTGAGCCGAGATCGTGCCATTGCACTCTAGCCTGGGCAACAAGAGCGAAACTGTCTCCAAAAAAAAGAAAGAAAAGAAAAAAAGAAGACTTCCTATCTCCACCTGGGTCCCCAAGAGGTAAGAGGTATCTCCTTTTCTCCTGAGCCTAGGTCACCTCGGGGTCCCCCGAAGTTCCCCAGAAGGGGCTGCACAAGTCAGGACAAGAAGTCCAGGAAATGGGGGGTCGCCGATGACCACGCCCCGGGGCTCTGTTTGGGAACCCCCAAAATTTACTGAGGTGGAAAGATTGCGGGGTCATTGTGGGGTCAGGCTGAGGGGGCCGGGCCCAGCCCTATTCACGTGACCCGGTCCCAGGGAGAGGAGTTTGTTCACCCACCAGAGGGAACGCCCGACGCGAAGGCAGTGTGGCACCCTCCCTTCCCGGGGAGTCCTGGGCGTTGCTCTCCCACCCCGGCCGTGACGCAATCTCTCCGCGCCGGGGGCGGGACGAGCTTGACGCCATCTCCGGGCGCCCGGCTGTGGGGGGCGCTGGGTGTGGGGCGGCTCCGGGGCCGGGGATGGCGGCGGCCGCGGTTGCGGCGGCTCCGGGACGAGTGAGTGGATCCTGGGAAGCGCTGTGAAATGGGCTGGTGAGTGTCCCTGGAAGTGGTGGCCGCCGGGGCCAGGCAGGCCTGGGGTCGGTGCTCCGGAGGAAGTGGCCCTCAGGAGCCCGTTGCTCCGGCGGGCCGGGGCCCATGAACCGTGGACAGACGGAGGGGAGAGGCCGCACCTAGACCCCCTCGCGCTTCTCTCTGGCCTGTCCTGGAAGGTGGCCTCAGGCCCCGGCGCCCCGGAGGCTGTGTGCCTGCGAGCCAAGGTGTCCGAGTCTGTGGGGCGGGAAGGGCCCCCAAACAAGGAAGCGTCGCCTGCAGGGCCTCGCCCCTGCCCCCTTGGTGAAGGGTGGACCCCCTACTCTCTAAACGCAGAATTCCCAATTTCGAGCCCTACCCTTGTTGGATCAAGGATTGCGGGACCACTGGGAGCCATAACCGTAGTCTCTGACAAGCTTCTCCCTTTCTGTCGGGCGCACCTCTCGCCCGCAGAGAATTTGGGTCTCCAGCTGGGTTCAGCCCCTTGATTCCGACCCAAGCGTGATGAGGAGCTTGGTTCCGGGCTCTGCTAGCAGCGTTGGCAACTCTCCTGAACAGCCTGTTAGCTCGGTTGGGGTCACAAGCTGCGTTTTCCCTTTGAGATGCTCAGTGAGGTTCTCGAGAGGCGGAGGTTTCGGATTCTTAAGTGTGTTTTGCGTTGTGGGAACCTGGCGCACAGGCTTGGCTCTTTGTTTTCCTTTCTGCAGACCTTTTGCCTCTTTCGGTCCCTTTACTAGCCTGTGTTTGCTAACTTCTCGGTGACCTGGAGGCAGGTTTTCTTTAAAGTTTTCGTTACAGAAAGCAAGGATCATTTTGGGATTGAAGTGTGACCCCAGTTTCTGTTGGGAATGAAGAAGAAAGCAAGCTGCTTTTCAGTTATTAAAGCTGCTGGTGGAGAAAAGAGTCATTATTTATGCCACTGTGTAATAATATGTGTTTGTGGAATTAGGAATTTGTTTTCCCACTGTGTTTTCCTATCCTTCCACCTTTTGTGTACACCTGCACCTTGCCAATCTTAAGAGAGAAATGTTGCATTCGGTTTGGGTTGAGGCTTAGAGTGTTCTATAGGACTTGGACAGGATAGTCAGTTTCTCAGAGCACTCACTCATCTGTACTGCCTTCTCTGTTTTCAGAGGTTAAGGCTCCATTCTTTCTCGCTTTGCGTTTCTGGCAAGTGTAGATTCACATAGTGATGGTTTAGTGGTAGTTTTGTTTCACCAGTGTTAGCCAGCTGAGGACCAAGGCAATATTTTCAGTTTCTTTCATACCTGATTCAGCACTTGGTATACTGTCACTCAGAAAATTTTACATACACACACACATATGCTCATTTTTTTTTAACCCTGAAAATCTCTTAATAAGTCTTCTCCTTGAGTGACTCCCCCCTGACCTCTTTTTCTGCCCCAGAAACATAAATAATTGTTCTTTTTCATCTACTGCTGCTTTTTTTCATTTAAATAACTCCACATTTATGTTTTCATAGGCCCAGAATAAAGGGGAAATCCATAGAGTTGATTTTTCCTGCTTCCCATTGTTCATATGGGAACAGTGTTAAAGCTTCCATTTTTATTTGTGCGTTTATCTGAAATTTGGATTGGAGCAAATTTAACCTTTGGGGAACAGGCACAGGTAGATGTTAGGGAAATGATGTTACGGAAAACCAATGAAATTTGATACATGGAAATTTTTTTTCAGGGATGTCTTCTTACAAGTTGGAGCATTAGAGGTGTTTTTCTCTCTGTTCAACTGCCTGGGCACTCTGGGTAAATGTACTGTTTACCTGTGGAGAAGAAGATGAGGCAAGGACGTGTATACTCTAATGCTTTGGAATTACCTTTCATGGTGACCCTGGGGAGAATTAGAGGTCAGGCAGCCGCTTACTCCATTCCTGTTTCTATCTTCTAGGCTCCCGAGCCAGCCGGGAGGACACTTACTACAGCTGCTCAGAAGCACCACTGGAAACTCAGGTAATACCGGCACTTTGAATTCCTTGTTTCAGGAAAATATCTGGGATGTCACAGTGGAAAAACAGAACAGAATGTAATATAGAAAGCTCTTTTCAGATCCAAAGAACTGGAACCTGGTTGGAAGAAATAGGCAGCAAAGTTCATGTGCACTGAAGTGTTCAGACCAAAAAGTTGCTTTATAACAATGGACAAAAGCATTTGTGAAAGGTGACAATAAGAGAAAAGGGAAAGAGAACTTTCTTATGAATCATACAGATACGGGGAAAAAAACAGGCATGTTTAGAGGAATGGAACCAGAATTTCATGGAGTGGTGCCTGGAGCAGACCTACAGTGGAGAAGGAGCTATTGGTAAAAGAAAGCACAAAGAAAAAAGAAAGGGAATGAATAGAGAAGGCAAATTGAAGGTGATCATTGAGAAGAAGCCTTTTGAGACTAGGGAACCGGAAGTGTACGTAAGGTCAGAAGAATTTAGAATTTTGTTGTTCTTTGGTGAAGAGGAGAAACAAGTTGACAGCAAACTAGTTTAATCACTTTCACTATATAGAGGCTGAGTTAAAATGTATTATTTCATGGGTCAAAGATGTTAATTTTCATAACCTGGTTAGGGAGCAAAGTCTTAAAAAAAAAAACAAAACACGAGCAGACCTGAGGGTTTTGGCACCTAGGTCCTTGAGGTACTGATGAGATGAGGCAAAGGAGGAAGAGAGTTTTTAGCCAGGCTTGGGATAGCAGTAGGTGAGATCATAACCCAAATTAGGCTACAGAAAGGAAGCAAGGATGAGGTCATATGTTCAGGAAAGAAGGTGGCACATTCATGTTTGGTAGCAAAAGGAGAAACTTAAGAAAAAGAGCCAGCAGGAGGCTGGGCGCTGTGGCTCACACCCGTAATCCCAGCACTTTGGGAGGCTGAGGTGGGCGGATCACCCAAGGGCAGGCGTTCGAGACTAGCCTGGCCAACATGGTGAAACCCCATCTCTACTAAAAATACAAAGTTAGCCAGGCGTGGTGGTGCATGCCTGTAGTCCCAGCTGCTTGGGAGGCTGAGGCAGGAGAATTGCTTGAACCCGGGAGGCGAGGTTGCGGTGAGCTGAGATTGCACCATGTACTGTGGCCAGGGCAACAAGAGCAAAACTCCATGTGTTTTAAAAAAAAAAAAAAAAAAAAAAAAAAGCAAAAGAGCCAGCAGGAAAGACCATGTGTTCAAAGCCCCCTTTGGGAAGAAGGCAGAAAAGAGACAAGGTGCTTATGAGACACATGACTAACCGTGAAGCTGTTGGTCTCCCTGGGCTTGTGGAGCCCACAGGTTATTTGTGCATTGGTGAATGCGTGTCCCTGTAGCTCTTTGTGCCTTGTGATTTCCCCGACTGTTTCTCTCATGTCCCAGGCTGGATGAGTTGGGGGTAGCCTCCTTGTCTGCCCCTTTCTCTTTCCTCCTTATTTTCTAACAGTCCCCTTTGTTACATCTTCCTCCATGGCACAGTTCTTTCTATTTCCTTTGTCTTGGCTCATCCCTAGGTTACTTTTCTTTGCCTCTGATTTGTTCCCTAATAGATGTGGGCGCCCCAGCCAGAAGCAGAGAGGGGTACAGGGAAGCTACAGAGAAGCCCCTTCTGATGCCCCAGGGAGCAAGTCGACTCCTTCCAGGCTCCAGGAACACCACAAAGCAATATGAAACCTGTTCATGAAAGGAGTCAGGAATGCCTTCCACCAAAGAAACGAGACCTCCCCGTGACCAGCGAGGATATGGGGAGAACTACCAGCTGCTCCACTAACCACACACCCTCCAGTGATGCTTCTGAATGGTCCCGAGGGGTTGTGGTGGCTGGGCAGAGCCAGGCAGGAGCCAGAGTCAGCCTGGGGGGTGATGGAGCTGAGGCCATCACCGGTCTGACAGTGGACCAGTATGGCATGCTGTATAAGGTGGCTGTGCCGCCTGCCACCTTTTCACCAACTGGACTCCCATCTGTGGTGAATATGAGTCCCTTGCCCCCAACGTTTAATGTAGCGTCTTCACTAATTCAACATCCAGGCATCCACTATCCTCCACTCCACTATGCTCAGCTCCCATCCACCTCGCTGCAGTTCATTGGGTCTCCTTATAGCCTTCCCTATGCTGTGCCACCTAATTTCCTACCGAGTCCCCTCCTATCTCCTTCTGCCAACCTTGCCACCTCTCACCTTCCACACTTTGTGCCATATGCCTCACTTCTGGCTGAAGGAGCCACTCCTCCCCCACAGGCTCCCTCCCCGGCCCACTCATTTAACAAAGCTCCCTCTGCCACCTCCCCATCTGGGCAATTGCCACATCATTCAAGTACTCAGCCGCTGGACCTTGCTCCAGGTCGGATGCCCATTTATTATCAGATGTCCAGGCTACCTGCTGGGTATACTTTGCATGAAACCCCTCCAGCAGGTGCCAGCCCAGTTCTTACCCCTCAGGAGAGCCAGTCTGCTCTGGAAGCAGCTGCTGCAAATGGAGGACAGAGACCACGAGAGCGAAATTTAGTAAGACGGGAAAGTGAAGCCCTTGACTCCCCCAACAGCAAGGGTGAAGGCCAGGGACTGGTGCCAGTGGTAGAATGTGTGGTGGATGGACAGTTGTTTTCAGGTTCTCAGACTCCACGGGTAGAGGTAGCAGCACCAGCACACCGGGGGACCCCGGACACTGACCTTGAGGTCCAGCGGGTGGTTGGCGCTTTAGCTTCTCAGGACTATCGTGTGGTGGCAGCTCAGAGGAAGGAGGAACCCAGCCCCCTCAACCTATCCCATCATACCCCCGACCATCAGGGTGAGGGGCGAGGGTCAGCCAGGAACCCTGCAGAGCTGGCAGAGAAAAGTCAGGCCCGTGGGTTCTACCCTCAGTCCCATCAGGAACCAGTAAAACATAGACCTTTACCCAAAGCAATGGTTGTAGCCAATGGCAACCTGGTGCCCACTGGAACTGACTCAGGCCTGCTGCCTGTGGGCTCGGAGATCCTGGTAGCATCAAGTCTGGACGTGCAGGCCAGAGCCACCTTCCCAGACAAGGAGCCAACGCCGCCCCCCATTACCTCCTCTCACTTGCCTTCCCATTTCATGAAAGGCGCCATCATCCAGCTGGCTACGGGAGAGCTGAAGCGGGTGGAGGACCTCCAGACCCAGGATTTTGTGCGCAGTGCCGAAGTGAGCGGGGGGCTGAAGATTGACTCTAGCACGGTCGTGGACATTCAGGAGAGCCAATGGCCTGGATTTGTCATGCTGCATTTTGTGGTTGGTGAGCAGCAGAGCAAAGTGAGCATCGAAGTGCCCCCCGAGCACCCCTTCTTTGTATATGGCCAGGGTTGGTCCTCTTGCAGCCCTGGGCGGACGACACAACTCTTCTCTCTGCCCTGCCATCGGCTACAGGTGGGAGATGTCTGCATCTCTATCAGTTTACAGAGCTTGAACAGTAACTCAGTTTCTCAGGCCAGCTGTGCTCCCCCAAGCCAGCTGGGTCCCCCCCGAGAAAGGCCTGAGAGGACGGTCTTGGGATCCAGAGAGCTATGTGACAGTGAGGGGAAGAGCCAGCCGGCAGGAGAGGGCTCCCGTGTGGTAGAGCCTTCCCAGCCTGAGTCCGGTGCTCAGGCCTGCTGGCCAGCCCCGAGCTTCCAAAGATACAGCATGCAAGGGGAGGAGGCACGGGCTGCGCTGCTCCGTCCCTCTTTCATTCCACAGGAGGTAAAGCTGTCCATTGAAGGGCGTTCCAATGCGGGAAAATGAACCTCTTCCCCAGACCAGGACTGGGGCTTTACCCCAGAGCCTCGCCTCGCCGCCGTGAGCAGGCAGAGGATTTGCACACGCCGAGCAGGGAATGGCTTTCTTGGCAGTGAGATTTGGGGGAAAGGGGAGGCATGAAGTCAGCCTCCCAAGGCAGGATCTGTTGTTCATTACCCCATGGCATCCTTTCAGGACAACCCCAGAGGGTGTTGTGATGGGGAGCAGCAGGCCTGGGGCAAGGAAGGAAGGGGGTGCACACAGGAGAAGAAACATTCCAAAATCAGGGCCTCCCTGTTCTTTCCTCCCCATCCCTAGCTCCTGCAAGAGAAAGTCCAGGCTTTGGGAGCAGATGGCAGAGGGAGGGAGTAAAGAAAGAGCCAAAAATGATGATCCACAGCTTATAGTAGCAGTTAAACTGTCAGAAGTTTTTTTTCTTTTTTGTGGTAGAAGGGCAGGAGGCCCCAAGGTTGGAAATAAGAGGGTTCCCACCCAGAACCCTTCTTGTGAGAGATGCGCACTTTAAAGGGTGATTTTGTTCCAGATGTCTATGGCTGGGTGTGTGGGGGAGGAGCACTCTCATCTGCAGGACTCTGCTTGATCCTCTGCTTCATAGCCCTTCCCCATCTCTCCTCACCATTCTGCCTACAAGGCTTCTAGCAGCACGGGGGCCCGGAGGGAGAGCCCCTTCAGGGTTCAGAGTGAAGTACTACCTTGCCAGGGACTCAGTCAGGGGACTTTGGGAGAAAGACTTGATAGCCAGGCTGACTGGGTTCTAGGCAGGCCCTCTGGAAAGGTAGCTCACCTAACAAAGCTCCTCCATCTCAGCATGCCAGACCCACTTTGAAATCTCACAGAATCTTGCTGGTAATGGTGACTTTAGAACTAGTAGACCCTTTTTCCCAGGCACTGACCCCCCACCTTTGTCTGTGTTGTGCCCAAGTGCCTGCGCCACCCCCACCCTCCTGCTGCGCTGACCGCTGCATGGTGTCGTGACCTGGGCCTCATTTGTAGCTGCACTGCCTTTCCTTGTCTGCAAAGTTGGTTTTGTCCACTCTGACCAAGACCTCTAGTTTTTGGTGGGTAGGGGGTCTCTCTGGTTTCCCCTTCAGCTATAATCTCTATTTTTAAAATCTCAAAATCATGTCCCCTCCACTTCCACTGCCAAACAGCTTGGTGAAGAAACAAGAAGGGAACTATGCCCTGGGCCAGGGCGAATGCGTGGCTGGGCAGTGCCCATCATGGCATTTTCACATGTCCCATATGCCCCTCCTGTCTTATTCCACTGCTTCTCCCAGCATTCTGGTGCCTCCAAGCCATCCCCTC
This sequence comes from Homo sapiens, assembly GCF_000001405.40. Taxonomy (NCBI): domain Eukaryota; kingdom Metazoa; phylum Chordata; class Mammalia; order Primates; family Hominidae; genus Homo; species Homo sapiens. The sequence goes on from NC_000016.10 coordinate 71,853,131, forward strand.
CCACCACCAGCTCTAAGATTCTAGGATAGTCTTGATAACATTTCAGTACCTGAATAGATGTCATTTTGTGTTGGTATATTCCTCTGCAAAAAGTATTTTCAATCTTGGTTGCATTGGCACCCCCCCTACCCCCCACCAATGTCTTAATCCCACATTTTCTTCACAACTTTTAGCATCAGCTCAGACCGTGGGGTTCCACTGGGTATTGGGAATTAGGCTCCCCCACTAGCTTTCAGGTGGGTAAGTTTTTTTGTTTGTTTTTTGGGGGTCTTTAGACTCTTGAAGGCAACTCAGGGTATTGTCCACGCAGCTCTCTGGTTAGACTTCTCCCAGGCTATGATCCTGGCATGTCCTTTATAAGGTATACTTGGATTGGCCGAGACCTGGCCTGGCATCAGGAGTCCAAACCTCTGAGGTCTGATCTCTGCTCTGTCAAGGACTTTCGGCAAGTCTCGTGACCTCTGGCTCTTTCACTTCCTCCCCACCTGCCAAATGGGGATAAATAATCTTACCTACCTCCTGGGGGGAGGGGAAGTTCTGAGAATGGAGTCATTCTTAGTGTTCAGGTGCTAAAGGTTGTTCTCCTGGGGGAACAGAGTGACTGAAACTGGCTTGTTTGCTACAAGCCCTACCCTCCACTCTTTCATTCCTTGAAAGCAGTTTGCCTGGTCAGTCAGCTTTTGGGGGTCCATCAAAGGAGGTTGCTGACCTGACCGTGAGTGCTTCAGTATCTGGTTTGTGTCAGAACCAGACGCCAACTTTGTACTGCATTTGGGATCATATCTTTCCCCTTCTCTGTCCCCCATTCTCTGAATGCTGCTTTCTCTGGCTTGTTTCCTACAGTGGGGGCCTGTGGGGTTGAGTCTTGAGGAATCCCCTCAAATGAGAAGGCCTTGGGAGAAGGCCTCATCTCTGGCTGTTTCATGAGCAACTCATTCCTAGAGTTCATTGTTTGCATGGGTTTCTCACAAGCGTCCTTCCTCATAGGAAGGCTCATCAACTGAATTTAGTGACATGTACACAGTAGATGCTCAAGCAGTGTCTGCAAGGACACAAGCTGAGCTTTCTCCTTATGGGGCAAACCTATGTCTAACCAGATACAGACCAATTAGTTTAGATCAAATCACCTTCCACTTGGGCTACTTGTGACTTTCCAACCTGGTAACTTCCACTGAATTCTGGAAAGAGAAATTCTTGAGGACCCTGGCAAGTTGGGCCCTGACCTTTCTGTTGCTGTCTCTTGCTGGTGAAGCAATACCAGCAGTTCCTGTAATACCACAATATCGTTCCATGCATATATAACATATTAATACTTGATTTTGCTGAGCTGCAAAGGTATCTGTCATAAAATATGGTCCCCAGGAAAAGAATCTCTGTGCTCTAAATCTCGGTCAGAGCTGTGGCCTCCCCCTTGCCTTTAACCTCTAGTTTAGTCTTTTCCTCCAGGCATGAAAAATATGACTAACCTGTGGTGTGTCCATTCTTCCTTATAGGAATTTCCTGAGTTTGCAGGAGACATGAGAGCAGTTTTTAGCGAGTATTTTAGTGGGAAGTTGCCAACTTTTTAAGAATGAGCAGTTGACAAGGGCCAGAGCCTGTCCCTTGTCAGCAGTAGGACATTTCCAGCTCTTAGGAATAGAAAGGAGGACTGCTGACTGTCTGGCGCTGTATAAAAATGTGTATACCAATTTGGGAATAGGGGAACCCAGTCATGGATGGATAATAAGCCAAGTCTTGAATCATTCCTATCAAGATTAGTATACATGAGGAAGAGGTGGCATGGGGGGAAGGGGCTCTGGGAGTTCAGAGCTGAGTACTTGTACCTGAGGGAGGGCCCCCAGCCAATCTGGGCTGGTCCTTCTATATTCTTGGTCCCAGTTGGTCATAACACCAAGGGCTTTGCCCTGCGCTGCTTTGCCACTGCTGCTGTCCGCTCACTGTCCTGCCTGCTGTCCTCTACAGCTCCCTATCCTTCCATGTCTTTGGCCATGTAGATTAAGTGTAGGCGTCCGGTTCATTCTTACCTGTGTTAGGCCATGTTATTTTATAGCGAAGTCATGTTCGATAGGGATGGTATGAAATGCTGCTGGTGGGCTGGTAAATCCAAAGGGATAAGGCTTCAGTGCTGTTGGGAGCCCTCTGGCTCCAAATGTCTGACTATCTTGAGGGAGAAACAAGCAGGTTTCTACTAGTGGTGTCTTCTGTTGTATTAACTTCTTTCCTTTGTGGTATCTTGTATCCTGTTTTAAAAACTAAATGAAGGGAACCACATTAGGGCCCATGCCAGCATCCCAGTGAAGTTCGTCCAGCTCCAGTTAGGTGGATTCTGGAGTTCGGAGAGGGTTTAAAGTTTGGCTGAAATAGCACCTCAAGTGGGGTTTAGTTTTATTTTTACCTGCGGGCATCATGGGCGATTTAGGGGGAAGCACAGGATGGTGGTGTGGTTTAAACCTGCAGCAAGCAGGCATGTTGAAGAGTTGAGTGATCACGCTGGAGATGAAGGGTTGGACATGGATTGACTGGGAAAAGGCCTGGGTCCATTGGAGTAAAGATAACCTAGTCGATTGAATTGGCCATGGGAAGTTAGGTCACAGTCTTATAAACAAAGTAAATAGGACAGAGACTAAGTTTTAGGGAGACATCTTGGCCTCCTAGGCTAAGTTTACTAAACCACACTGAAGCTATAGTACCTTCCAGATGGGCAAAAGTGTACACTACAGTTGAGGAGCTGAACCTTATTAGGTTGGATGTCGATCAGGAACCTGTTTGCCCTTTGCTGGGAAGCCTTCACTCTCCAGCTTTCCTGGGGTAGGGAAGGTCTCCCACATTATGCAATAATAAAATAAGCATCTGGGTCTTTGCAGCTGTCAGTTGCTCTTTCAACTCTAGGATCCATCTTTGGACCAGAAGCCTGGTCTGTGCCTAGGATGACACTGGCCCCAGAGATGCTAGAGTCGACTGCACTCTCTCCTTAGCTGCAGACCATGCACAGTGCCTGGGGCGGAAGGAGGAGAGGTGTTGCGGTTTGCCCTGCTGCCTCCCCAGCAGGAACAATAGTCATAAATGCACTTTTCACACTAAAGGTTTCTTTATTAGTTCTCCAGTTAAACCTAGATCCCTCCCTGGTAGATTGCGAACTCAAAGTTTTGTGATCCCAAAGCCATTCCACTGCAAATGCCCAGCAGTGAAGATGGCCTCAAATTGGGTTCTTGCCTGCAGTGTGTGTGGCAGCAGCCCATGTGCCTTTACCTGTTGTCAAACTTGCAAGCATTTATTTGTCTTTATGACTGTCATGGGGACTGAGGTTCTTCAGAGAAAGAGTGTGAGCTGATGACACAGTGGTTTTACACCCACCCCCTGGGCAGGGAGTTTGCACGTAGTTGTGAGCTGTGAGTGGTTAGTGCATTGCTGGTATTGCTGAAGGCAGGGTTGATCCCTCACTTGACTGATACTTGCATTCAAGAGAATCTAGATTGTGTTGGGGGAGGGACTGACTGTACTCATGGCTAACTTAAAGTATTAAAATAAGGCTGTCCCCTACAACCTTCTTAGTCACACAGGATCCCTGTAGCCAAAACAGTATATGATCCAGCTGCAGAGAGCAGACTGCTCTCAGCTTGCACAGCACCTTAGGCGAGGGAAGAATATACGGATAGGGAATGGGGTGGAGAAAGGATGGGAATGTTGTCATCCAGGTGGCTTTAGGGTCCTAAGGAGTGGAGAAGGATGGCACTGGGGAGGTCTGGATGGATCTGTGTAGGAGTTCCCTGTAGATAAATTACTGATCCCCCATCTACTATCCCCAGTATGTAATGGCTGAATTAATATGTAATCAACTGCATTGTATCTAAAGCCTTAGAACTAGTCAGGTGCTCCCTCCACCCAATACCATTTCTTACCCTCTAATCCTACCTGATCTTTAACAAAGCATTAATAATTCTAAGGATAATCTCTATTTTGTTGTGCTTTTTTGTAACTGTTTTAAATAAATCAATTTGTACTGTATATTTGTACTTTTGTGAGATCCTTTTTGCTGTTTTACCATTTTAAGTCTCTGTACTTGGCTACACACAGATTGTATTTTTATTGTTAATGCTCTTCTTATGGATACCTGCATTTAACTTGTGGACTATGTAAACACAATATCTATCAATATCTATATATCTATATATCTATCTATATAAACTACTAGCTTTTCCTTTTGGTGTTTGCGCCTTCTTCCTATCCCAGCCTTAGATGGTGGCCATGGGGTGGGGGATAGAAACCTTTGTGGGAGCAGTTGTAATGGAACACAAATGGTGGCTTTATTTGTGCGGTGAGCTCAAGGGAGATGGCATGAGCTTGTCCTCAAGCATGGTCTTTCCCCTCTGTTGGTGTGGATTTCAGAGACCCGGAAGTCTACCTGAACACTTAGATTCTAGTGGAATCACAAGGATCTGTAGGTGCCTTCGCTGCTGGCCTTCTCCCCAATTCTTTACTCAGGAATACTGCCAGAAATTGCTGGAATAAGTCAGCCCCAATCATAGCTACTGCCTAAAATTTAGAAAGCTTGCCACTAGTAATGGCATTTATGGAACACTTATTATGGGCTACAAAATATCCTAAGTGCTTTGTATGTACGGACAAGCTTTTTTTGCTAGTATTATTTCCATTTTGTGGATGGGGAAGCCAAGACATAGAGGTTAAGTAACCTCCCCAAAGTTACACAGCTAGTGTGGCAGGGCACTTCTGAACCCAGAGGTGCAACTCTTGAGTTTGTATGAATTCAGAGTTTCTTGTGAAGATTGAGATCATCTATGTAAAGCGCTTAGAATCATCTGTGGCACATGGTGAGGACTCAGTCATTTTAAAGCATCCCAAGTAGGACTCCAGTATGGAGCTCTGGGAGAAAGGCATTTGGGTCAATTAAGTAAATTAAACAGTTTTTGTTTGTTTTTTTTTGTTGTTGTTTTTTTTTTTTTAGATAGAGTCTCACTGTGTTGACAGGCTGGAGTGCAGTGGCACAATCTCAGCTCACTGCAACTTCCACCTCCCGGGTTCAAGTGATTCTCGTCTTCGGCCTCCCGAGTAGCTGGGATTGATTACAAGCACGCCAACTAAGTATTTTCTTTTAAATGTATTTTTCAAAACAAATATTTTAGCCTGCTTGGTGAAAGTACCTTAGTTTGTTAGCTGGGTGTGGTGGTGCACACCTATAGTCCCAGCTACTTGGGAGGCTGAGGCAGGGGGATCACTTGAGTCCAGGAGTTAGAGGTTATGGTGAGCTATGATCTTGTCACTGTACTCCAGCCTAGGTGACAGAGTGATATCCTTTCTCAAAAAAGCAAACTCCAGGCAGGGTTCTACGTAGCTCGCGCCTGTAATCCCAGCACTTTGGGAGGCCAAGGCAGGGGATCACCTGAGGTCAGGAGTTCAAGACCAGCCTGGCCAACATGGCGAAACCCTGTCTCTACTAAAAATACAAAAAGTAGCCGGGTGTGGTGGCACGTGTCTGTAACACCAGCTACTCGGGAGGCTGAGGCAGAATTGCTTGAACTCGGGAGGCAGGGGTTGCAGTGAGCCAAGATCACGTCATTACACTCCAGCCTGGGCAACAGAGCGAGACTCCGTCTCAAAAAACAAACAAAAAACAAAAAACAAAACCCCTAGTTTGGCGGGGGTCAGTTGACACTGTTAAACAGCCTTGGACCTATGGAGGTCAGAGAGGAATCCAAGTTTCCCTGTTAAGATATTGGAAGAAGTCCGCATTCCTGGCATAGTTATTTTTCTGGCTACAATTTAACTAGGGCACTTCCTTCTGGACCTCAAGATCTATAATTATCTAAACTGAACACAACCTTTGGTGCAGGCTAGGAAGGTTCTGTGCCTGTTCTGTACCATCACAGAAACTTTTTAGAAATGACCTCAGCTCTTGTCTCCTCCATGGTTTGGCAGTCATACAACCTGCCAGAGTAATCATTTTGCCCTAGCCTTAACCTGAGCTCTCTTACCACCTTAATTCTGGATTTTCTTCAGTGAGCTTATTTTCCTTCCTTGCCTCTGGTGAACAAATAAAACACAAATAAAATGCAAACATGAGTTTCTTGGTGCTGTGCACCTTAATATTGCAGCTATTTCTATGAGCCTATTCCTAGATGCAGCTGACTACTGTCTAGAATTGTAAATGTTCGACAATATTGCTGGGAAAAGTTGCACACCTAGTTGAAGGTATTGCATAGTCTTTAGAAAACAGCAGTTATGAGAAGAGACTTCTTCTGAGTTTGGAAAAGGTAAGCTAGGTTTAAACAGCCCTTGGGACCACAGGTATCTTCATTATGGTTGTGGGAATAATCATCACAGTCAACATCGGTTCTTTCTTCGGTGTCATGCTAATTCCTCGGCAACTTGTAAAGGCCCAAATAAGGACCTCTGCTTGGACAGCCTAAGCTGAGGAGCATCCTCCCTAAGAAAACGGCAAGCCACCAGAAGCCACTGTCTGAAAATTTCCACCCAGGTTTCTCCTAGATCACTTCATTTGCTAGAATGACATTGAGAGAAAAGCAAGAAAGGGGCAGTAAAGATAAAATTAATTTATTTGACTTCACAACTTCATGGGCCACACAGGGGCCCCACAGTCCTAGAAGCACAGCCTGTGGCAGTGGGCTGGGGAGGCCAGTTCTCTGGACTGCCTGCTCCCTTGTCCAGAGCTGCCTTGAGCCAGGTCCCTCCTGACCCCATCATCCTGTTCCCATATGCAAGGGCTGCTCAGGTCCACCTGCAATAAACCCAGGCCTGCCTCTGGCAGCAAGGACAGGGCCTCGTGGGTGGCAGCAGCACTGGTCCTCGTGGCTGTGGGTGTGGGTGGGTGGGTAGGTAGGTGGGAAGGAGGGCAGGCAGGAGGGTGTGGTTCAGTGCAGAGAGCTGCTGTTCTGCTCTTCAAAGGCCATCTTGCCCAGAAGCTGGCTGTCCAACTCCACCCCACTTACAGGCAGCTGGAAGAAGTTCATTTCAGCTGCTAAGGCTGCCATGGCAGAAGGGTCCTGGCCAAACTGAGCTCGCAACATCATGTCCATTTTCTCCAGCCTCCTCTTGAGCCGCTTGGCCTCTCGCTCTCGGATGAGCCGGGCCTGCCGCTTTTCCGGGGTTTCATTGGCCCGCTTCAGCCTCATGGCCTCCCGATCCCGCTGCAGCCGGCGTGCCCGCTGCTCGTCTGTCTCCTGCATGCGCTGCAAGCGCTTGGCTTCACGGTCCCTCATGCGCCTCACCTCCCGCTCCTCGGGGGTCTCATTGTCCCGCCGGCTCTTCTTGGCCGTGCGCTCTCGTTCCAGCCGCTGCAGCCGTACTTCCAAAGGCTCATTCTGTCGACGTAGAGCCCACTTGCGTACACTGGGAGTCTGGGCTTCCAGCAGTTTACGGTAGGCAGCACAGTTGTTGCACACAAGCAGAATTCCAGCAGGGTACACTGGAGGACTAAAGGCAATATCCTTCCCCTCAGCACTGGAGGGACCCTCATTGTGGACTGTGGGTAGGGATTCCATATTTAGTACTTCAGGAAGTTTCTCACTGGAAAGGAAACATTTTGGATGGTTAGTGTTTCCTTCTAGCAAGAGTCGGGACTCCAGCCCTGCCTTATTCTTTTCCTATGAGGCCAGTGGCTCCACGCTCACCACAAGGGGTCAGTTTGAATGCTTGGTGGACCTCTTCTGCTGCTCCATCCCTTCTCTTCGCGTGAGAGTTGTCTACCAACTTTTTTTTTTTTTTTTTGAGACAGAGTCTTGCTCTGTCGCCCAGGCTGGAGTACAATGGTGCAATCTCAGCTCACTGCAACCTCCGCCTCCTAGGTTCAAGCCATTCTCCTGCCTCAGCCTCCTGAGTAGCTGGGATTACAGGCGCACGCCACCACGCCCGGCTAATTTTTGTATTTTTAGTAGAGACGGGGTTTCACCACATTGGTCAGGCTGGTCTCAAACTCCTGACCTTGTGATCCACCCGCCTCGGCCTCCCAAAGTGCTGGGATTACAGGCGTGAGCCACTGTGCCCGGCCGGGTGTCTACCAACTCTAAAAGCCCATCTGGAGTTAACTGAGCCACCTGCCACAGCAATGCACCAGAAATCAGACAAACCCTTGGTGTTTTCACTCAAGCCAGAATAATGATTTTGATAAGAGCTTTGCAGGGGCAGTCCTGCTGTGGGAATGGAGGCTCCTGGAGGTGGAGACCTCCTTCAGGCAAGGTGCAGACCACCAACTCACCTCCTTCCCTCACACTACCTGCATGCAAAGGCAGACTCTGCACTGTACACTAGACAAACGGGACAAGGACACAACGTTCCAGTCTTCCTAGGACACGATGGAGACTGCATCCTCATGCCAGGGTCCTCTCTACCCTATAACTTCTTTCTCCATGCTTTATCATGAGTGTTCTTGGAATTGCCTACATCTCTTTCTAGTTGAAGATATTCTGATGGGAAAATAAATGGGAATTCATTTTCCTTTGGGGCTATGTGAGGGAATAGGCATATTTCCTAGCCTTCTTACTTGTACTTCCAAGGAGCATGCATCAGCTGCCTTTGCATTACCTATTTCTAGCCTTCGCTTTGACTTCAGAAAGCAGAACTCACACCCAGTAATTTGCTCCCAGCACAACAGGGATAAGTGCCCAGCTGACCTGTTAAAAGTGGCATGGCTGGTGAACCGGGCTCCACACACAGCACAGTTAGATCGCTGGTCCTCCGAGTGGATTAAGAGGTGGCGACCCAATGACCCCGGGGAGCTAAGGGCCCGGCCACAGACAGGACACATGTAGCTCTTGGCGCTCACCACTGCTGCAGTGTGCTGTAAAACAGAGCCTTGATCTGTCAGTCTTGCGCTACCTCCAGGACAATCTGCACCCACTTAGAAATGACTTTTGGGAAATGTCCCCTTTCTTTAGTCTCAGAATAAGGAACTTCCAAGTATTCTGTTTAGCCCCTAGAAAAGTCAGTCTCTTACATTAGAGGCCCTGGCCATTTAGACCACTGCTTAGATTTCATTAGCTTGAGCTCTGCCTACGTTCTGGGACATGTGGCTGACTTAAGGAACAGTGGGAGCCAGGCACAGTGGCTCATGCCTGTAATCCCAACACTTTGGGAGGCCGAGGCAGGTGGATCACGAGGTCAGGAGTTCAAGACCAGCCTGGCCAATATGGTGAAACCCCATCTCTACTAAAAATACAAAAATTAGCCTGGTGTGGGGGCAGGTGCCTGTAGTCCCAGCTACTTGGGAAGCTGAGGCAAGAGAATCACTTGAACCTGAGAGGTGGAGTTCACAGTGAGCCAAGATCACACCACTGCACTCCAGCCTAGGTAATACAGCGAAATTCTGTCTCAAAAACAAAACAAAACAAAACAACAACAACAGTGGGGCGCCAGAGCCCTCTTCAGAGCCTAAGAGGAATTCATGTCTCGGATAATTTCTCTCTGTCTCCCTGGCTCACACTGTGCAGGTACAAATTACGTGTTAAGGGAACAATAAAGGCCAAATCTAGAAGCTGGCCTGGAATACTGGTATGCAACAGGTATTTATATCTTGCTTTCTCAATCTTTTCAAGATAGTCTTCTGAAGAAATACTTGTCCTCATGAACCAACTATCTTTATGGTACAGCCCAGGCTGCCATGTGTGCTGATACCTTGTCAACACCGACCAGGAGGTACAGGTGCCCTGTGATTGGATCATGGTAAAAAGAACACAAAAGTCTGGTATTCGGATCCCCTGGTTCACACTAATTTTTAACATACCATTTGTGTTAACTAATTTTTTTTTTTTAAGACACGTCTCGTTTTGTCACCCAGGCTGGAGTGCAGTGGCATAATCTCAGCTCACTGCAGCCTCCGCCTCCCAGGTTCAAGCCATTCTCCTGCCTCAGCTTCCCGAGTAGCTGGGATTATAGGCGTGCGCCACCACACCTGGATAATTTTTTTTGTATTTTATTAGAGACAGGGTTTCACCATGTTGGCCAGGCTGGTCTCAAACTCCTGACCTCAAGTGATCCGCCCACCTTGGCCTCCCAAGGTGCTGGGATTACAGGCGTGAGCCACTGCGCCTGGCCCATGTTAACTAATTTTCTTTTCTTTAACACAAAGCCCTCATTATTAGTATACATTAGTTTCTATTTCACTATTTAAAATATACATTAAATAATTTAGAAAAAAAATCACTTAATTTTCACAGTGTGTCTGCCCGGAAACCCAGAATGTGTTTATCTAATATATCTCATTTATTTTCTAAAATGTTGGAAGCTTGGAGCAGAATCTCTTTTTTTTTTTTTTTTTTTTAATACAGTCTCACTCTGTCACCCTAGCTGAAGCATGATCACTGCAGCCTCAACCTCCTAGGCTCAAGCTATCCTTCCACCTCAGTCTTCCAAGTAACTGGTACTACAGGTGCAAGCCACCATGCCCAACTAATTTAAAAAAAAATTTTGTAGGGCTGGGGTCTTGCTATGTTGCCTAGGCTGGTCTTGAACTCCTGAGGTTAAGCAATCCTCCCCACTTCAGCCTCTCAAAGTGCTGGAATTCTGGGTGTGAGCCACCACACCTGGCTTTGGGCTGAATTTTTTTTTTCTTTTTGAGACAGAGTCTAACTCTGTCACCCAGGCTGGAGTGTAATTGCGTGATCTTGGCTCACTGCGACCTCCGCCTACTGGGTTCAAGCAATTCTCCTGTCACAGCATCCCGAGTAGCTGGGACTACAGGCGCATGCCACCACACCTGGCTAATATTTGTATTTTTGGTAGAGACAGGGTTTCGCCATGTTGGCCAGGATGGTCTCGAACTCCTGACTTCAAGTGATCTACCCGCCTCGGCTTCCCACAGTGCTGGGATTACAGGCGTGAGCCACTGCGCCCAGCCTCCCTAAGACGAATCTTAATAGAAGTGACAACCCAAGACTCCTTCAGGAGCCAGAGAGAGACAAAGGCCAAACCAGGATCTGGGCTACAGACAAGCTGCCCACACTTGTGTTCCAGAGCACACAGCTCCCCCATCCATACCTGGTACACGTGAGCAATCAACTGCTCCCGGCTCCCGCAGTCTAGCTGGCAGAGGGGACACTGGCAGAGTTCAAGCAAGGGGTCAGAATTCAAATTCCCTGTGACCTGTGATTCAACAAATAGGCAACTCATTAGGACTCTTTACTCATCTCTTCCCTGCCCCAGCTTTTTAAACAGGGTATCCTGTTAAAAGGAACCCAGACTGATGGCGCATGTTATTCTTAGCTTCCCTTTGTGGGCTGAAGGAAAAAGTAATAGTTGAGAGGGAATTATGGCTTTCAGCCATGAGGACACAGGATTGCCTCAGAGAGAGCCAATCAATTTTTTTCCCTGAAGATAAACTCTGCAGACAGGGGTAGCGTTTTTCCTGTCATGTTCCTTTCAGGAATCCTCAGGAAACAAGTTAGTGAGAAGGTGGCACTCCAGGTGACACCTTGACTTAGATTTGCAAGCACATTCAAGAGTCCACCTTGGGAAGTCAGCTTTCTACTTCAACAAAGTTTCTCTCATGTCTGGAAAGACGTGGGGAGCTGCAGGAAAGAGAGCTGTGCACAGGCGCAGCGATTCGTGGATGGAAAAGGAAAACTGAGTGTGGCGAGAACTGAGAGTCTGAGGTGTGGGTTCTGGTGCCATGAAGGAAGAGGCCTCCCATGCAGGCCCAGGAGACCATCAGAGGCAAGACTGTGCCACAGGGGTGAGCAGCATCAGGGCAGGCAGAAGGGTAGGGCATTGCTGGACCTGGACCCAGGGGCCATCGTCACTTGCCTCGTGCTCTACCACTTCGTTCCCACCAACAGGCTGTTCTGTATTTTCTAACTCTTTCTCCACTTTGACCACCCCTCCATCTTCCTCTGATGTGTGGGAAGAGACTTCATCTTGTGTCGTCTCCTCTTCATCACCCTCACTGTCACCTGGAACACACAAACTGGTCACTTGTTCTGATTTTTGCATGAATACATCCTGAGCTGCTCTCCACCCTAGAGTTGGCAGTTACAATAGAAAACATTTTCAGATCTTCCATAATATAGTTTATATAGTTTTGTTGGGTACATATTATGTCAAGTGGAAACCAACTATAGCTGTCATTTGTTATGCCATATACACGTAAAGGGAAGATGTGAAGCAAAACTGCATTGGAAATGGTTATCGTGCCCTCTACATGATTATAAAAATAATCTTTCTGACTCATGGTTTTCAAATATCTCACACTTCAAATCACACCTCCCCAAGCACCTTACACTGAGCTCATTCCCACTGTACACCACCTCTGACTTACCAACACTTTCCACTGATTTTGCCATGAGCCCCCTGCACAACTTCTCCACGGTGTCACTATACTATTCTACTCTGAACCCCACTAATCTCTTCTTTCCCAGCAAACCTCAAGGCACACTTACAGAAACATCAAGTTTTTCTTCCCTCTTACCAGCAATGGAAGCAGTAGTAAATGAGTTTGAAATGATGTCACTTTATAGGGAAAGGGCTGCTCATTACAGTGGAAAAATTAGCACAGCAACCAACCTCAGGCACTTTGCAGTGGTATCCGACTCACTCGGTTCTTACTCTACTATTGTAACATGGCATTCTAAACTAAGTAAGTCCATTGTTTCTGTTGATTATTTGGATTATCTCAATGGGTAACCGAATGCATTAAGTGGAAGGAACGGGCCATTCTTTAGGATGAAATGTAATTTCTTGTGACTAACATAGGAATTGAGTTTGTTTTAGTTTTAGGGGTAGGATGTGGCTATGAGGAGGTCTGCCTGTGGCTGGGGAGTCTGCAAGGTTTATGTGAGCTGATTTTTCTTCTCTATTACTTATAAAATAGAAAATGAAAACAGATCAGAAAAACAAATAACGAACGTAGTTCTTTCTGAAAGGGAAAAAATAAAGTGCTAGTACCTTGAAGATCACAAGAAGTAGCCAAGCCTAGGGAAGCTGTCACACTCCAGCCCTATCTTAACCCCACCTGGATCCTGGACTTCTGGGCCTGATGTGAGCAAGAGAGAAATATAGGGCAGAGTCTCACCAGGCTGTCCGCAGGAAACTCAGATTTCCTAGCTAACAGTGTGCCTGTCTTCTCTACTACCCTTGCATAATATCTAAATCCACCAGTATGAGAGCAACATATTTCCCTTCTTCCTGGGCAAAACTAGTTATATTCCCTTTCTTCATGAGAAGGTCTAACCAAATCATCTGCTAGTAGTTACATGTGTCCTTATTAGATAAATACTCCAGGCAACTGGTGGACTGGATTTGGGGCCTGGAAAGAGCTATGGTTTGTGTGTCTTATTTCCCAGCCCAAAGCTCCTTTCATTTGAATCCAACTCAATAATGAAGGATTGGCACAGATTACATCATACCATGTTTTCTCCCCAGCTTATCTGAAATACTTGTAAACTTTATATAATATAAAGTGATATATCAAACATATTTTTGTAATTTTGCAATAATCCAAATATATCTCGCTACTAGAAAAATTTTTTAAAAATGTGTACTGTCTAGAGGGATAGTACATCCTTCAGAATGGAAAACTATTAGATGTTTGCAGATATTGTAATTCCCACCTGCTACTCAAGAAAGTGGTGGCTTCCATAGGTTTTCCAGACATGTTTGGGTTCATTTTTTTGTGCCCGAGCAATTAATTGCTAAGTTATTTTATGTTGTTGATGTTGCTTAATTATTAGCTTGGGTGGAAACAAGTTCCTAGAAGGTTGCAGAGTCCTCTCTCCATTTTCACCCAACCCAGCCTCAAATGTGGTGAAAAATTGGAAAAGTCATTCTGAATTCATACTAATAATAACCAATATCAAATGGATGAGGTGGGGAAAGTGCTGAAATCTTCCTAGGAAAACACATCTCAAGACGTGTTTGTTCAGACAGGTCACAGGACAGACAGACAATCCATGAGGCTCAACTTGTAACAGCTACTGTCGTAACCACAGGGATCTTCTTAGGGAATTGGTATGGGAAGACCTTGACGTTAGCATTTTATACACTGCATAACCTCATTACTAAGCAAATCTTCTTGTTTAACATTAAAACTGGGCCTTCAAGCAAGGTTTCATTAATGCCACCCTTATATTTTATTGATTACAAATACATAGATCCTAGGAGACAGGGATTTTTTTTCTTTTCATTTGACCTAACCCAGGGACTGCTTGAGCACTATTTATTCCTATATCCTTGCCTATCACAACCAACAAACCTATCTGTATGTGGCACTGTGCCAAGTACTGTAGTCCATAAGTTAAAAATATATATATCGGCCAGGTGCAGTGGCTCACGCCTATAATCCCAGCACTTTGGGAGGCCGAGGTGAGTGGATCGCCTGAGGTCAGGAGTTCGATACCAGCCTGACCAACATGGAGAAACCCCGTCTCTACTAAAAATACAAAATTAGCTGGGCATGGTGGTGTATGCCTGTAATCCCAGCTACTCAGGAGGCTGAGGCAGGAGAATCGCTTGAACCTGGGAGGTGGAGGTTGCAGTGAGCTGAGATCATGCCAATGCACTCCAGCCTGGGCAACAAGAGCGAAACTCTGTCACAAAAAAAAAAAAGTATATATATATAAATAAAATGCCAAACCTGTCCTCTTTTTCTGGATAAACACATGCCCACACACCTTAGACCACCTTTGGGGACACTGAGGATCCACATATCTCCTTTTTCATGTCTTTCTCCCAACCCCCATGCACAATCCCCAGAGCACACACACTCTGATAATTCTTCTCCCATTGCCCTGAGTCATTACCAGAAGGTGCAGAACTCACTGCTACTGGAGTCCTGATCTCTTAGTTGTTGGATAGCTTGTCGCTGACTGCCAAGGTCTCCAGGAAAATCAGTTTTCATCATCGCCTGGCGGGCTTGCTCTTCTAGCCCAGCAAATACTTGATCCCCTGGTGGTCACAAGGAAAAATAGTCAGGCCACCAGCTGGGCAGCATATCCCCAGGCAAGCTGGTTGGAAGGTCAGACCATTCAAAGGTAGGAGACAGGCAGGTACCCTGTGGTGGAGTCATTCATCTCCAAGTCAGCTTGCTGCCTCCAACAGCTTCTGGGTGCAGCTGCTCTTCCTGGGCAGTAAGCCAGATGCTCTAGACAGCATCACTTGCTCCTCTTAAATCCTCCTAGTCTTGACTCCTTTCAAAAGGTGATCAACTGCTACTTCACAAATGTAACTGCAGACTCTCAAATCCATTTACAACCTTCCATCAGGATTGGGAAGATAGAGGCAAGAAGGGGCAAAGTGATGGGATGAAGACAGGGCAACAAATCTGGGCCAAGTCTCTGTACCTTAATGTATTAGCATTATGGTCTTGACTCAGTGTCTTATCTCTGACTATAAACAAGTGCTTCAAATCATCCTTCTAAATAACAATCTCTCTAACCCCATCTTTCATCCACTCTTCTTCCAAAACGTACCCTGGAAGTTCTTCCTTGACTTTCTTTATAATGTTTATCATAATTAGCCATGAGAAAATTAACAACTGGTTGAATAGTGGACTAGAAGAAGAATGGATATGAACTCACTTCTGCAGAAGAACAAACTTCCTGAAACACACTGCTAATTTACAACAAATAATATTCATGTAGTCTTCTTGGTCCAGTTTTTTTTTTTTTGAGAGAGAGTCTCACTCTGTCACCCAGGCTGGAGTACAGTGCTGGCACCCGCCTCCATGCCCAGCTAATTTTTTTGTATTTTTTAGTAGAGACGGGGTTTCACCGTGTTAGCCAGGATGGTCTCTATCTCCTGACCTCATGATCCGCCCGCCTCGGCCTCCCAAAGTGCTGGGATTACAGGCGTGAGCCACCATGCCTGGCCAGTCCAGTTTTTTTTTAAATGTAGTACCCCAAGGCCCCAGGCCTATCCTTGATTTTGCATTTACTTCTCATGAACTCTGCTTGGGATCCATGAGGCTACTGAAGAGTTAGTATACTAAGTGCCCTTTTATTTCCAGGAGACCAGGCATAAGGAGAAAAGAGAGTTGGGTTTCTTGAGGTTTCTATTATCTCAGTCAGAGTAGAAACTACAGTCCTCATTCACCAGACAGCAAGAGGGAATAATAAAAAGCCCTAGTGAAATGTCTGACAATAGCCAGGCCCTTTCCTGCTGAAGATAGAAAGGAAAGTACGCAGGCATACAGGCTCAGGTTCTGAGATAGGATACAGTGATGTGGGAGGAACTAAATGGTGAGCTGACCTGCACTCCTAGACCTTGGGCAGTGAAAGACTTGATGTGGAGTAGGCTTCATGTGATCCCCTTAGTCATTCATTCAGCAAACATTCATTGGGCATCTATTATATGCCAGCTACCAAACACTAATAATAGTTTGACACTTGCAAGCTCCAGGCTCTATGGTGTTTTGTAGTTATCACCTCACCTTAATTCTCTGCAAAACTCCGTGTGGTAGGGATTACTATCTATATTTACTTAGGAGAAAACTAAGGTTAACGGTGGAACCAAGTATTCAAACCCACATCTAACTCTAATGTCCTTTTTCTTTTTTTTTCTTTTTGAGACAGGGTCTCATTCTCTCCTCCAGGCTAGAGTGCAGTGGTGTGATCATGGCTTACTCCAGTCTCAACCTCGCAGTCTCAAGCAATCCTCCCACCTCAGCTTCCAGAGTAGCTGGGACTACAGGTGTGCACCATCATGCCTGGCAATATTTTTATTTTTTGTATAGACAGGGTCTCACTGTGTTGTCCAGGCTGATCTGCAACTCCTGCTCTCAAGGGATCCCCCTACCTCGACCTCCTAAAGTGTTGGAATTACAGGTGTGAGTCACTGCGCCCAGCCTAATGTCTATATTCCTTAACTGCCTTCTAATAGAGATGTAATTAGAAGGTTAGAAGCTTCCTCAGATGGTTTTGCTGAAAACAAACTCTTATCTCTGTGTGAGAACGGCTCTGATCCTAGTGTTAGTGTTTCCTTCATACCATGAGAAATGGATACATACAACTCAAATAGCAAAATTATGTTATCAGGGCCAGTATATGATCAAAAGACAAATGATGGTTCTGATACCACATCATGAGTTATCATGCTTGGATTACAGTAACTAACATTATGGCTATTATGACTCATACTGTGATTGGGAATGGAGGTGGTTCATGTTAAAGTCTACTCTTAGCTACATATCCCTCAAGGAAAGGAAAAATAAGCTGTTTTAAGTCCATCTTCACAATATCCAAGATGACACATTGGATATAAATTACTGGGTAGAGAAAACAAAAAAAAAAAATGAATTTGATGGGGGAATACTTCCTTGTCCCTTTGCAGAAGTGAAATACTTAATTTCTCCATGCTGGTTACACTGCACCAGGACCAGGGCCAATTGGTACTTTCCTTTTTTTTTTTTTTTTTAATATGAGACAAGAGTCTCAGGCTGGAGTGCAGTGGCGTGATCTTGGCTCACTGCAGCCTCTGCTTCCTGTGTTCAAGAGATTCTCCTGCCTTAGCCTCCTGAGTAGCAGGGATTACAAGTGCCCAGTACCACGCCTGGCTAATTTTTGTATTTTTAGTAGAGATGGGGTTTCACCATGTTGGCCAGGCTGGTCTTGAACTCCTGACCTCAAGTGATCCTCCCGCCTCGGCCTCCCAAAGTGCTGGGATTACAAGCATGAGCCACTGTGCCTGGCCAAGGGCCAACTGTAATAGTTATTGAATTCTTTCGGGTAGGTGCATGTTTTCAGACCTAGGAGCTATGGGCAGACATAGCACTAAGGAACAAGTTATGTACTAGCATATAATTATCAAGGGGAAGACCTTTCTCATCAGTGATACTTCTGGTCTCCAAAGAAACTTAGAAACCAGCTAGATTTAGAACATACTAAGAATAAACATTCTATCCTCTTTCTTGGATTCACCATTGGATTAGTAAAAAGACACCTAAAAGGATATGTACCTTTCAAGATGAGTCAGTAATTCAGTTTCGTCTCCAACTTGAGCTCAAAAGTTATTTTTTTCTATTGATGTTGTCTAAATATTGAGGCTTTCATGGAAAGAGAGAGAGTCTGTTCAACACAACTTGCCTATCTAGGACTCTTAGGCAATCTCACCTGGTGTAACCGGGAGAAGTTAATTCTGTCATTCCTTTTTGGCAATTTGGAAAGAAAAGCTTGTGTTCTTATATTTTAGTCTATTCCTGACTTGGGAAAAAGAATAAAGGTGAACTTTATTCCTCAGAACTATTCCTATTTTAAATATCACCATAAAGCAAAATATATCAAAACCATAAAAAAGAAGCAATTTTAGCAGACCTCATAAGAAAAGATATGTGAATTATCTTCCAGTAGTTACTATTTACCTAATCTCCAAATAAAATTGTCCAGAATTATCCCTTCATAAGAAGGCAGTGAGACTTGCTAAAAGCATGTCATGTTAACTGCCGTATAATGTCTAATGTGATCTATGGAGATACTAGTGATTAAGAAGTGTTACAGAACTGCCTATTTTTATAATATTAGAATTATTATTCCCTTCTGTCTTGAGACCTCTGGAGTAGGTTTAAAAAAATCCTCTGGTCCCTAGATATTAATGTAGGGCAGCCATCTTATTTAATATGTGTATTTATTTGTCTATTAATAGCTAAGAGTCAACTACACTCTCACAATAAAAACCAAGGTGTTCTCTCTCCTTTTATTTTTGGATACAAAATCAAGAAAATACTGTTTGTCTGCAATTTGGCTAAGGTTTTTTTTTTTTTTTGAAACAGAGTTTTTCGCTCTGTCACCCAGGCTGGAGTGCAATGGCGCAATCTCGGCTCACTGCCACCTCCGCCTCCTGAGTTCAAGCGATTCTCCTGCCTCAACTTCCCAAGTAGTTGGGATTACAGGCAAGCACCACCACGCCTGGCTAATTTTGTATTTTTAGTAGAGACGGGGTTTCTCCATGTTGGTCAGGCTGGTCTCGAACTCCCAACCTCAGGTGATCCACCCACCTTGGCCTCCCAAAGTGGTGGGATTACAGGAGTGAGCCACTGCGCCCGGCCTGGTTAAGGTTTTTCAGACCAGATGAGAACAAGGCCATGTAAGCAAGTTTGGAGAACAGATGAGAGGAATGAGATGAAAGTTATTAGAAAGGTAAAGATTTTACAGTTCTCTCTTGGGTCCTTGGTGCAGTTAAACAAATGTAATTTCAAGCTGACTACAATTAAGTAAAGCAGCTGGAACATTCTTTAAGAGAGCAGATAGGCCGGGCGCGGTGGCTCACGCCTGTAATCCCAGTACTTTGGAAGGCCAAGGTGGGTAGATCATGAGGTCAGGAGATCGAGACCATCCTGGCTAACACAGTGAAACCCCGTCTCTACTAAAAATACAAAAACATTAGCCGGCGTGGTGGCAGGCGCCTGTAGTCCCAGCTACTCGGGAGGCTGAGGCAGGAGAATGGAGTGAACTCAGGAGGTGGAGCTTGCAGTGAGCCGAGATCACGCCACTGCACTCCAGCCTGGGCGACAGAGCGAGACTCCGTCTCAAAAAAAAGAAAAAAAAGAGAGCAGATATCCAGTTCAGGAAAAATGAGCTAGTATTGGGAGTGAGGAGCTTAGGATTCCATCTCTAGCTGACAGTCTTTGTAATCCACGGTGCTATCCAAAGTGGGGAACATAGCCATTTACTTCACGAGGATGCTAACAGAATAAATAAAAACTAAGCAAGTTGTGCTTTTTATAAGAGAAAGGACTTCAAAGGCTTTTATTCCTCCTTCTCTTTGTAAAGCTTTTAGTTGAAGTTGAAAGTTTTAAGTCACTCATGTGTTTTACAATCTGAAAGCAAAAGTCTCTCAAGTAAAAGAGGTTTTCATTTGCTTAGTGGTTTGGTTAGTTCAAACACACTAAATGAAAGTGTACAACACACTGTATTTTCAACCTTTCTACAAGTAGTTGACAGAAATGTGTACTCAGGGCTGGGCGAGGTGGCTCATGCCTGTAATCCCAGTACTTTGGGAGGCTGAGGTGGGCAGATCACTTGAGATCAGGAGTTTGAGACCACCCTGGCCAACATGGCATAACCCTGTCTCTACTAAAAATACAAAAATTAGCTGGGCATGGTGATGAACGCAAGTAATCCCTGCTACTTGGGAGGCTGAGGCAGGAGAATTGCCTGAACCTGGGAGGCGGAGGTTGCAGTGAGCCAAGATCATGCCACTGCACTCTAGCCTGGGCGACTGAGCAGGATGCTGTCTCAAAAAAAAAAAAACTGTACTCAGAAGGGGTAAAATGGGGAAGGAGGTAGGGAGAAGGTCTAACACAGATTTCAGCCCGTCAGCAGTTTTTCCATAACTAATAACAATTTTGGGCTTTTATTCCAAAAGCTCTGTAACGAGTCTGTTAATGAAGTGAAGTGGGCAAAATACAAGAGTCTAACTAGATATTTCTGAGGAAAGGATCATGCCAGTGATTTAGACATAAAAACAGTCCTGATAAAAACCCAGCAAGTGCCAAAGCAGCTGCCCACTGGCTTCTAATGTGGATCCATCAAATGTTGCTGGGTTACAGCAGTGGGATTCTTTTTTAAAAATATATATATATTTTTTGAGATAGGGTTTTGGTCTGTCACCCAGGCTGGAGTGCAGTGGTGCAATCATAGCTCATTGCAGCCTTGGACTCCCAGGCTCAAACAATCCTCTCACCTCAACCTCCTAAAGTATTGGGATTACAGGCATGAGCACTGTGCCTGGCTAATTTTTAAATTTTTTGTAGAAATCAGGTCCCACTATGTTGCCCAAGCTGGTCTCGAACTCCTGGCCTCAAGCAATTCTCCTGTCTCAGACTCCCAAAGTGCTGAGATTACAGGTGTGAGCGACCACGCCCGGCTGGAATTTTTTTTTTTTTTTTTTTGAGATGGAGTTTTGCTCTTGTTGCCCAGGCTGGAGTGCAATGGCGCGACCTTGGCTCACTGCAACCTCCATCTCCCAGGTCAGAGCGATTTTCCTGCCTTAGCCTCCCGAGTAGCTGGGATTACAGGCACCCGCCACCATGCCCAGCTAATTTTTGTATTTTTTTTAGTAGAGGCAGGGTTTCACCATGTTGGCCAGGCTGGTCTTGAACTCCTGACCTCAGGTGATCCACCCGCCTCGGCCTCCCAAAGTGCTGGGATTACAGGCATGAGCCACTGAGCCCGACCTGGGAATTCTTAATATATCCCTTTAGGTGGCCTATTAGTTTCATGCCACACAATCTTCGTCTTCCCAGAAGGCAGATCTAATGAAGCTCAGCCGTTACTCTGCTCAAGTGTCAATTAACTTTTATATTTAAGCAAAGCTTAATGCAGACTTTCCTGCCCCCCAGACCTTGAGTCCATTTCATTTACTTTATTTTGTGTATTTATTTTTTTGAGACCAAGTCTCATTCTGTCGTCCAGGCTGGAGTCCAGTGGCGTGATCTCGGCTCACTGCAACCTTTGCCTCCTGGGTTCAAGCAATCCTCCTGCCTCAGCCCCCCAAGTAGCTAGGATTACAGGCGTGTGTCACCATGCCCAGCTATTTTTTTGGATTTTAGTGGAGACAGGGTTTTGCCATGTTGGCCAGGCTGGTCTTGAATTCCTGACCTCAAGTGATCTGCCTGCCTCGGCCTCCAAAAGTGCTGAGATGACAGGTATGAGCCACCACGCTAGGCCCCATTTCATTTACTTTTAATAGACAAGCAGCATTAAATTAAATATATTTAGTTGGTTCTATTTCACTGCAAGGTGATAGGAGACTCACATGGTCAGAAAATGAAATTACCTATTTCTACTTGCCACTATTGCCATACGCAATGAAAAGATGATCTTTTGAAAAGGGTAGGGTCAGCTTCAGTTCCCAAATAACAAATAAATAGAAGGTCCTCTGAAACTAGCAAATCTCAGTTTTTCTTTTTTAGTCAAGCTTAGTGTATCACCTGAGAAGCCTTCATGGCTCCCTGACCAAATGCATGACTGAAAACAGCCCCTCCCTGGGGGTCTGCTCTTTAGTTGTAGCTGAACATCTGTGCTCACAGCCCCGCAGTAAAGGCCCTTGTAATGGCCACCTCCACAGAGCCTGCAAAGTCCCACCTACTCCACCTCAAAACAATGTTCTTTCGCTTGACTCTGTAACTTCATTTATGCAACTGTGGATGTGTGATATTCTCCTCACCTCCATGGCCTGTTTTTCCATCTGTTTTTCTTTTTTTCCTTTTTTTTGAGATGGAGTCTCACTCCGTCGCCCAGGCTGGAGTGCAGTGGTGTGATCTTGGCTCACTGCAACCTCTGCTTCCCAGGCTCAAGTGATTCTCCCGTGTTAGTCTCCTGAGTAGCTGGGATTATAGGCGTGCGCCACCATGCCCAGCTAATTTTTTTCTTTTTTTTTTTTTTTGAGACGGAGTCTTGCTCTGTCACCCAGGCTGGAGCGCAGTGGTGCGATCTCGGCTCACTGCAAGCTCCACCTCCCAGGTTCACACCATTCTCCTGCCTCAGTCTCCCGAGTAGCTGGGATTACAGGCACCCACCACCACGCCCGGCTAATTTTTTGTTTGTTTTGTATTTTTAGTAGAGACGGGGTTACACCGTGTTAGCCAGGATGGTCTCGATCTCCTGACCTCGTGATCCGCCGGCCTCGCCCTCCCGAAGTGCTGGGATTACAGGCGTGAGCCACCACGCCTGGCGCTAATTTTTATATTTTTAGTAGAGACAGGGTTTCACCATGTTGTCCAGGGTGGTCTCAAACTCCTGACCTCAGGTGATCCGCCCACCTTGGCCTCCCAAAGTGCTGGGATTACAAGCGTGAGCTATCACGCCTAGCCTCCATCTATTTTTCAACTCCATTAATAGCTCATCTTGGCTTTGACTATGGTGCAGGGAGATGCAGCTTATGGATATATGCTACGTGGGCATAGACATTGGCCACACAAGCCTGAAGTGGCTCCCCTGGCCTTACTACAATCACACCATCACCCCACCAGCTACTTTCCTCAAATCTAAGCAGGCTCTTGGACAGATGGCTTTTGTAGGTGAACACCCAACTCCTATACTTGCCTTGTTTGTGAACCTATCATTTCTACTAAGAGTACCTTTCCAGATGCCTTCTTGGGGTCACACTTGTGTCTTTTTATTTATTTATTTTTTTGAGACGGGGTCTTGCTCTGTTGCCCAGGCTAGAGTGCAGTGGCACTATCTCGGCTCACTGCAACCTCTGCCTCCCGAGTTCAAGTGATTCTCCTGCCTCAGCCTCCCGAGTAGCTGGGATTACAGGCACCCGCCACTGCACCCGGCTAATTTTTGTATTTTTAGTAGAGATGGGGTTTCAACATCTTGGCCAGGCTGGTCTCAAACTCCTGACCTCATGATCCACCTCCTGCCTCGGCCTCCCAAAGTGCTGGGATTACAGGCGTGCACCACCTGTGCCCGGCCACTTGTGTCTTTTATCAACCAGAGAGGAGAAACAATCCTAAACCCCTGTGATGGATGGCCTATGCTAAAATACTTCATTTTTTTCTTTCTCTTTTTCTTTTTTTGTTTTTGGAGACAGGATCTCACTCCGACGCTCAGGCTGGAGTGCAGTGGCATGATCTCAGCTCTCTCAGCTCACTGCAGCCTCGACCTTTTGGGTTCAAGCGATCCTCCCACCTCTGTCTCCCAAGTAGCTGGCGCTACAGGTGTGTGCCACCTCGCCCAGCTAATTTTTGTATTTTTGGTACAGATGGAGTTTTGCCTTGTTGCCCATGCTGCACTCAAACTCCTGGCCTCAAGTTATCCTGCACTGGCCTCCCAAAGTGTTGGGATTACAGGCATGAGCCACCGAGCTCGGCTAAAGATACTTCATTTTATCTTCCTTGACAATCCTCACGTGCAAGCCCACTGCATTTTGCTGTTTTAGCAGCAATTTCTAAATCTTCCCTAAACCACTCATCTGTGTATTAAGTAGCCTTTGCACACCCCCATTCCAGAATATACTCCTAGAAGCATCCAACTCGTTCCGTTTTACACTTTTCCGGGACTTAAATAGAAGAAAGAATTTTATATGGAGGTTTGCTATTGTAATCTCATTAATGTATAAAATGTCAAAACCCTCTTAATTCCTCTGTTTATACTATTTTGTCTTCTACTCTTGAAGTAACCCAGTAAGATTCAGATAAAGTGCATAGTGCCTGGGATATAGTTTTTTGGTTTTTGTTTGTTTGTTTGAGACGGGGTCTCACTCTGGCACCCAGACTGGAGTGCAGTGGCATAATCTTGGCTCACTGCAGCCTCAACTTCCCAGGCTCCAGCCATCCTCCCACCTCAGCCTTCTGAGTAGCTGGGACTATAGATGTATGCCCCCAGGCCTAGTTTTTTTGTATTTTTTTGAAAAAACGGGGTTTTGCCATGTTGCTCAGGCTGGTCTCGAACTCTTGGGCTCATGCAATCCTCCTGCCTTGGCCTCCCAAAGTGTTGGGATTACAGTGGTGAGCCACTGCGCCCAGCCTATATAGCATGTTTTTAAGAAATTTTAGTTATCTTGTCAATTACTTGACTAATCTGTCCTCTCCAATGTAGGGTTTTAGCCAGCTGCAGTGGCTCATGCCTATAATCCCAGCACTTTGGGAGGCTGAGGTGGGTAGGTCACTTGAGCTCAGGAGTTCAAGACCAGCCTGGGCAACATGGTGAAACCCCGTCTCTACAAAAAATACAAATATTTAGCCGGGCGTGGTGGCATGCACCTGTAGTCCCAGCTACTCGGGAGGCTGAGGTGGGAGGATCGCTTGAGCCCAGGAGGTCGAGGTTGCAGTGAGCTGAGATCACGCCACTGCACTCCAGCCTGGGCAACAGAGCAACACCTCATCTCAAAAAAAAATTATATATATTATATAAAAAAATAAAATATATATAAATATATATGTATATATATTTTATATATATATACACACATATATAGGTTTTTTGTTTTTTACAAACTTTTCATCTGTTATACCTCTGAATTCTCTTCAAATGTTGCTGCACTTTACTCAAACAGTTCATAATAATAGGGAACTATTTGTCTTTTTTTTTTTTTTTTTGATGGAGTCTATGTTTGCCCAGGCTGGAGTCAGTGACACGATCTTGGCTCACTGCAACCTCCACCTCCCAGGTTCAAGTGATTCTCCTGCCTCAGCCTCCCAAGTAGAGTAGCTGGGATTATAGGTGCCTGCCACCATGCCTGGTTAATTTTTTTTGTATTTTTAGTGGAGATGAGTTTTTTGCCACGTTGGCCAGACTGGTCTCCAACTCCTTACCCCAGGTGATATGGCCCACCTCGGCCTCCCAAAGTGCTGGGATTACAGGTGCAAGCCACCGCGCCCGGCCACTATTTGTCTTTTTAACGAACATTTGGGTGGGAACGATTATCTTCCCAGATAATAGGAAAATGGCTAATTATCTCAAATCTGTGTAGATATTAATGTCAATTTAAGAAGGCACTTTTTGAACACCTTCTATGAGTAGTGCTAGAAGTAAAGAGGATACATAAGGAAATACATATGGCACATAGTCTCTGCCTTCTAGAAGTTTACTATGCAATTACTGAAATAAAATATGCAACAGGTGCGGTGGCTCATGCCTGTAATCCCAGCACTTTGGGAGCCCGAGGTGGCCAGATCACCTGAGGTCAGGAGTTCAAGGCCAGCCTCGCCAACATGGTGAAACCCTGTCTCTACTAAAAATACAAAAAAATTAGCTGGGCATGGTGGCGAGCACCTTAATCCCAGCTACTCGGCAGGTTGCAGCAGGAGAATTGCTTGAAGCCAGGAGGCCGATGTTGCAGAGATCACACTGCTACACTCCAGCCTGGGTGACAGAGCGAGACTCTGTCTCAAAAAAAAAAAAAAAAGCAAAGAAAAACATGCATGTGACACTGTTGAAAACAACACAAGGTAATAGTGTATACTTGGCCTTCTGGTTTCTAGCCTCTCCCTCTTGTGATCCATCCCACAAATTGCTTCATAGTACCAAAACGCTGTATTCTAAATGTCACTCCCCTCTCCCTGCTTAAAAACCTTCAGTAGTTCCCTACGGACTATAGAATGAACTTTGAACTTGGCCTGGCATTCAGCCTTCCACGTGTAGAGTTAAGCATCTCTAACCTCACATCTTCTGACTTTTGAACAAATGAGACCTCTGCTTCATATAAAGTCTCCTTGTCCTCTGAACATGTGGATTCCCGCTTCTGTCTTTGCTCACTTCACTTTCCCTACCTGATGTTCCCTCTCCCTGCCTCTTGTTTTTTAATTTTTTTTTTCAAATCCATTTTCTACCCTCTAAGGCCCAGTTCAGGCGCATGGTCTAGAGGCTTTTCCATTAAGCATTCCCCTTGCTACTTCAGTCCACTGAGCTCTTTTAACTTCCTTCCTCCGAACTTCTCTAGTACATACAGTCTGCAGCATCTGTTTGGCAATTAGCATATACTATCATTCATATTTATATATCTGAGGTTACAATACGGTCTTATAGATCTTATATTGGTTTAGAGCCCTGACATCTAGCACAAGGATCTGCAGAGAGTAGGTATCCTATAACTGTTTGTTAATGTGATATTAAAGATATATCAAGTGTACATACCCCTAAGATAGGTTTCCAACACCTCCCCCAGCAACCAGACACACTTTAAATCCACCATTTCCAACATTTTTAACCCTTTTTCTTTCTTTCTTTTTTTCTCTTCTGCTCAGCAAACTGTGTTTTACATTTAAACTTTTCTTCTTCACAAATTAGCGTGAGCTTCTCCCCTAAATTCAGGTTACTCTTCCATTCCACCCCTTAGCATTCCCAGGTTCCAGAAGACAAAGCCCGATACTCACAGTGAACTTTATTTGGATTTGTCTGTTTCCGACGGGACATGTTTCCCTGATGCAAGAGCTCTGGTCTTTCCCAGTTTCACGACTGGATATGTTACTACCTCCTTGCAAGATGCTAACCTGCAATAAAAAAGGTTATTGTTAGCACATGTCATTTTCCCCAGCAGTTACACAAAATTTAAAGATAAAATGTCCTTAAAAAACAGCTCCTGAGCATATAAAACTCACCAGTTATAAATAATTGAACTAATGAAAGAAAGAAAGAAATGAATAAATCTCTAGCCTAACGTCAAGGTCCCAGAAAGTTTAAGAGGGGACTCCCTCAGAGGACTTAGAGAATTATACTCTAAATCCATCTTTGGAATCCAGAATACTGTTAAGTGATCATGATCAAGGTCACAGGATAAAAGAGGAAGTAAAACTCAGGCATCCAGGGTTAGAAGTACTGTGGGCTCAAGGGGATAACTCCGATGAATTGCAAAAGGAAGCAAAAGGAAGCCAAAGAGGGTGGCAGCTCACATGTCACATGCCCACTGGAAGTCAAGCCCTGCAGTCTACACCAGCGGATTTTTCATGATGTTATCTTGCCTAGAGGTAGCAAAGGCATCACATCCCTGCGAGACAGAAAATGTCTCAAATAGGCATCTGTAAATGAGAACAGCATGGGAAATAAAGCCTCTATCTGGTGATACAGGCGCAATGCTATGCTGCACTGTGAATGACATGGCACTAAGCAAATCAAACTTCTAATGTTGAAGATGGGCTCTCACCAGAAGAGACAGATGCCATCCACATTGATGAGTACTAATTCAACACCCCAGTGTGGAATACCACCTGGCCCTCCTCACACATTCCAGAGAGGTGGTCAAAGTTAATAACTTTAGAGGCTCTTCTCAATCTAGCCTCTGGGTAGCAAAGAGAACAGTGGGAGGAATAAAGAGAAAAGTTCCCCAAACGAAAAATGCTGCCAAGACATGCATCTGCTCCCCACCCCATATAGGAGGGGATATATACGTAAGCCTGAAGGTTCCTGATTAACTACAGAAAGAGTGCCCCAGCCTTAAGCATTGTTAGAGAATCTGAGATGGATTAGTATTGATAGCTGTGTCATTTTCTTAGAAAGAGTGAATAAAGACATAGAATAAAAAGGGATTGTCTTTCCTACCAAAGACAGGAATATGGATCTGGTCACACTCTTAAGTTTTCTTTCAGTTCCTGCCTTCTTGAGTTATACTCACATTGAATAAGCAAACATAAAATCATAGTTTATTGCCTTAAGAGGAGTTATGGGAGACTACTGCTAGCTATATTTTGTACTCCAGTTAATGAAGACTCACCTCCTGTTATGCCAACTAACTCCTCTATGTAGCTAGAAGGACCTCAAACCTATAATCAGATCCTGCCTCCCCTTACCAAAAGAATAAAGAAACCGCAAATGGCAAAGACAGGCCTCCACAGGAAGTGGCAAAGGAAGCAGCTTTCAGGCAGTCTTCTAGCATATCTGCATATCAAACACAGTTCTTTTTCAGACCTTTAATTAAAAACAAAACAAAACAAAACTCTAAATGTATACAATAAAAATCAATTTAAACTATTTAGAGGGCAATATACTGAGTGCTGATAGTGTATGTTCTCTAAGTTTTGTGTATGTCATTTTTTTCTAATCAAGTAGTTGTTTTATTCACGGAAGCAGTGAATGAATATCACACTTTGGATTTCCTATATGTGTGTGGAATCACCAAGTGGAAAGGTAATGAAATGCAGGCTCTATTAATATTTTTAAAAATATGGCCAGGCACCGTGGCTCACGCCTGTAATCCCAACACTTTGGGAGGCCAAGGCAGGCAGATCACTTGAGGCCAGGAGTTTGAGACCAGCCTGGCCAATATGGGGAAACCTCTAATAAAAATACAAAAATTAGCTGGGCATGGTGGTGCACACCTGTAAATTCCAGCTACTCGGGAAGCTGAGGCATGAGAATCGCTTGAACCTGGGGAGGGGAGGTTGCAGTGAGCTGGGATGGAGGCACTACACTGCAGCTTGGGCAACAGAGTGAGACTCCATCTCAAAAAAAGATAAAAAACTGCCATGGGCGGTGGCTCTCGCCTGTAATCCCAGCACTTTGGGAGGCTGAGGCGGGTGGATCACCTGAGGTCGGGAGTTTGAGAACAGCCTGGCCAACATGGTGAAACCCCGTCTGTACTAAAAATACAAAAACTAGCTGGGCGTGGTGATGCATGTCTGTAATCTCAGCTACTCAGGAGGTTGAGGCAGGGAATTGCTTGAACCCGGGAGGCGGAGGTTGCAGTGAGCCAAGAACGCACCACTGCACTCCAGCCTGGGCGACAGAACGAGACTCCGTCTCAAAAAAAAAAAAAAAAGATAAATAAAAATTTAAAAAAATAAAATATACTCCTCTAATGTGATAATCTATTGAGGCTAAATATATATATACTCTATTATAGAAGAAAAAACAGAATCTTGACTAATTTTTATATTTTCTCCCTTCAAGATCAGAAACTGAAACTGTAAGATAAAGGTAATAAAGTCCCTTCTGAAGGAAGGCCAAATAATTTGAACCAGACAACATTTCAATATTAAAGCTCCAAGTCAAAAGACAGAGATGAGTGTCTGCGTATTTAAATCAGCAATGCCCGCTGCATCTTATAATCCTCCTAGTGGCCAAATGGGGAACTGACCAGATGGTACCCAATGGGACTTCACACCTGAGTGATCAAGAGAAAAATAAGCAATTACAGTCCCCTCCCACACAACGAAACGAAAATAATAACAAAAACACCCACAAAAACAGGCCTGTGGGGTCATGGGCTGTTGAAAATCAATAAGTAAATAAATAAATGGCGCTGAAAGGACACTCTTGACCACAAAGCAAGATCTCAGAGGCCAGATGACTTGTTTTATAGGCAGTTAAAGCTAATAAAACCCAGAGACATACAGCCCTAAAGGTCACTCATTTTGTTTTACTTTTAACACTGCCTCAATTTCCAAGCCAAAACCTGAAACCAAACCAAACCAAAAATGTAAATAGATAGCTGCCTGAACATGGGCTGGGAAGACAGGTAAACGGTGAGATTCAGGTCTAAAGGGATTCCATTTTAAAAGGAAAGCAGTTCTGTCTGTCTTCAGAGCAAGGTTAAGAGTCCTCGGGAAGGTGCAACGTCTCCCCTGAACACTGTCTCTGCTCTCCCACAGGTATTAGGTTGCAGCGTCTAGGGCACACCACAGACTTTGGCAAGAAAAAAAACGAGTGAAATCTCAGCTTGATGAAAAGAGAGTGCGTTCCCACCTCCAGCTCTGGTGCAGTTCCCACGGAGCAAAGCAAACTCGACTGAATCCAAGTGATCTGTATCTGCCAAAAAGGAGAGGACAAGAAAGCTGGTCACTTAGCCGCCTGGCTGTTCACCTGACCCCTGGGGTTGGGTCTGGGGCGTGTCTAATCAGCCGAGATGGTCCCTCTGCTTCTTCAAGCATGAGCCCAGGTAAATTCCCAGGAATTACCAGACAAGAGCCTGACAAGAGCCGGAGGTCTTCCGAGGCGGCTCAGACAAACCCTTAGACAACACAATCTCCGAAATCTAAATTTAGAAGCTTTTCTGCGAGACCCAGACGCGGGGACTGATACCCCCCGGTCTGCACGCCCACGCCCATCCTCCCCTCCCCCAGCTCCACCCAAGGCTGTCAGACGCCGGGGCCGTCCCCGCCGGGGCCCGAGGAGGCGGGGTGCCCGCGGCCCGCGCAAAAGCCCCCCGGCCCCGCACCCCGCGCCCCGCGCCCGAGAGCGCCAAGGGGCAGCAGGAGGAGCGGCCGGGGAGGAATTGGGGTTGGAAGCGGGGAGGGTGAGCCCGGGCTGCCCCCCTAGGCCGGAGCTGGCCCCCGGCCCTCTCCCCAGTGCAGACAAAAGGACCAACAGCCGGCGGCCGCGAGGGGGCGAGGAGCCCGCATCCCCAGCCCGGACCCGGAGGGAGGGCAGGGGGTCTTTTTACCCGGCGCCTCGGCGCTGCGCTGCGCTCTGGGTCCCTGGGCCCCGCCTCCGGACAGACGGACCGCCGGACAATGGACCCGGGACCGCAGCCCAAGCCAGCCGGGCCGGGGCGCTCCGGGACTGGGCCCCGGCGAGCGGAAGGGGCTCCGGGCCGAGCCGAGCCGGTGGCGGGGAGCCGAGGGGCGGCGCTGCAGACGGACAAAGCCAACAGCAGACAGACAGACGGAGGGGGAAAAAGATGGCGACGCGGGCGGCGGGAGCGCGCGGCTCGCGCACCCGCAGCTAGTGAGGCGCGTGCACGAGCCTCCCTCTCCCCCTCCCCCGCGCCGGCCAGGTCCCCTTCCCCGCGGCCCGGCGCGCGCCTGGCGTTGTGGGCGGGGCCTGAGGAGAGGGGCTCTGGAGAGGAGGGGCTCCGGGGAGCGCCCAATCCCGGGCGCCCGAGAGGGGCTCGCCCGCGTTCCAGGGCTCCGGAACCCCCCGCCTCGCCCATTCCCGGGTCTTTCTCTGGCTGTCTCAGCCGCTCAGCTCCCCCAGACCTTCCTGGACGTGTAAACGCCACCCTACCCAGCCCCGATCCTGGTTTCTTACCCCACCATCGAGTTCAGCCACAAAACCCACAACCCCCAACCACAGCTCCGCCGCAGGCACCCCCTCTCCTTAGCCCGGATCCCCACCACCGTCACAAACCCTCTTCGCCTCATTCCCCCACGCTTCGCGGTGGCTTCGGCTCCCGAGGCTTTGAATGTGACCACGGGCCTTGGTGGGAGGGGCCAAGTTCAGCTGTCAGAACCTCAGAGCTGGGAAATCTTGAGATTTCTTTTGAGTATTTAATTTTCTGACATGATTCTCAACTGATAAAATAACATTGGCTGCAGACCCAGGGGCAGGGGAACTTGTGGCACTGTTGTCACTTGAGGGATGTTTGGGGGCAATGGAGAGCCGTTGGACCTTTTTTTTTTTTTTTTTTTTGAGACAGAGTCTCGCTCTGTCACCCAGGCTGCAATGCAATGGCGCGATCTTCGCTCACTGCAACCTGCGCCTCCCAGGTTCAAGCGATTCTCGTGCTTCAGCCTCCCGAGTAGCTGGGACTACAGGCGTGCACCACCACGCCCAGCTAATTTTTGTATTTTTAGTAGACGGGGTTTCACCATGTTGGCCAGGCTGGTCCCGAACTCCTGACCTCAGGTGATCCTCCCGCCTCGGCCTCTCAAAGTGCTGGGATTACAGGCGTAAGCCACTGTGCCCGGCCTGGTTGGACGCACTTCTAGTCAAACACCTCCTCCTGTCCACGTCCTTCTCTCTCCTAGTTCCTGTTGCCTTCTTTTCTTCCTCTCTTCTAGAATGCCTGAGCCTGCCCTGGCATCGCTTACCTGGAGAAGCAGGGAATGCAGAGGAAAGAAGATGAGATCTGGTATTAGAAGATCTGGCTTTGAGCCCCAGCTCTGCCACCCACCAGCCTGTTGACTTTGGGCAAGTCACTTCCCTGTTCTGAGCCTCTGCTTCCTAAGATGTCAAATGGATAATGATGCAATAATTCCTGGCCTTTACTCTCCGAGGGTTGTTGTGCCAGTTAAGTAAAACAAATGGCTAAAAGCATCATGCAAATGTTTTTCGTGATTACTGGCTGCACAAAGGCAGGGCTAACGAGGATGCTGTCATTTGCTGATAAAGTGACAAGTCCTGGTATTTGCATAGAACATTCTTGCAAATTGTCTTTCCCCTAAATCTTTTATGAGATGATCTCATTGTCTGCATCTTGTGTTCAATGTAATAGAATGATTACATTGAGGGATCTTGGTCCTTCACAATTCTGTGATAAATAGCTCATTCATCATTCACTCATTTATTTATTGTGATTAGGATACTTAGATAGCAATTATTGTTGTTTAACTTCAGTCAAGGAAACATTTTAATTTCATTTAAAAACTTAGTTTCCAAGTAGACAGAAAATGGAATATTATCATCCAACCCGCAAGTGTTTGTACTATTTTGTGTAAGAATACAACCTAGAATACACACTGGCTTTTATATTTAACAGTAATTCTTGATCAGTTTGGACTGAGGGATACAAGTATGGCTTTATTATGTCACTTTAAAGCTGACTTAGTTGACATTTTCAACAGAAAAGTAGCAAACAGGTAAAGTTTGCCTCCAGTGAAATTTCTTGGATGCATTATTATTATGTAATGTTGGGCAGCTTATTCCATCTCCTTGACTTCCAAATAAAATGAGATGATAATAATGCTATTCTTATGACTTCCCTGTGCTCTAAAAATTTCTCAGAGGTGTTGTGATTCAAGGTTACAACCAAATAATGAAAAAATTATTAAATACGTAATTAGTTTAAGTTAGGCATGGTGGCTGGCACCTATAGTCCCAGCTACTCAGGAGGCTGAGATGGTATGATGACTTGAGCCCAAGTGTTTGAGGCCAGCTTGGGCCACATAGTGAAACCCTTGTCTCTTTAAAAAAGAAGAATTAATTTATTTTTCCTCTGCTTTCACCTAAACTTGTTCTACATCTAGAAGACCTTTTAATTAACCATATATATTTTTTTAGCTTCACTTTTTTCTACTTTCCCAATCTACTCACAGTTATGTCATCATTTTGCCACTTCAACTATTTAACTTTCCACTTGAAATATCTTCCTAATCCATTTTATATTTGTTGGCTTCTACAATGACCTTGTTAGGGCTCTATATTCCAACAATAAAGGTAGGAGGATTTTAAGAACCTCATGTTACATTTTTTTAAATTAAGGTATAATTCACATACCATGAAACTCATGCTTTTAAAGTGTACAATTCAGTGGGTTTTGGTACATTCACAGGGTTGACAACATCACTAGTATCTAATTCCGGAATATTTTCATCACCCCAAAAAGAAATCCCATACCCAGTAGCAGTAACTCACCATTCTCCCTTCCTCCAGCTCCTGGCACCCACAAATCTACTTTCTGTCTGTGTGGATTTGCCTATTCTGGACATTTCATATAAATGTGATTGATTATACAGTATGGGACCTCTCGTGTCTGGCTTTTGTCACTTAATCTGGCTTTTGTCACTTAATAGGTTTTCAAGGTTCATTCATGTTGTAGCATATATCAGTACTTAATTCCTTTTTATGGCTGAATTATATTCTGTTGTATGGATATGCCACATTTTATTTATCCATTCATTAGTGGAACGATATTTGGCTTGGGCCTACTTTTTGGCTACTATGCATAATGCTACTATGAACATTTGTGTACAGTTTTTGTGTAAACATATGTCTTTACATTATGTATGGACATGGGTGCATACATATATCTAAGAGTGGAATTGCTTGGTCAAATGGTAACTCTATATTCAACCTTTTTTTTTTTTTTTTTTGAGACCGAGTCTTGCTCTGTCGCCCAGGCTGGAGTGCAGTGGCGCGATCTCGGCTCATTGCAAGCTCCACCTCCTGAGTTCACGCCATTCTCCTGCCTCAGCCTCCCAAGCAGCTGGGACTACAGGTGCCCGCCACCACGCCCGGCTAATTTTTTTTGTATTTTTAGTAGAGACGAGGTTTCACCGTGTTAGCCAGGATGGTCTTGATCTCCTGACCTCGTGATCCGCCCGCCTCGGCCTCCCAAAGTGCTGGGATTACAGGCGTGAGCCATCGCGCGCAGCCCTCTGTGTTCAACTTTTTGAGGAAGTGCTAAACTGTTTTCCTAAGTGGCTGCACCATTTTATATTCCTATCAGCAACATATGGTGTTTCCAATTTCTGCACAACCTGGTCAACATTTGTTATTGTTTGTCTTTGACATTAATGGCCACCCTAGTGGATATAAAGTCATATCTCATTGTGATTTTAATTTGCATTTCTCTAATGACTAAGGATGTTGAATATTTTTTCATGTGCTTATTATTGACCATTTGGAGAATGTCTATTCAAATCCTTTGCCTATTTTTAAATTGAGTTGTCTTTTTTTTTTTTTTTTTGGAATCAGGGTCTCACTCTGTTGCCCAGGCTGGAGTGCAGCACAGTGGTATGATCACAGCTCACTGCAGCATTGACCTCCCTGAGCTCAGGTGATCATCCCACCTCAGCCTCCCGAGTAGCTGGGACTACTGGCATGCCCTTACAGGCACACGCCACCACACCTGAATAATTTTTGTATTTTTTGTAGAGACGGGGTCTCACCATGTTGCTCAGGCTGGTCTGGAACACCTAGGCTCAAGCAATCTCCCCGCCTCAGCCTCCCAAAGTGCTGGGATTACAGGCATGAACCACTGCGCCTGGCCTAAAATTTATTTTTATTTATTTGGTATCCCAAATAAAAATAATATTTATTTTTATTTATTTGGTCACGGCACATAGTGTCCTTTGAAGCACAAAGTTTTTGATTTATATGAAGTCTAATTTATTTTTTCCTTCATTGCTTGTGGTTTGGATGCCATGTCTACGAAACTATCACCGCCTAGTCATGAAAATTTACACCTATGTTTTCTCTTAGGAGTTTTTTAGCTCCTACATTTAGGTCTTCACTCCATTTTGAGTTAGTTTTTGCATATGGTGTGAGGCCGGGGTGGGGGGCAATTTTATTCTTTTGCATGCAGTTATCCAGTTTTCTTAGCACCATTTGTTGTAAAGACTGTTCTTTCCCCCTTTGAATTGTCTTGGTATCCTTGTTGAGAATCAATTGGTTATAAATGCATGGGTTTATTTCTGGACTCTCAGTTCTATTCCATTGACCTATATGCCTATCCTTATGCCACTATCATACAGTCTTGATAAAAATCTGATATTTTAAAGGACAATGTTTAAACTTTTGTGTTTATATTTAGAATCTAGAGTTACAAGTTTTCATGGCTTTGAGTTCATTTAAGGAAAAATTAAGTTTTCTAGATGATTACAATGATGATAAATGTAAAAACCTGATTTGAAAATTTTTTGATCTTATATATGAACCCAAATCACAGTAATAACTGTGATTTAATGCATTTTATTTTCATGTATTGATAAACTCCATATACACAAATTGAAAGTAAAACAGGGCTGGAAATTATTATGGAAACATGGATATACAGGAAGTATATAATCGGGCCAAGCGAGGTGGCTCATGCCTTTGGGAGGCTGAGGTGAGAGAATCACTTGAGGCCAGGAGTTTGAGACCAGTCTGGGCAACATAGTGAGATCCTGTCTCTACAAAAATGTTTTTTAAAAATTAGCCAGGCATGGTGGCATGTACCTGTAGTCCAAGCTACTTAGGAGGATGAGATGGGAACCCAGCAGTTTGAGGCTGCAGGGAGCTGTGATAGTACCCTTGCACTTCAGCCTGATGACAGAGTGAAACCATGTCTTAAAATAAAAAATAAATAAATGAAAAGAAAATATATGATGTTCAGTGTCAAAGTCTGGGTTCAAGATCTGATCCTGGCATTTATAGCTGTTGACCTTAGATTGGTCACTTCATAGCTTTAAGCTTCACTTTCCTCCTATAAAAACTGACAATAGCCGGGTGCGGTGGCTCACACCTGTTGTAATCCCAGCACTTTGGGAGGCTGAGGTGCATGGATCACTTGAGATCAGGAGTTCAAGACCAGCCTGGCCAACATGGTGAAACTCTTTCTCTAATAAAAATACAAAAATTAGCCGGGTGTGGTGGTGCATGCCTGTAAATCCCAGCTACCTGGAAGGCTAAGGCAGGAAAGTCACTTGAACCTGGGAGGTGGAGGTTGCAGTGATCCAAGATTATGCCATTGCACTCCAGCCTAGGAGACAGAGTGAGACTCTGTCTCAAAAAACAAAACAAAAAACAAAACAACAACAAAAAAACAAAAACAAAAGAAAACCCGAAAAAACCTGACCTGATAATGCCAGACCGGGCAGCATGGCAAAACCCCATCTCTACCAAATAAATATAAGAAATTACCCAGGTATGGTGGCATGGCATGTGCCTATAGTCCCAGCTACTCAGGAGGCTGATGTGGGAGGATCATCTGGGCCCAAGATCATGGCTGCAGTGAGCCATGATTGCACCACTGCACTTCAGCCTGCACAACAGAGCGAGACCCTGTCTCAGGCAAAACAAAACAAAAACAAAAACAAAAAAATGATTTTTGACCTGCAGCTGCTTCACAGAAATGTCAGCCTGAAATTGAGATAATGTGTTTATAGGTGCTTTGTAAACTGTAAAATGCCACAAAGATAAGTTAATATTTGTATATAGCCCTAATTAGTGACATTAATTAGTTTTCTGAAGACTTGTTTCATGGGTTCTTTAACAAGTGATCTTGATTTTTTTTTCCTAGGCTTTAGGAAGATGTCCAGAGCAGTTCCTATATCCTTGTATATTCTTTTTTTTATTGTTTTTCTTCTTTTTCTTTTTTTGTTTCATTGTATATTCTTTAGTCTAAATGTTAATAGTTAAAACAAAGGAAATAACTCTATGCCCATCATCTTTCCCTTCTTTCTCTTACACAATGTGTAGTACTTTTATGCAGAAGTCAGCAAACTTTTTTTTTTTTTTCAGACAGGATCTCACTCTGTCTCCCAGCCTGGAGTACAGTGGCACAATCTCGGCTCACTGCAGCCTCCTCTGCCTCCCAGGTTCAAGTGATTCTCCTGCCTCAGCCTCCTGAGTAGCTGGGATTACAGTGCACCACCACACCTGGCTAATTTTTGTATTTTTAATAGAGACAGATTTTCGCAATGTTGACCAGGCTGGTCTCGAACTCCTGACCTCAAGTGATCCCCCTGCCTTACCCTCCCAAAATGCTGGGATTACAGGTGAGCAAACTTTTTCTATAAAGGACCACATAGTAAATATTTTGGGATTTGTGGGCAACATAAAGTCACTGTCACACATTCATGCTCCTCCCCTTCCTGCTTTTTTTTTTTTTTTTTTTTTTTTTGAGAGGGAGTCTCACTCTGTCACCCAGGCTGGAGTGCAGTGGCGCATTCTCGGCTCACTGCAAGCTCCGCCTCCCAGGTTCACGCCATTCTCCTGCCTCAGCCTCCCAAGCAGCTGGGACTACAGGCGCCCGCACCACGCCCAGCTAATTTTTTTTTGTATTTTTTAGCGGAGACGGGGTTTCACTGTGTTAGCCAGGATGGTCTCCATCTCCTAACCTCGTGATCCGCCCGCCTCACCCTCCCAAAGTGCTGGGATTACAGGCGTGAGCCACCGCGCCCAGCCCCTTCCTGCTTTTTAACCTTTTAACAATATAAAAATCATTCTTAGCTGGAGAGGCTGTACACAAAACAGGTTGGCTGATTAAGGCTTGCAGGCCTGTTATAGATTCTTATTTTATTGGGCTCAAACACTGTGTCTGGTTTTAGTTACAGCTACTAGTTATAGTCATTTACACAAAAAAAGTACCTGGTTAGTTACCAAAGAAATGTAATGTGTTAACATTTGTCCCAACAGCAAAACTGGATTTTCAAGGGAAACAGTGTTTATTTTTCAGTATGTTTAGCTTCTGAATGAAACTTGTCTGTTCAGCCAGGGACAGAGATAATATTGTGTTTTTTAATTCCCTCAGAGATACTGTTTCGAATAATTGGCTTGTTGGGGTACAATTCACAGTTGATATATTACAGGATCTAAATAGACAGGTAGGTTTTGTTAAAGCCCAGGACACAGGTGATGATTGCTAAATCTTTACAACTCCCGAGTAGAAAGCAATTTTTCTAAACGAATAAATGAATCATGTCGGCTGGGCATGGTGGCGCACGCCTGTAATCCTAGCACCCTGGGAGGCCGAAGCCGGCAGATCACTTGAGGTCAGGAGTTCGAAACCAGCCTGGCCAACATGGTGAAACCTCATCACTACTAAAAATACAAAAAATCGGCCAAGCGTGGTGTCCCACGCCTTTAATCCCAGCACTTTAGGAGGCTGAGGCGGGCGGATCATGAGGTCAGGGGTTTGAGACTAGCCTGACCAACACGGTGAAACCTCATCTTTACTAAAAATAGCCAGGCGTGGTGGTGCAGGCCTGTAGCAGCTACTCAGGAGGCTGAGGCAGCAGAATCGCTTGAACCCGGGAGGCGGAGGTTGGAGTGAGCTGAGATTGAGCCACTGCACTCCACCCTGGGCGACAGAGAGAGACTCCGTCTCAAAAAAAAAAAAAAAAAAAAAAAAAATTAGCTGGACTTGGTGGTGGATGCCTGTAATCCCAGCTACTTGGTACTTGTAAGGCTGCGACAGGAGAATCGCTTTAACCCGGGAGGTGGAGGTTGCAGTGAGCTGAGATCGCGCCATTGCACTCCAGCCTGGGCAACAAGAGAGAAACTCCGTCTCAAA
Source organism: Homo sapiens (assembly GCF_000001405.40). Taxonomy (NCBI): domain Eukaryota; kingdom Metazoa; phylum Chordata; class Mammalia; order Primates; family Hominidae; genus Homo; species Homo sapiens. The sequence goes on from NC_000016.10 coordinate 71,892,182, forward strand.
AAAAAAAAAAAAAAAAAAAAAAAAAAAAAGAATCATGTCACCTTTAGCGCTTTTAGTTAGGTGGGGCTCAATGATACTTTTAGCTTATCTTTTTTCAGTCTGTGAGACAGAGTCTCCCTCTGTCACCCAGGCTGGAGGGCAGGGGCGCGATCTCGGCTCACTGCAAGCTCCGCCTCCCGGGTTCACACCATTCTCCTGCCTCAGCCTCCCCAGTAGCTGGGACTACAGGCGCCCGCCACCAAGCCCGGCTAATTTTTTTTGTATTTTTAGTAGAGACGGGGTTTCACCGTGTTAGCCAGGATGGTCTCTATCTCCTGACCTCGTGATCCACCCGCCTCGGCCTCCCAAAGTGCTGCGATTACAGGTGTGAACCACCGTGCCCGGCCAAAATTTTTTTTTTTTTTTTTTGAGAGGGAGTCTTCCTCTGTCGCTCAAGCTGGAATGCAGGGGCGTTATCTCGGCTCATTGCAACCTCCGCCTCCCCGGTTCAAGCGATTCTCTTGCCTCTGCCTCCGAATTAGCTGAAATTATAGGCACGAGCCACAAACCAGGCTTTTTTTTTTTTTTTGAGACAGAGTCTTGCTCTGTCACCCAGGCTGGAGTGCAATGGCATGATCTCGGGTCACTGCAACCTCCGCCTCCCGGTTCAAGCGATTCTTCTGCCTCAGCCTCCAAGTAGCTGGGATTACAGGCGCCCGCCACCATGCCCTGCTAATTTTTTATATTTTTAGTAGACACAGGGTTTCACCATGTTGGCCTGGTCGGTTTCGAACTCCTAACCTCAAGTGATCCACCCACCTCGGCCTCTCAAAGTGCTGGGATTACAGGCATGAGCCACCCTGCCTGGCTTTTTTTTTTTTTTTTTTGAGATATAGTCTGGCTCTGTCACCCAGGCTGGAGTGCAGCGGCGCCATCTCGGCTCACTGCAATCTCTATCTCCTGGCGCCATTCTCCTGCCTCAGCCTCCCGAGTAGCTGGGACTACAGGCGCCCGCCACAACCCCCAGCTAATTTTTTTTTGTATTGTTGGTAGAGACGGGGTTTCACCGTGTTAGCCAGGGTGGTCTTCATCTCCTGACCTCGTGATCCTCCCGCCTCGGCCTCCCAAAGTGCTGGGATTACAGGCGTGAGCCACCGCGCCCGGCCAATTTTTTGTATTTTTAGTAGAGATGGGGTTTCACCATGTGGCCAGGCTGCTCTCCAACTCCTGACCTCAGGTGATCCACTCGCCTCAGCCTCCCAAAGTGCTAGGATTACAGGCGTGAGCCACCACGCCTGGCCCACTTTTTTTTTTTTTGGGACAGGGTCTCACTCTGCTGCCCAGGCTGGAGTGCAGTGGCACAATCTCACATCACTGCAACCTCCGCCTCCCAGGTTCAAGCGATTCTCCTGCCTCAGCCTCCCAAGTAGCTGGGATTACAGGTGTGTTGCCACCACATCCGGCTAATTTTTGTATTTTTAGTAGAGACGGTTTCACCATGTTGGCCAGGCTGGTCTTGAACTTCTTACCTCAGGTGATCCACCCGCCTCGGCCACCCAAAGTGCTGAGATTACAGGCATAAGCCACCATGCCCAGCCAAAAAAATCTGCACTTTTTTTTTTTTTGGTTGGAGTCTTGCTCTATTGCCTAGGCTAGATTGCAATGGGGAGATCTCGGCTCACTGCAACCTCCGCCTTCTGGGTTCAAGCGATTCTCCTGCCTCAGCCTCCGGAGTAGCTGGGATTACAGGTATGTGCCTACACGCCTGGCTAATTTTTTCTTTTTTTTGTATTTTTTTTAGTAGAGACGAGATTTCACAATGTTGGTCAGGCTGGTCTTGAACTCCTGACCTCAGGTGATCCACCTGCCTCAGTCTCCCCAAGTGCTGGGATTACAGGCATGTGCCACCGCGCCTGGCATGGAACCTGGTTTTATCTTGAAATGTTGCAAACGTTTATAAAGATACAGTATTTCTAAATTCACATCAACATCTTATGATAAGGGCTAGCTCCTACTTGTCATATGACTGCCCCGGTACAAGCATTAGATGCAGCCTCCACAGCAGGGAGCAGATGACTTCCTTCTGGAGGCCCCTTTTTCTTTTTTCCCTTTTTTTTTTTGAGACGTTTCGCTCTTGTTGCCCAGGCTGGAGGGCAATCGCCGGATCTCGGCTCACTGTAACTCGAGAATCAAGCGATTCTCCTGCCTCAGCCTCCGGAGTAGCTGGGATTACAGGCTTGCGCCACCATGCGTAATTTCCTCTTTAGTAGAGACGGGGTTCCTCTGTGTTGGCCAGGCTGGTCTCGAATTACCGACTTCAGGTGATACACCTGCCTCGGCCTCCCAAAATGTTGAGATTACAGGCGTGAGCCACCGCACCCGGCCCTTTTTCTTTTTTTCTGTAGCCTAGGCTGGAGTGCTGTGACGTGATCACGGTTTACTGCAGCAGCGACCTTCTGGGCTCAAGCGATCTTCCTGCCTCAGCCTCCCGAGTAGCTGAGACCACAAGTGCTCACTGCTGCTCCCCTAATTTTTAACTTTTTTTTTTTTTTTTTTGTAGCGATGCGGTTTCACTATGGTGTCCAGGCTGGTCTGCAACTCCCGGGCTCAAGCGATCCTCCCGCCCCGCCTCTCAAAGTGCTGGGAAGGTCCCTTCCAGGCTTAAGCAGCGATAATGGTTTTCAAGTTAAAAACAAAGGTAACCAAGGAAAAAGTTTTCTCTGAATACCGAGATAAATTAGGGAAATCGCCAGAGACTGTGGTGCTGAGGAAACACTACTGAATTATACCACACAGACCGGAGCGATGCTGGTCCAAAGGGCAACCGGACGGCTTAAAAGCGGGGCGGGGGAACGCTTAGAGCCCGTAGAGGGACACGGAGGCGCTGGGTGAAGAGTCAGGGATACGCAGGCTTCGAAACCCCCTCGGCCGCTCCACCCAGGGGGAAAGTCCAGCGAAAGGCGGCAGCAGATCTTAGGGAGCAACTCCCGGCGTCAGAGAGGCGGTACTGGCAGCCGGTTATGGAAGAATCCGGAACCAAGGCACTGGGCGCGGTGAGGCCGTGGGCGCAGAGTCCGAGAATCAACAGCTGTGGCTGGCCTCCCCGCGCCCAGAGCGAAATTAAGGGCATGCCCCCAGCAGCTGACTCAGTCGGCGTGGCGCTTCCCCCAACGTCTGCCGTGCCCCCGCCGCGGGAAGTAGTCCCCGGCCGCGCCGACTCCAAAGGAAACCGAGGGAGGGTGCCCCGAGTCAGCGCGTGGGTCCCGGCAGCGGCGATCGCGCAGCCAATCCCTGGAAAGGAGGGCGTGGCTATATCGGCCCCGTGGATCCCTCCGCCCGCGCTTGTTGTGCTGAGGCCGAGGGAGTCGCCATTTTGGATGGTGAACCCTGAAGTCGGTGTCTGCTGCGTTCACGGCAGGATTCGGTTAGGTGAGTGTGGCATCCTCGGCGTCAGAGGTCTCTGTCTTCCTCTTCTCTCTGCGCTCCTGATTTAGCGGTCTCTAGTTAGCGCTAGGGCCCGGGATTCAAACGACTTCGGAGGGGGCAGCTGAGGAGAAAGGGAAGGATAGTGGAAGTGGGGGTCAGACCGGAGGTCAGGCCCTCGAGGGCCCGCGGCGCAGGAGGCTGCCCAGGCCTGGGTGGGGGGCGTGGCAGGGCCGCGAGCGGGTCGGAGGCCTCTGGTCCTGGATCCTCGAAGCCCCTTAACTTTCCCCTAGTCTTCCTGCCCCGAGGTGTGTCTTCCTTGGGGCGGAAACGCCGCGGCCTCGGCGAGGGCTCCTCGGCGACACCCCTACCCCGTCTTTTCTGGCCCGGAGAGACTTCGGGAAGGTCAGAGCTTCCAGTGCCGCGAGAGGCGGATGCCCTCCAGTCCGGGCCGCTTCCACCGGGCGGGGTGGCCTCCTGGGCTTGTTCCTGGGTTGGGGGAACGGACTTGGGTCCACTTTGGCCTGAGAAAATTACAATTTCTTTCGCTGAAGTAAGGAGCGGCCTCTGCCCGCTTTCTCGGATCCCTGCGTGTGTAGTGAGAGGTCTTGGAAGGATCCTTGCGCCTCTCCTCTTTGTTTTTCTCGGTGCTCTTCTTCCGGGGTGCTGGAGGTGACCTCTTGGAACTCAACAGCATAAACTTTGAGGAGGGTCGGGACCCAGGAGCTGTAGGTTAATTACAAAAGACACTGTCTGTCGTAGTAAACTTAAAGTCTGGTCTTAGATCTTTAGGGGAAACTTGAATTTTAAAATTATGTGTAATATTTTAACTTTTTATTATGGAAAATTTCAAGCAGACAGGAGTATAATGAATTCTCTCATCCAGCTTCAAACACGATCAACTCATGCCTAATCTTGTTTTATCTATACCCTTCCTATGTCTGTATTTTTCTAATTTAATAATAGTTGAAATATATATGTATATATTTCCCTCTCCTTTCCCAGTAGAAGCCTTTTGGCTTTTGTACCTACAAGCCAATAGTTTGTGGGAAATTTGCTTCCTCAGAACTTCTGGGATAGGGGGACTTGGTAATAGTCATTAGAAGATAAAACTGGCCAGATGTGGTGGCTCACCCCTGTAATCCCAGTACTTGGGGAGGGCTAGGTGGGATGATCACTTGAGCTTGGGAGTTGGAGAACAGCGTGGGCAACATAGCAAAATCCCGTTCTCTACAAAAATAAAAACAGCCAGGCGTGGAGGCCCGCATCTATAGTCCAGGAGGCTGAGGTAGGAGGATTGCTTGAGCCTGGGAGGTGGAGATTATAGTGAGTCGGTAATCGTGCCACTGCATTTCAGTCTGGAGGACAGAGTGAGACCCTGTGTAAAAAAAGAAAAAAAAAAAGAAATTAAAACACTTCCTCTTTTTTTGTATTTATTTTTGTTTTTGTTCTGCAGACGGGGGTCTCACTCTGTTTCCCAGGCTGGAGTGCTGTAGTGCACTCCCTGCAGCTTCGACCTTTCAGGACTCAAGTGATCCTCCCGCCCCAGCCTTGGGAGTAGTAGCTGACACTACAGGCCCACGCCTGGCTTTTTTTTTTTTTTTTTTTTGGTCGGGGTCGGGAGGGGAGAGTTTCTTAATGTTGCCCAGACTGGTCTTGAACTCGTGGGCTCAAGTGATCCTCCCAAAATGCTGGGATTAGAAGTATTTTGAATCCCCAGTGTTAGTGTTACGTTTTAAAGTCATCCAGTTTCGTATATCTTATTTTAAAATAGTATTATTATTTTGTCCAAATACTTTTTCATTCTCCCTCTTTGTTCTTATGTCTCTGGCTTCTAAATTATCAGGAGCTCCAGAATCTCCATCTCTAGTTTGTTTGATTTAAGCTCTGGTTCTTGTAAGATAATCAGAATCAAGTCCCAGGGTTTTACAATAAAACTAGAAAAATGAAAGGGTAGTATAGTTAGTCATTCCAAATACAGGAAAAGTAACATGCCTATGAACACTTATTTCAGCATTACTTATATGGTACAGATGGTCAAAAGTTTGGAGAATTGGTAAGAAAATTCTTATTGAGTGGAGGCCGGGCACGGTGGCTCACGCCTGTAATCCCAGCACTTTGGGAGGCCGAGGCGGGTGGATCACCTGAGGTCAGGAGTTTGAGACCAGCCTGGACAACATGGTGAAACCCTGTCTCTACTAAAAATACAAAAATTAGCCAGGAGTGTTGGTGTGGCCTGTAGTCCCAGCTACTCCAAAGGCTGAGGTAGGAGAATTGCTTGCTCGAACCCGAGAGGCGGAGGTTGCAGTGAGCTGAGATCGTGCCACTGCACTCCAGCCTGGGCGACAGAGTGAGAATCCGTCTCAAAAAGAAAAAATTATTACTGAGTGGAATATTAGACAGCGTTTACTACAAGGTTTTAGACTGTAACAAGATACGATGAGAAGGATTCTATATTGCTCAGTCCATGAGTATAGCTTTGTAAAACTATACCTTAAGAAAAACCCTTGGCCAGGCACCGTGGCTCACGCCTGTAATCCCAGCACTTTGGGAGGCTGAGGCAGGCAGATCACTTGAGGTAAAGAGTTTGAGACCAGCCTGGCCAACATGGTAAAACCCCTTCTCTACTAAAAATACAAAAAAATTAGCCAGGTGTGGTGGTGGGCACCTGTAATCCCAGCTACTTGGGAGGCCAAGGCAGGGGAATCATTTGAACCTGGGAGGTGGAGGTTGCAATGTGCCAAGATTGCACCACCTGCCTGGTGACAGAGACACTCTCTCTCTCAGAAAAAAAAAAAAAAAAAAGAAACTCTCTTGGTGCGGGGCACTGTGGCTCATGCCTGTAATCCCAGCACTTTGAGAGGCTGAGGTGAACGGATCATGTGAGGTTAGGAGTTCAAGACCAGCCTGGCCAACATGGTGAAACCCCCTCTCTACTGTAAATACAAAAATTAGTTGGGCATGGTGGCGGGCGCCTGTAATACTTGGGAGGCTGAGGCAGGAGAATTGCTTGAACCCAGGAGGTGGAGGTTGCAGTGAGCCAAGATCCAGCTTGGGCCACAGAGTGAGACTCTGTCTTAAAAAAAAAAAAAAAACAAAAAAGGAAACACTGAGGCCAGGAGTGGTGGCTCACGCCTGTAATCCCAGCACTTTGGGAGGCCAAGGCGGGCAGATCAGGACATCAGGCGTTGGAGACCAGCCTGGTCAACATGGCGAAACCTCGTCGCTACTAAAAATAAAAAAATTAGCGGGGTGCCTGTTCTCCCAGCTACTCGGGAGGCTGAGGCAGGAGAATCACTTGAACCTAGGAGGCGGAGATTGCAGTGAGCCGAGATGGCACCGCTGCACTCCAGCCTGGGCAGCAGAGCAAGCCTCTATCTCAAAAAAAAAAAAAAAAAAAGAAACACTCTTGGTAAAAGACCCAATGAATTTCCCATAATGTTTTTATCTCAATTTTATTGAGAACAAGATGAAGATACTTTCTTTATGCCTGTGCATTTCAGTATTTATAGCTCCTTCAAGAAAATTTTGATGGTCTCTGAATTCTGAAGCCTTATTTTCTTGTGAATAACACATGATGCTGTTGATCTTACAGTTTTTTTTTTAAATTAATTTTCAGTCTTAGTTTGACCAGTGAAGATTTTATTATAGTGTGAAAATACACAGTGAACTTTGTGCCACTTGTACATGTAATGCTTCTAAAGGAATTGGACCACCAGGTGTGGCGGCTCATGCCTGTAATCCCAGCACTTCGGGAGGTTGAGGCGGGAGGATTGCTGAGCCCAAGAGTTGGGAGACCAGCCTGGGCAACATAGCAAGGCCCCATCTCTGCTAATAAAAATTTTTAAAAAGATAAAGGAATTGGGCTGTATTATCTTGGAAATGTGTCCTAGCACCTCATTGTGTCTGTTTCTACTCTAACATCACATCTTCATAACTGCGATACAGTGGTCATACCAAAATTTGTTCAAATTACTTCTTTTATAAGAACAACAACAAAAGAAACCTCAGGCTGGGAGTGGTGGCTCATACCTGTAATCCCAGCACTCTGGGAGGCCGAGGCGGGTGGATCACCTGAGGTCAGGAGTTTGAGACCAGCCTAGCCAACATGGTGAAACCCTGTCTCTACTAAAAATAGAAAAAATTAGCTGGGCGAACAGCCGGGCATGGTGGCTAACGCCTGTAATCCCAGCACTTCGGGAGGCCGAGGCGGGTGGATCACAAGGTCAGGAGATCGAGACCATCCTGGCTAACACGGTGAAACCCTGTCTCTACTAAAAATATAAAAAATTAGCTGGGTATGGTGGTGGGTGCCTGTAGTCCCAGCTACTCGGGAGGCTGAGGCAGAGGTAGTAGTGAGCCAAGATTGCGCCACTGCACTCTAGCCTCGGCGACAGAACAAGACTCTGTCTCAAAAAAAAAAAAAAAAAAAATTAGCTGGGCGTGATGGCAGACACCTGTAATCCTAGCTACCTGGGAGGTTGAGGCAGGAGAATCGCTTGGACCTGGGAGGTGGAGGTTGCAGTAGGCTGAAATCGCACCATTGCATTCCAGCCTGGGCAACAAGAGTGAAACTCGGTCTCAAAAAAAAAAAAAAAGATCAGAATAAATAAAATAACACACGTCAAAACCAAAAGCTTTTGTACGTATTGGAGTGTCTGTAGCCAGTCTTGACCTTGCTCTCTCCCCTCCTCACTTCGTACTTTTAGAGCTACAAACACTGAGTTTACTCCCTTAGGAAGTCTTTTTTTTTTTTTTTTTTTTTTTGGCTACTTTTAGCTGCTACTACTTTGAATAGAGCTTTCAGGATCACTACTTCTGGGCAGCTTCACTATTTTGGGCAGCAGTTCTGATTCTTTTCCTCCTCCAGATATCCTAAGAGGAAGGACTCAGTCCATGGTTTTACTTTGCTTATTCAGGATGGGGAGGCTAACTAGCTCGCGAAGTCTCAGCGAGCTGAGTGATAAAAGAGGAACTAGATGGGTTTGCTATGCCAGTGTTAAGAATTGGAGTAAAGTGAAGGATTGGGCTGCTGATCCATGTGTGACACTAATAAAAATAATGGTGTTACACTAATAAAGATAAGTATATATGTATATAAACAGAATACCGAGAACTAGGATTGTGGTCACTAGTTCATAACCATTTTTTAGAGTTTATGTTATAATTGCTTACTTGTCTTATAGTTGTTTTTATGTCAGCTATACCCATTTGATTGTGAGCCCCTTGAAGGCTAGGGAAGCTCTCATTTGAATGTCTGTTGTAGACAGTGGCTTAGCACAGTGCTTAATAGAATAGCACTCAATAAATATTTGGTGAGTGAGTGAATGACAGTAAAGATGTTGAAGCACAGTGATTTTAGAGTAACGTCTGAATCACAAAAAGAATTTTAGATTACTTACTGGACAATGTTAGTATGTGATGTGTATATAATCACATATGTATAAAAATTTGTTTATGTTTGTTAATGTATATATGAATAGTAAATGTTGACTAGAATATTTTATTAACTTTTAGGTTATTATTTCCAAAATTAATGTTCCTAATCATACAGGATAACAAAGTTTATGTTATGTTTAGCTTTGGAAACAGGTTCAAATTCTGAGATAGTAATTAAGTCAGTCTTTTGGTTTTTTTTCTTTTTTTTTGAGACGGAATCTTGCTCTGTCGCCCAGGCTGGAGTGCAGTAGCACGATCTCGGCTCACTGCAAGCTCCACCTCCCGGGTTCACGCCATTCTCCTGCCTCACCCTCCCAAATAGCTGGGACTACAGGCACCCATCACCACACCCAGCTAATTTTTTGTGTTTTTAGTAGAGATGGGGTTTCACTGCGTTAGCCAGAATGGTCTCGATCTCCTGACCTCGTGATCCACCCACCTCGGCCTCCCAAAGTGCTGGGATTACAGGTGTGAGCCACCGCGCCCTGCGTAGTCTTTTGCTTTAAATTCGTTTTTAGTCTGATTTATTTAATGTACTGGTAATCATTTAGGATATATCCTTTAGTTACTACTTTTGTGGTTTACTGTCATTGTCTTTAATGATTAGTTTCTTCGTAAAATGGGGATCTGTTGAATAGGAGTTGAAAAATCCTCAGTACTTAACAAAATAGTTTAGCAAATTGCTTTTCTTTCCTTAATTCTAAAACAAAACTAGATTATGTAAATTTGTAGAATTTTTTTAAAAGCATGTGGTTTTTAATTAAATTTTCTACTAATTAACATAATACATGAGCGACAGCTTTGTACAAAACACTGTGCTAGGCAGTGTGTGGGTGACATACCGTTCTAGGCAGTATGTAAGAAACAGTTGTCTTGCAGTGAGATTGAAACAGATTAATCAGAATTGTTAAACCGAGGGAAAAAGATATAAAGCATGCCTTAAACATCTTATTTTAACATAAAACACACAAAAGAGGCTAGCTAATCTTTAGATGAAGAGCTAAGACTTTTTAAAATATGGGTCCATTGACTGGAATTTATTTAACAAATGTTTACATGGTGCTTACTGTGTACATATAACACAATGTGCTAATTTCTTTACAAATTTTCACTTAATTCTCATACCAGCCCAAGAGGTGTGAAGGTTCATGTAATATTAGTACTGATTTTCCTCAGATGTTTGATAGAATTTGCCAGAGAAGCCACCTGGGCCTGGATTTTCTTTGGGAATGGTTCTTAATTTTAGATTTAATTGTTTTTTTTTTGAGACAAAGTCTGGCTCTGTCATCCAGGCTGGAATGCAGTGGTGTGATCTCGGCTCACTGCAACCTCCACCTCCTGGGTTCAAGCAATTCTTCTGCCTCAGCCTCCCGAGTAGCTGGGATTACAGATGCCTGCCACCACGCCTGGCTAATTTTTGTATTTTTAGTAGAGATGGGGTTTCACCATGTTGGCCAACCTGGTTTCGAACTCTTGACCACAAGTAATCTGCCCGCCTCGGCTTCCCAAAGTGCTGGGATTATAGGCGTAAGCCACCGCGCCCAGCCTAGATTCAATTTTTGTAATAGATCTAGTGCAGCTATATTTTCTATTTCTTTGTGTCAAATTTAGTAAATTTGAGTTTCTGAGGGATTTGTTTATTTCATTTAATTGTTGAATTTATAGATATATGTTGGTTATAATATCGCCTTTAAAAGTCTTTAGAATCTGTAGTGATATTCACCCTTTCATCGCTGATACTGATAATTTATATGTTTATATGTTCCTTTTCTTTGTGAGTTTGTTATATAGGTATGTCAGTTTTTAAAAAATCGTTTTGAAGAATCAGCATTTAGTTTCCTTGATTTTTTTTCTATTTTTTCTTCTATTTCATTGATTTTTGCTTTCTTTTTGTTGTTTTTGCTTACTTTGGTTTGATTTTGCTCTTTTTCTGGTTCCTTAATGTGGAAGCTTAGATTAGTAATTTGAGACCTTTTTTCTGGAGAGACAGAGTCTTGCTCTGTTGTCCAGCCTAGAGTGCAGTGGGCATGATCATAGCTCACTGCCTCCTCAAACTCTCGTGCTCACTGCCTCAGCCTTGCAAGTAGCTGGGACTCCAGGTGTGTGCCACCATGCCCTGCTAATGTTTTAATTTTTTTGTAGAGAATGGGGTCTTGCTACATTGTCCAAGCTGGTCTCAAACTCCTGGCCTCAAGTGATCCTCTCCCCTTGGCCTCCCAAAGTGCTGGAATTACAGGTGTGAACCACTGAGCCTGGCCTCTTCTTTTCTAATTAAAACCTTAATGATATAATTTTTTCTCTAAGCACTGCCTTAGCTACATCCCACAAATTCGTTACATATATATATTTTTTTTTTCAGTACAAACCTTTAAAAAATTTTTTTCACTTGAAGCTTTCTCTTTGACCTCCAAGCAGTTCATCTAGAAGTATATTGTTGAATTCCCAAATGTTAAGAGATTTTCTGTTGATTTCTAGTTTAATTCCATTACAGTTAAAGAACATTCTTGGTATGACTTCAATTCTATTTAATTTGGGTTTTGTTTTCCTCTTCTTTAAAAATTTAATAGAGACGAGGTCTTACTGTGTTACTCAGGCTGGTCCCTTGGCCTCAAACGATCCTTCTACCTCAGCCTCTCAAGTAGCTGAGGTTATAGGTGAGAGCTACCATGCCTGGTCCTATTTAATTTGTTAAGTTTGATTTTAGAACCCCAGCTATGTCCTACATTCATGAATGTTCTAGTACACTGCTGTGTTGGGTGTAATGTTCTGTAAGTGTCAGTGAGATGCCGTCAGTTGGTGGTGGTGTTCAGTTCACTGTCCTTGTTTGTGTTCTGTCTGCTAGGTTGATCAGTTATGGTGGGAGGTATGTTGAAGCCTCTAACTATAATTAGATTTATTTCTCCTTTCCTCTCTGTTAGTTTTTGCTTTTTGTTTTTGAAGCTCTGTTGTTGGGTGCATTCACAGTTAGGATTGTTGTATCTTCCTGGTGACTTCACCCTTTTATGCTTATGTAATGTCCTTCTGTATCCCTGGTTTTCCTTTCTCTGAAGTCTACTTTGTCTGATTTTAATGTAACCCCTCCAACGTTCTATTTGTTTGGTGGTGGTGGTGGTTGTTTTGAGACGGAGTTTCGCTGTTGTTGCCCAGGCTGAGTGCAGTGGTGTGATCTCCGCTCGCTGCAATCTCTGCCTGCCAGGTTCAAGCAATTTTCCTGCCTCAGCCTCCCAAGTAGCTGGGATTACAGGCTTATGCCACCACGCCTGGCTAATTTTTTATTTTTAGTAGAGATGGGGTTTCGTCATGTTGACCAGGCTGATCTCGAACTCCTGACCTAAGTGATCCACCTGCCTCGGCCTGCCAAAGTTTTGGGATTACAGGCGTGAGCCATTGCGCCCGGCCTGTTGTTTTGAGACAGGATCTTGCTCTGTTGCCCAGTCTGGAGTGCACTTGCACAAACATGGCTGTCTGCAGCCTTGACCTCCTGGGCTTAAGCAGTTCTCCCACTTCAGTCCCCCCGAGTAGCTGGGACTACAGGCACATGCTACCGTGTCCAGCTAATTTTTATTTTTAATTGTAGAGATGGGATCTTGCTCTTAGTCTGGTCTTGAACTCCTGAGCTCCAGCGATCCTCCCACATCAGCCTCCCAAAGTGCTGGGCTTACGGCATGAGCCACCATACCTGGCCTCCAACTTTCTTTTGATTAGTGTTTGCATATATACCTTTCCCATACTTTACTTTTAAACTACCTACATTATTATATTTGAAGTGAGTTTGTTGTTGACAGTATATAGTGGATCATTTTTTGGTTCATTCTCACAATATCTGTCTTTTAATTGTGTTTATACCATTTTCATTTAATTATGTAATTTTTGAATGTTTGAGTTTAGGTCTACATTTTATTATTTGTTTTCTGTTCTCTCATTTTTGTTTCTGTTTCCTGCTTTTTGAGCTATTTGAACATATTTTTAAATTCCATTAAAAAATTTTTTTTTTGCTTTTTTTGTGTAGTATTTTTGTTTTTTTGTTTTTTGAGATGGAGTCTCACTGTGTCACCCAGGCTGGAGTGTAGTGGCGTGGTCTCAGCTCACTGCAGCCTCTGCCTCCCGTGTTCAAGCAATTCTCCCGCCTCAGCCTCCCAAGTAGCTGGGACTGCAGGTGCGTGCCATCACACCGGGCTAATTTTTGTATTTTTAGTAGAGATGGGGTTTTACTATGTTGGCCAGGCTGGTCTCGAACTCCTGACCTCGTGATCCACCCACCTTGCCCTCCCAAAGTGCTGCGATTATGGGCATGAGCCACCATGCCTGGCCGTATACAATTTTTTAGTGGTTGCTCTAGGGGTTACAATGGATGAACTTTTCTTTTTTTTTTTTTGAGACAGTTTCACTCTCGTTGCCCAGGCTGGAGTGCGATGGCACCATGTCAGCTCACTGCAACCTTCGTCTGCTGGGTTCAAGTGATTCTTTTGCCTCAGCCTCCCTAGTAGCTGGGATTACAGGCGCCCACCACCATGCCCAGCTACTTTTTTGTATTTTTAGTAGAGACGGGGTTTCACCATGTTGGCCAGGCTGGTCTTGAACTCCTGACCTCAGGCGATCCACCTGCCTTGGCCTTCCAAAGTGCTGGGATTACAGGCGTGAGCCACCGCACCCAGTCGAACTTGTTTTCATAGGCTACTTCCAGTCAATGTTTTTCCACTTCTCATGGAGTATGAAAACCTTACTATTCTATAGATGATCTCTTTACCCTTCTTCCCTTTATCCCATAATGTTTTGGTTATCTTATGTATTACATTTACATACATTGAAAGCTCTATCAGACAGTACTGGTTTTGTTTTTAATTGTCAAACATATTTTAAGAGACTTGCAGAGCCATCTGTAACAGATATTCGCCGTTTCTGTAACTCTTGCTTTATAATGTTCTGGGTTTCCTTCTGGTTAACACTTCCTTTCTGCATTAAAAACTTCTTAAGCAATTCTTTTTTTTTTTTTTTTTTGGAGACAGAATCTCACTCTGTCACTGAGGCTGGAGTGCAGTGGTGCCATCTCGGCTCACTGCAGCCTCTGCCTCCCAGGTTCAACCAATTCTCCTGCCTCAGCCTCCCGAGTAGCTGAGACTACAGGCGAGTGCCACTGCGCCCAGCTGATTTTTTGTGTTTTTAGTAGAGACGGGGTTTCGCTGTGTTAGCCAGGATGGTCTCAATCTCCTGACCTCGTGATCCACCCACCTCAGCCTCCCAAAGTGCTGGGATTAGAGGTGCGAGCCACTGCGCCCGGCCTTTTTGTTTTGTTTTGTTTTTTGAGACACAGTTTTGCGCTTGTTGCCCAGGCTGGAATGCAGTGGTCCGATCTCAGCTCACTGCAGCCTCTACCTACTGTGTTCAAGCGGTTCTCCTGCCTCAGCTTCCTGAGTAGCTAGGATTACAGGTGCCCGCCACCACGCCCAGCTAATTTTTTGTATTTTTTTTTTTCGTAGAGACGGGGTTTCACCATGTTGGCCAGGCTGGTCTCAAACTCCTGACCCCAGGTGATCCCACCTGACTTGGCCTCCCAAAGTGCTGAGATTACCAGGTGTGAGCCACCAGACCTGGCCCGCAATTCTTTTAGATCAGGTCTACTGGTGACAAATTCTCTTACTAGTTTTCCCTCATCTGAGAATGACTTTATTTTTGAGGGATATTTTCCCTGGATATATAATTTTAAGTTGACAGTTCTTTTTTTTCAGCACTTTAAAAACGTTGTTTCGCTTCCTTTTGGTCTCCCTGGTTTCTGAAGTGAAATCTACAGTCATTTAATAGGTCCCTTGTAGGTAATGCATCGTTTTTCCCAGACTGCTTTCAATATTTTAAAAAATTGTCAGCTGGGTACGGTTGTCTCATGCCTGTAGTCCCAGCTACTTGGGAGGCTGAGGCAGGGGAATCACTTGAACCTGGAAGGCAGAAGTTGGAGTGAGCAGAGATCGTGCCACTACACTCCAGCCTGGGTAACAGAGTGAGACTCCGTCTCAAAAAAAAAATTGTCTTTGGGTTTTAGCAGTTTGATTATGAGTCTGGACATGAATTTCTTTGTATTTTGTCTGATTCAAGTTTGCTAAGCTTTTGGAGTCTGTAGAGTTAATATGTTTTGCTAAATTTGGGAAGTTTTCAGGCAGTATTTTTTCTTTCTTTTTTTTTTTTTTAAATCGAGATCTGAGAAAGGCCATATTTTAAATAATGTTTTTAAAGAATAAAAATACTCTTTCTCCTATCCTTATGGGATTTTTTTTTTTTTTTGAGACAGTCTCTCTCTCTGTCGCCCATGCTGGAGTGCAGTGGTGCGATCTCCGCTCACTGCAAGCTTCGCCTCCTGGGTTCATGCCATTCTCCTGCCTCAGCCTCCCGAGTAGCTGGGACTATAGGCACCCGCCACCACGCCCGGCTAATTTTTTGCATTTTTAGTAGAGACGGGGTTTCACTGTGTTGGCCAGGGTGGTTTCGATCTTTTGACCTCGTGATCCGCCCGCCTCGGCTTCCCAAAGTGCTGGGATTACAGGCGTGAGCCACTGCGCCTGGCCCCCTTATAGGATTTAATGACCCAACTGTCATTAAGACATTAAGACCCCTTGCTGTTGTCCTACAGATCTGTAAGGCTTTGTTCACTGTTTTCAATTTTTTTCTCTCTTTTTTTCAGATTAGATACTTTCTATTGACTTACCTACAAGTGTCCTGGCTCTTTTCTCTGTCATTTCCCATTCTGGTGTTTAGTCCATACAGTTTCTTTCTTTGGTTTGTAATTTTTTATTCTAAGATTTTGTTTTTATTTTTATTTTGAGACAGGATCTTACCATATTGCTCAGGCTAGTCAACTAAACTAGACTCAAGCAGTCCTCCTGCCTCAGCCCCCTGAGAAGCAAGGATTAGTTCTGAGATTTGTCTCCTCTTTATGTCTTTACTTTTTTTTTGAGACGGAGTCTCGCTCTGTTGCCCAGCTGGAGTGCAGTGGTGTGATCTCAGTCCACTTCACCGTCCGCCTCCCGGGTTCAAGCAGTTCTCTGCCTCAGCCTCCTGAGAAGCTGGGACTACAGGCACGTGCCACCACACCAAGCTAATTTTTGTATTTTGAGTAGAGATGGGGTTTCATCATGTTAGCCAGGCTGGTCTTGAACTCCTGACCTCACGATCCACCCGCCTCTGCCTCCCAAAGTGCTGGGATTAGAGGCGTGAGCCACTGCGCCTGGCCTGTCTTTACTTTTTAATCTTTCCATTCAAGAGAAATTTCCCTTACTCGTTGTAGCTTTTTTTTTTTTTTTTTTTTTTGGAGACAGTCTTGCTCTGTCGCCCAGGCTGGAGTGCAATGGCACGATCTCGGCTCACTGCAACCTCCGCCTCCCCAGTTCAAGCGATTCTCCTGCCTCAGCCCCTTGAGTAGCTGGGACTACAGGCGTGTGCCACCACGCCCGGATAATTTTTGTATTTTTCATAGAAGAGTTTCACCATGTTGGCCAGGCTGGTCTCGAATACCACCCGCCTTGGCCTCCCACAGTGTTGGGATTACAGGTGTGAGCCACTGCACCCAGCCAGCATTTTTATAGTAGCTGCTTTAAAGTCTTTGTCAGTTAATTCCAACATTGGTGTTGTCTCAGGTTGATGTGTGAGTTGAGATTTTCCCAGTGAGTATCACCCACTTTCTGTCTATACCAGCGGTCCCCTTTCTAGTTCCTCAAGCCAGGACTAGAGAGCTCTTGATGCTCTTTCTCTCTGCTGATGCTCATTTCCGGGTTTCAGCCTGCTGTGCATCCAGGCTGGGGAACATCAGAGGGAAAAATGATAAACTCGCCGCCAGTTTATTGGTACTTCAAATTGTGGTCTTCTTCATCCATCTGCTATTATTTTTCATAGTTCTCAGATAGCTGCTACATGCATTCTGTTCAGGTTTTACAGCTTCATTCAGTGAAAGAGACACTGAACCTAGAACCCTGTTCCTTACATCTTTTGTTTCTATTTTTAAGGACCATCCATGTTGCTTTAAGTACAGCTGTTTAATTTTGTCTGCTGCATAGTATTCTGTCATGTTTTTGTCAAATTTTGTTTGTCTTTTTTTTTTTTTTTTTTTTGGATACAGGGTCTCACTCTGTCACCCAGGCCTGGAGTGCAGTGTCATGAACATAGCTCTCTGTTGCCTCCTTGACTTGACCTCCTGGGTGCAAGTGAGCCTCCCACCTCACCCTTGCAAGTAGCTAGGACTACAGGCGTGCACCCCCACAGCCAGCTAATTTCTAAATATTCTGTAGAGAGGGTCTTGCCATGTTGCCCAGGCTGTTCTTGAACACCGGCCTCAAGCGATCCTCCTGCCCGGACCTCCCAAACTGCTGGGATTATAGGCATGGACCACCGTACTTGGCCTCATTTGTCCTCTTGAAATGAACACTTAGCATTCTTCTACTTCCTTACTACCACAAAATGCATACATGCGTCTTCATGGTGCTGTGTACAAATTTCTGTGGTGGTGCGTGTCCAGGAATGGAATTGCTGTGTCTTAAGGTATATGGGTACCTTTCATTAAAGCATACTTTTCATTAAATACTGCCAAATTAGTGTCTAAAATGATCATATCAGTTTATACATTTATATTGGCCAGTATTTGAAAGTCTACTTCTAATTTTTGCCAGTCTGGCAGGTATAATCTTATCTTTGTTAACATGTTCACTTCTAGGATTATACAAAATAGTAAATGAAAACTCGAGAATAACGCCTTAGGTTATCCTTCTCTTAGAAATGTCACTGTTTACTTGACAAGTTTGGTGTATCCGTGTTTAAGCTGGAGTAGTTGTCTACTAAGGGCAAGATCTTTGTAGGACCCATGATAGAGCCATACTCAGGAATATTTTTTGTACCTTTTTAAACCTAATTACCTTATTAATCATGGGTATATTGAGTAATTTAACGGCAAGTTGGATAATGTTCCTTAGGTTAATGTCTTCTAATTTCAGTCACTACTGATAAAAATAAATTGTGTGGGAGTTGATTTGTTATCTTGGTTATATATTAAAAGGCCTTGATGTACAGCAGTCCTCCCTTATCCATGTTTTCATTGTCTGGGGTTTCAGCTACTTTGGTCAAGTGTGGTCTAAAATTGCAGGAATAAACAGTTCATACATTTTAAATTGTGTGTCATTCTGAGTAGTTTGATGAAATCTCGTGCCATCCTGCTCATCCCACCTGGGATGTGAATTACCCCTTTGTCCAGCATATCCACGCTGTGTATGCTACCTGCCCATTAGTCACTTAGCCCTCTTGGATATCAGATTGAAAAACATGGTACTGGCCAGGTGTGGAGGCTCAAGTCTGTAATCCCAGTACTTTGGGAGGCCGAGGCAGGCGGATTACAAAGTCAGGAGATCGAGACCATCCTGGCTAACACGGTGAAACCCCGTCTCTACTAAAAATATAAAAAATTAGCTGGGTGTGGTGGCGGGCGCCCGTAGTCCCAGCTACTCGGGAGGCTGAGGCAGGAGAATGGCGTGAACCTGGGAGGCGGAGCTTGCAGTGGGCCGAGATTGTGCCGCTGCACTCCAGCCTGGGTGACAGAGCAAGACTCTGTCTCAAAAAAAAAAAAAGAAAAAAAAGAAAAAAAGGTACTATGTATAGGATTCGGTATGATCTGCGATTTCAGGCATCCACTAGGGTCTTGAAACGTAACCCTTGGATAAGGGGGTACTACTGTACTTCATAAGGGCAAGGGTGGTTATGTATTAATAGAAATATTCTTACTCAAGTATATGTGAATACATTTTTGTAAATATTCATCAATTTGGAGTATAAAAGAGAAAATACTGAGGCTTCCCTTCAGCTCTACTTTCCAGAGTTAACACCATTAAAATGTTAATACCTGTTTTTATAGGCCCCTTCTCCATGCATTTATATATGTGTATAAAGTAGTATTATAATGTGTATGCTACTTTTCAGCTTGATTTAAAAACAAACAAAAAAAACATTGGGAGGCTGAGGTGGGTGGATCACTTGAGGTCAGGAGTTCAAGACCAGCGTGTCCAACATGGTGAAACCCCGTCTCTACTAAAAAT
Organism: Homo sapiens; assembly: GCF_000001405.40. Taxonomy (NCBI): domain Eukaryota; kingdom Metazoa; phylum Chordata; class Mammalia; order Primates; family Hominidae; genus Homo; species Homo sapiens. The sequence continues at coordinate 71,911,084 of NC_000016.10, forward strand.
ACAAAAAATTAGCTAGGCGTGGTGGTGTGTGCCTATAATCTCAGTTACTTGGGAGGCTGAGGCAGGAGAATAGCTTAAACCCAGGAGGCAGAGGTTGCAGTGAGCGGTGATTGCACCACTGCACTCCAGCCTGGGTGAGAGTGAGACTCTTACGTCAAAAACAAAACAATAAAAGTAACACATCTTGGAGCTCCTCCCTTTCATTTGTTCGGCAGTTATTATCTGAGTGCTTGCTTTGTGCTAAAATGTTTTAGAATGCTACGTTACCTTTTTTTAAAAAAAACTATTGCTATACAAAGTTCAGCCAGGTGTGGTGGTTCACGCCTGTAATCCCAGACACTCCGGAGGCTGAGGCAAGAGAATTGCTTGAACTTGGGAGGCAGGGGTTGCAGTGAGCTAAGATCACAGCACTGCACTCCAGCCTGGGCGACAAAGTGAAGATTGTCTCAAAAACAAACAAAACACCAAAAAACAAAACAAAACTACTGCCATGTATCCCATAAAATAGATGTGTCTTAATTTAATCAGTTTCTAATTGGTGGAATTTAGATGATTTTATCATTGTATGTTCCCCTCTGTATACATGTGAATGTGAACTGTTCTTCAGGATAGACATTTAAACTTCGATTTTTTTTTTTTTTTTTTTTTTTTGAGACAGGGTTTTGCTCTGTTGCCCAGGCTGGAGTGCAGTGGCACAGTAATGGCTCACGTTAGCCTTGACTTCCCAGGCTCCAGTGATCCTCCCACTCCTGCCTCCGGAGTAGCTGGAACTACAGGCTCGCACCACCATGCCATGGCGAATTTTTGTAGTTTTGGTACAGTTGGAGTTTCACCATGTTGCCCGGGCTGGTCTCACTCCTGAGCTCAAGTCTCTGCCTCCCAAAGTGTTGGGATTACAGGTGTGAGCCACTACTCCCGGCCAAACTTGGAAGTTTGAAAGAGTGACCTTGAGAGGTGGTGCCAATTTACGTTTCCAGCAGGAGTTTGAGAATGCACCAGTTTTCTCACTCATCATCATGATCAAGTTTAGAATAATCTCCATTGCAGATTTCCCCCCAAATATTGCTTACCTTTTAATTTTTTTATAGTTTAGGTAATTTTTCCATACAAAATAATTTTATGTCTCTTCTTAAAAAGGCCTGTTCTGTCTCCATTATAAAAATTTTTTTTTTGAGACGGAATCTCGCTCTGTCACTCAGGCTGGAGTGCGGTGGCGCGGTCTCAGCTTACTGCAAGCTCCGCCTCCTGGGTTCACGCCATTCTCTTGCCTCAGCCTCCTGAGAAGCTGGGACTACAGGCGCCCGCCACCATGCCTGGCTAATTTTTTGTATTTTTAGTGGAGACGGGGTTTCACCGTGTTAGCCAGGATGGTCTCGATCTCCTGACTTCGTGATCTGCCCACCTCGGCCTCCCAAAGTACTGGGATTACAGGTGTGAGCCACCGCGCCCGGCCTAAAATATTCTTTTATGTTTATCCTATGTTAATAGTTTTATTTTAGCTCTTGAGAATTAAAAATTTAACTGTGGTGAAGAACACATGGCAACATGACAATTTACCAACTTGCCTGTTTCTAAGTGTAGAGTTCAGTAGTGTGTACTCACATCGTTGTGCAACAGATCTCCATAAACTTTCATCTTTCAAAACTGAAACTCTGTACTCATTAAACAATTCCCTGTTTCCCCCTACTCCCGGACCCTGGTAACCACCATTCTACTTTCTGTTTCTCTGAATTTTAGATACCTCACAAAAGCAGAATCTTACAGTATTTGTTTTTCGTGACTGGCTTATTTCACTTACCATGATGTCCTCAAATTTCATCCATGTTGTAGCATGTGATGGGTAGGATTTCCTTTCCTTTCTAAGGCTGATTAGTACTCTGTTGTATGTGTAGACCACATTTTGTTTATCCATGAATCCCTCAGTGGCCATTTGGGTTGCCTCCACCTCTTGGCCATTGTGAATAATGCTGCTGGGAACATAGGTATGCAAATAGCTCTTTAAAGTTCTGCTTTCCGTTCTTTTGGATATATACCAGAAGTGGGATTTCTAGATTATGTGGTAGTTCCATTTTTAATTTTAATTTTTGAGGAACCGCCATACTGTCTTTCCATAATGGTTGTACCGTTTTGCAATCCCACCAACAGTGCACAAGGGTTCCATTTTCTCCACAGCCTCATCAGTACTTGAAATTTTCTTTTTTTTTTTGATAGTAGCCATCCTAATGGGTGTGAGGTGGTATCTCATTGTGATTTCATTTTGCCTTTCTCTAGATATTAATGATATTGGCACTTTTGATATGCTTATTGACCACTTGTATATCATTTTTGGAGAAATATCTTCAAGTATTTTGCCCAGTTTTTAATCAGGTTGTTGTTATTGAGTTACAGGAGTCATTTACATGCAATTAGCTCTTGGTTTTTGTTTGTTTGTTTTTGAGACAGAGTCTTGCTCTCTCACCTAGCCTGGAATACTGTGGTGTGATCTTGGCTCACCACAGCCTCTGCTTCTGGGACTCCAGCAATCCTCCCGGCTCAGCCTCCCGAGTAGCTGGGACCACAGGTGCATGCCACCACGCCCGGCTAATTTTTGTATTTTTTGTAAAGATGGGGTTTCTCCATGTTGCCTAGGCTCGTCTTGAACTCATGGGCTCAAGCAGTCCTCCCACCTTGGCCTCCCAAAGGACTGGGATTACAGACATAAGCCACCACACTCACACCCTACTATTTAGCTTTTTATTTTTGGATACGGAGTTTCACTCTTGTTGCCCAGGCTGGAGTGCAATGGTGTGATCTCAGCTCACTGCAAACTCCGCCTCCTGGGTTAAAGCAATTCTCCTGCCTCAGCCTCCGGAGTAGCTGGGATTACAGGCATGCGCCACCACGCCTGGCTAATTTTGTATTTTTAGTAGAGATGGGGTTTCTCCGTGTTGGTCAGGCTGATCTCGAACTCCCGACCTCAGGTGATCCACCCACCTAGGCCTCCCAAAGTGCTGGGATTACAGGCGTGAGCCACTGCGCCCGGCTGGTTTTTGTTGTTTGTTGTTTTTCCAGTAGAATACAGGTTCATTTGAGGACAGGGGTTGTACCTTTTTTTTTTTTTTTTGAGACAGAGTCTTGTTCCTCCAGGCGGGAGTGCACGATCTTGGCTCACTGCAACCTCCACCTCCCGGGTTCAAGCGATTCTCCTGTCTCAGTCTCCCGAGTAGCTGGGACTACAGGTGTGCGTCACCACGCCCAGCTAATTTTTTTTGTATTTTTAGTAGAGATGGGGTTTCACCATGTTGGCCAGGATGGTCTCCATCTCCTGACCTCATGATCTGCCCACCTCGGCCTCCCAAAGTGCTAGGATTACAGATGTGAGCCGCCGCACCCAGCAAGGAGTGTACCTTAATTTATGCTTTTTATCTCCATCAAGCCAATGTCTCACATACAGGTAATCAGTAAATACTTATTGCATGGATTGAACATAATTTAATTACTGGATTCCAGATACTTGATGACATAAATGCCCCATTTTAACCTGGGACTTAGGTTAATTCTTAAATGTAGGGTAAAGAAAGGCTTTTGGGGGCAATTTTACAAAAGGAAAACACATCTGATGTTTTTTATTAGTGGTTAATTCACTAGTAGACAAGTACTATTCCTACTGCTCTTTCTTTCTTTGGTGCTCTTTTGATTTGTCTGTTCTTCAGTTACTTTGTTTGACCTATCTTTTGTTTGGATATTACATGTTTTTAAGTTTGAGTCCAGAATTTAAATTTAGAGAAATAGAAATTGTGCTGTTTTGAAATAGAATGCACAGTGGTCAGTGCACAATGGTATACCCTAAAGTCTTGCGGGTAGAGGACGGGTGGTTTTGTTTACTGTAACTCTGCTATTCAGTGAAATTCCTGGTAAAGAGCCTTCTGTTGTAGAATTTTGTAGAGCAGTGTTTTCCTTGGACTTTTCACCCCTTTGTGTAACCCTGTATGTGAGTAGATGTCAATGATATTTCTGTACTCTTGGGTACTAGCTTTTCCCCAAAAACTGAGACTTGTTGGCAGGATTTGGGGAGTTAAGATGAAAATATTTTCAATTATGGGTCTAAATTTAATCATCTTCCCCCATTGCCATCCCTGTTGAGATTTTTTTGGGAGAAGCAGGGAGCCCTTCTGCTTCTTTATCTTTTTATCACACCACCCCCATGCCAATATCTAGGTATTAATTTCATCTGTCACCAAATTCTTTCAGCTGTGCCTTTAAAGTAGATTTCAAATCCAGTTGCTGACACTGCTAACCACCCTAGTCTGAGCTATTACCATCTCTTGTCTGGATGATAATAATAGCCTTCCCATTGGTCTTCCTGCTTCCAGTATTATCCTTCCCCAATCAGTTTTTTTTACAACAGCCAAAACAATCTGTAAAAAATGTGAATTAGATCATGTCATTTTCCTGTATTAGAAAAACACTCTGTTTTTGTTTCACATAATTCACCCCTAAGAGGTGTTAGTTCCTGAACTAATGTTGACTTGAAAATAGTCATTGTGCTTCTTCTGTTTCTAGGAGGAACAGCACAGCATGCTGGGCTCTGGATTTAAAGCTGAGCGCTTAAGAGTGAATTTGAGATTAGTCATAAATCGCCTTAAACTATTGGAGAAAAAGAAAAGTGAGTAGTGTACTTTTTTTCCCCAAAAATAAATCACTGGATACTAGCACCCCAGTAATGGGTCTTTCAGGCCAGTACTATGAAGTCTTAGGGATCATATTTTTTTTTGTTGTTTTTGTTGAGACAGGGTCTCACTCTGTCGCCCAGGATGGAGTGCAGTGGTGTGATCTCGGCTCACTGCAACCTCCATCTCGTGGGTTCAAGTGATTCTTGTGCCTCAGCCTCCCAAGTAGCTGGGATTACAGGTGTGTGCCACCACACCTGGCTAATTTTCATGTTTTTAGTAGAGACGGGATTTCACCACGTTGGCCAGGCTGGTCTTGCACTCATGACCTCAAAGTCATCTGCCTGCCTCAGCCTCCCAAAGTGCTGGGATTACAGGCGTGAGCTACCATGCCCGCCCTGGGATCATATCTTTTAAGCTTTGGATCCATTTCTGCCCTTTGTGACTTTTAGACTGAGTACCTTTTTTGCAGAGAAAGGGACATACTCTGTTGTTGTGGCATTAGGTCACCTGACTCTTGAGTTGGAAATGTCAAGCCACATGAGCTATATTTTCTCACCTAGACAGAGTAGCAAATTCTACAGTAGAGGGGATGGGATTAGATTTGCTAAAGGAGAGGAGCTAGGATATAGTAGAAACACCCAGTTCTTCCTGTTGGGGGGAGATTGGCCTGTAGGCCAGATGCAAGTGCTCTACTGCTGTGAGATCGGAGTGGGATTTGTGTCTTAGCGGAACTGGCCCAGAAAGCAAGGAAGGAGATTGCTGACTATCTGGCTGCTGGGAAAGATGAACGAGCTCGGATCCGTGTGGAGCACATTATCCGGGAAGACTACCTCGTGGAGGCCATGGAGATCCTGGAGCTGTACTGTGACCTGCTGCTGGCTCGGTTTGGCCTTATCCAGTCTATGAAGTAAGATATTTTGATTCAGAGACCTAAATCATTTCTGGAATTTGAGAAAGGAGTAATATGATCTCTTTCTGCATTAAGGGACTATTTCACATGCCCAAGGATCTGCTGCCTAACAGTTGCTGAAAGGCCTGTTAAAAAGAAAATACAGAATCTGAAACTGAGAAGCCTAAATTTGAATCTTGGCTCGACCATTTTCCGAGTTCATGGCCTTGAGCTTGTTGCCTAGTTTTGAGTTCCTCCAAAAGTAAAATAAGATCACGAAAATGGCTAGAAGCCTAGAGTTATTGTGAGAATCTAGTGAGATTCACAGAATGGCTTTGGAGGCTATAAAGTATATGAAACAAAAGCTAGGATTTTGTTGGTTTGTTTTAAAGAATGTTATATTAATTTTTTTCCTTGATTAGGGAACTAGATTCTGGTCTGGCTGAATCTGTGTCTACATTGATCTGGGCTGCTCCTCGACTCCAGTCAGAAGTGGCTGAGTTGAAAATAGTGAGTACAAGTAGTTTCAGTGATGTCTGTAGCTTTTCATATTGTTAGAAAGGTTGGTTAATATAAGTTACTTCTGCTGATTTGACCAGATATTTTGTACCATTCTTATGTTGCTTTTGAAATAGGTTTTGTAAATTTGTTTCTCCCTTTCAGCCTTATATCGTAGAATAGAACAGTGTTTTGCAAACTTGAGCAGTTTTTTTAAGGAGCAAAGTTTTGTGTATCTCCAGTTTTGTCTTAATGTTATTTAACTCTATGCAAATAGAAAAGTTCTTATACAACTGTAAACCAGTAAAGTTAAAATAACATTAAGGTGACAGATGTTTTTGCTTTATTTATTAATTCCACAAATATTTATTAAATAAATTGTATGAGCTATGTAAGTGCTGGGGGTAACAGTGGTGAACAAAATATGGCACCAGCCATACTCCTGTAGCTTAGAGTCTAGCAGAAGAGACAGACATTAACCAGAAAATTGCACATCACAACATGGATATGGTACTGACTCCTAGGATACAAATTCAGTTGTGTTGTTTTCTATTTTCTACATCTTTGCCTTTCTGTTTTATTTCCTAGGAGACTGTGTCATTCTTATCTCTCAACCCATCTACTGAGATTTCCTTCTTTTCTAGGTTTTTTTCAAGAGCTCTTTTTAATTCTCTGAATATTTTTTATGGTTTGTTTCATGGCTACAATTTTTTCTAAGTCTCTGAGGATATTAATTATGGTTTATTTTTAAACGTCTGTCATGTTTGTTTCTCTCAAGTTCATTTTTCCTATTTCTTAGTTTTATAGTAGAGGCTTTCCAAAGATTTAGTGGTCCTTGGCTGTCGGTTTACATTTAAGAGTGAGGCACTAAAAAGGAGATTGGAACCTCTCGTGTGCATGGGTGGGTTTTTACTGCCAGATGCCTTCATTGCTGAGTGATCTGGTTAAGCTCTTATTTGGAGGAATTCCAGACTGTGAGGAACTAGTCATCTTTCCTTGGGTTGGTCGTTTTCTCCAGAATCCTCCTATCTTCTGTCGAGTGTATAAGCTGGCTGCCAGCATTTCTGAGAGCCCAGTGGAGAAGGAAGCCAAAAATCTATTTGATACATAGAAGACTTACACTTAATTCTTCTGTTGTAAGTATCACTGTTGTCTCCTGTGTGTAGACTCGAGTCGCTTTAGTTAACTCCCCCCAGAGAATAAACTTCCAATAGTCCAATAGGGTACCAGGGATAGTAATTGAGTTTTGTGGGCAGAGAAGAGGGACAGTAGAGGCAACTGATTCTTATGTAGGCTTTTTTTTTTTTTTTTTGAGATGGAGTCTTGCAGTGTTGCCTGGGCTGGAGTGCAGTGGTACAATTTTGGCTCACTGCAACCTCTGCCTCCTGGGTTGAAGCGATTCTTTTGCCTCATCGTCCTTAGTAGCTGGGATTACAGGTGCCCGCCACCATGCCCAGCTAATTTTTTGTATTTTTGGTAGAGACGGGATTTCATCATGTTGACCAGGCTGGTCTCGAACTCCTGACCTCGTGATCCGCCTGCCTCGGCCTCCCAAAGTGTTGGGATTACAGGCGTGAGCCACCATGTTGAGCCGTTTTTGGTCTCTTCTGTACTCCTTTAAAATTAATTTTGGAAAAGGCTTAAATATGTTACAAAACTCAAAAGCCATAAACAGAGTGATAAATTAATGTGAATAAAAAAATCTCTGTGTAGTATAAACCAGCCAAAACAAAAACCATAAAAGACAAATGCCATTTATATCATAGGTGTCAGGTACCCCTGAAAGTCTTCATAATGAACAGTGAGAACTCTCCTACTGGGCTTCTGGAATGTTGGGACCACTCTGGTCCAATGCTACTGTCGTTTCCTGTCTGGAAATGAGAGTAGCTTCTTGAATATTCTTCCTATTCCTACTTTGGCTTCTTTTAATCTATTCACACCATTCCATCAGAACCACCTGAGGGTTTTGTCCAAAACACAGCTCCGATCCTGTCACGACCTCTTGCTTTAAAGCCCATTAGTAGCTTTCTGTTGCTCTTGTGATAGAAACAAAACTCCCTGATACAGCCTACATGGTCCTGCATTGTCTGGCTCCCACTTCCCTTTTTCATTTCTTACCACACTCCTTGGCCTCTGCACTAGAGGCTCACTGGCTGATTGCAGGCTTGAGAACTGACCATGTTTGTTTCTGCCAGAGGCCTTTGCACTGCTGTTTTCTTTTCCTGGAATGTGCTTCCTTCCCTATTTAGTTAACTCCTAGTCATCCTTTAATTTATTATTTGAGACGGTCTTGATCTGTCACCCAGGCTGGAGTGCAGTGGCACGATCTTGCCTCACTGCAGCCTCGGCTTCCTGGGCTCAACTGATCATCCTCCCACCTCAGCCCCCTGAGTAGCTGAGACAAGAGGTGCGTGCCACCATGCCCAGCTAATTTTTGTATCTTTTAAAAATAGAGACTAGGGTTTTGCTGCGTTGCCCAGGCTGGTCTTGAACACCTGAACTCAAGTGATCAGCCTGCCTCAGCCTCACAAAGTGTTGGGATTACAGGCATGAGCCACGATGCCTGGCCTTAGTCATCCTTTAAATCTCAGCAAAGCATCACTTCCCTCAGGAAGCCTTACCTGACTTTTCTGATCAGATTTGATTCTGCTGTTAGAAGCTGGTGATAGCATGGTGCACCTTCCCTTGGTATCACTTACTGTAGTTGCAGTTGTACCTTTATCTGTGTGATTATTTTGTTAGAAATGCTTGTTCCCCAGTGCCACAGAGAAATAGCACTCAAATATAAATTTATTTCAGCAAGGCAATTTTTACCTTCTGCAGAAAGGGTGCTCCTTGCAGATGGAACAATGGCGAGCGCACACTGAACAAAGGGGGTAAAAATATTTATATCCTACACATCTGGACCCTACTGCTGTGTCCTGATTCCATTGGCTGGAACTGGACCTCACAGTCTGGGCTACACCCGTTTGGCTAAAGGTTTTAAAAGTTTTTAAAATAGATATATGCAAGGGAGAACAAAGGAAAAGAGGAACTTGCTTATGAGAAGACTTAGAAAAGTACTAACATTCCCAAATAAGGAAGGGGCATAGGCTGCGAGCTGGGACTTGCCTGTGAGCACATCTAGCACAGATATCTTGGTTAAAGTACAAGGACATAGAATGTATTTCTTATATTTAACAGCTACATAGGATACGGCTTAACAAAGAGTTATTAGCACAAAGCAAGGAGGCTTGAAGGAAGTTAGTCTTTTAAAAGAAGCTTATTTCTAACACTTATGATTTATTCTTTAACAAGGGAAATTTTGAAGAGGAAACTTTACTTTGTACAATTTGATTAATGTAAGACTCTATAAGAGTAAGAACAGTATCTGTTTTGTTCATTTTATTTATATTGTATAATACTCATGATAGTGTTTGGCACTCGAGTGCTGCTCATTGGATGGATGGATGGATGGATGAACAAATAGTGGATTAATGCATACCCCTTAAGGTTTTGCAGACTCCAGTGTTTTGGAAATCTTGTAATAGACGCGTGTTTACTGTTGCCAGGAAGAAGCTTAAAGCAGTCCGTTGGAGTGGTCTCTATTTTTATTTGCTGTCCTTTTTCTTTTTAGGTTGCTGATCAGCTCTGTGCCAAGTATAGCAAGGAATATGGCAAGCTATGTAGGACCAACCAGATTGGAACTGTGAATGACAGGGTAATGAACATACTTGGTAAACATGAAGGCAGTGTGTGGGAGCAGTTTATTGTACTGCTTGTGGCAATTCTAGTGGGTACCACTGTATTGCTCAGTATGGGGTTTCACCTTTCATAGTGGGGTGAGGAGGACAGCTGTGTGGCTGGCAGTGTGGTCCAATCCTTACACCTGCCCAATTCCTCTGGTTACTGTCATTCCTGACTCCACTTCCCCACTTTGTATGCCTCGTGTCATTTGTGAAGGTTGGAAGTGAGGTGGGGAGAAGGGTGGATGAATTGAACTGTGGAAGGCAGCAGTATCATCTTTTGCCAGCATCTGGGTCATGTGTAATGAGAATGTGAAAGAGAGACTTGGGTCCTCTGATGTGTCTTGTGACTCTGAAAAAAATCATTTAACTGCTCTGAACCTTTTTTTCCCTCAATATTACCTGTAAAATGAGAGGAGCTAACTTCGCATAGTGAGGTGAGGATTAGGCTGGTTGGTATACATGCATCTTAGCCCTGGGTCTTTTTACTTACAGCTAATGCACAAGCTGAGTGTGGAAGCCCCACCCAAAATCCTGGTGGAGAGATACCTGATTGAAATTGCAAAGAATTACAACGTACCCTATGAACCTGACTCTGTGGTCATGGTAAGTTTATCCCAGAATACAAAGAAAAATGAGTTTGTAGGTATGACCTTCTTTGGAAAACAAAAAAAACATTCTTTGCACTAACTTAAATTTGTGTGAGTTTAAGCCTTTGTCCAGTTAGTACCTTTATGACAATAAATGTGCCTGCATATCTCACAGGGTACTTAAGGAATTAGATGAATGACAACACTTTGAGAAGGTCAAAACCTTGATACAAATGTAAAATGGCACTATTATTGCTACTTTTTGGTGAACTTCAGGAATTGAGAAACCTCCTGTTCATAGCAAGAAATGCCCCAAGACCCAAACAGTTCCCGAAACATTTATTGGGTACCCACCATGTGTCTGATAGTGCACAGAAAGCTGAGGATACAGGGATAAAAAATCATCCACCAGTTGGCCAGGTGCGGTGGCTGGCTCACGCCTGTAATCCCAGCACTTTGGGAGGCCGAGGCAGGCGGATCACAAGGTCAGGAGATCGAGACCATCCTGGCTAACACGGTGAAACCCTGTCTCTACTAAAAATACAAAAAATTAGCTGGGTGTGGTGGTGGGCACCTGTAATCTCAGCTACTCGGGAGGCTGAGGCAGGAGAATGGCTTGAACCCAGGAGGTGGAAGAGCTTGTGGTGAGCCAAGATTGTGCCACTGCACTCCAGTCTGGGTGACAGAGTGAGACTCCGTCTCAAAAAAAAAAACCATCCGCCAGTTAAGGTCAGTGGGGTGTGGTGGATGCTTTGGTGTGTACTGCTCAGACATCCCTATTACCCACAGTTGGAAACACCATCAGGTCCATTCCAGCTGCAGAAGTCATTGGGGAATTGGCTGAGGCCTTTGTTGTGACTGTGTTGCAGCCCAACTTCTCCTTCCACCTAACTCTGCCTTTTCTTCCCCCACAGGTGTTGATCCCAGAAGCACTCCAGTAAACTTGCTTTATGCTAATCTCCATCTCAGACTCCGCTTTCTGGGGAACCTGGCCTTGGACATGGGTTAATGACCTGGGTTTCTCTTTTTTTCTCAGGCAGAAGCTCCTCCTGGGGTAGAGACAGATCTTATTGATGTTGGATTCACAGATGATGTGAAGAAAGGAGGCCCTGGAAGAGGAGGGAGTGGTGGCTTCACAGCACCAGTTGGTGGACCTGATGGAACGGTGCCAATGCCCATGCCCATGCCCATGCCTATGCCATCTGCAAATACGCCTTTCTCATATCCACTGCCAAAGGGACCAGTAAGTATATATAAGTGTGGATGTAAGCTTTAGAAAATGTTATAGATAACAAGTTGGCTCTGTGAACACACTCAGGAATCATAGGTTGTCAGGAGCCATTAGCAGTAAGAACATTTGGTATTAGCTGGCAGTCATCTTGTGGGGAAAAAACACATTGGATTCAGAGAAGGTCTTCTAGTTCAGCTGTAGGAAAATCTATAGAGTTGGTGCTAGAAAAACACTTTTCATATAGGTTTACTGAATATCTTTGGGATCTGTTATAGTCATACTAGTAGTTTTTTCCACAAATGAATAAACCACCAATTATTACCAGGCAGAACAACCTTTGTAGATAAGATGGTCATTGGTAGTAAGAAAGTCTCGTTAGAGTTTTCCCTTGTAAACACTGAAGCACTTGATTCAATAAAGAATAGCCTTTGGCTCTAGATCTTTAAAAATCTGGAATCCTGACCACATGTGGTCCTTTTGGGCATTTTTAAGGATCTTGAATATTTATATATATTTAGTATGAGAATATAAATGTATTTCTTTCTCCCTTCCCATACCCAAACCTTCGAGATTGCAAACTGGAGGCAGTGTCTCTGATGTTGCCTTTCTCCTCTTACAGTCAGATTTCAATGGACTGCCAATGGGGACTTATCAGGCCTTTCCCAATATTCATCCACCTCAGATACCAGCAACTCCCCCATCGTATGAATCTGTAAGTGCCTGAGCCTCTTTTATAAGCAACAGGAGAGTGAATGCCATGAAGAGCGAGCAAAATAATGACCACAGGGAAGGCAGAGTTTTGATCAACTCCTAGTACTGTCATCATTTTTGCTTTGGGATTCTTGTGTTGCTTTATAACACTACCCTGGAAATGTGGAGTGGGTGGTGATGGCAGTATCATTGGTGGCAATGCTTTGTCTGCAATTAAGCCAGGAATCAGGAAGGAACTGCAGATTTCTTAGAAAGTTGTAGTGCTCTATGAGGGCACTTAGCCAGTTGTTTTGACCGACTAGGCAGATAATCACACTGAGCTGATACAATCGTGGTGCTAAAGTATCATAATTATTAAAATATTAGTCCTATGTGTTCTCAACACATGTAAAGGAAGAGTGACCAGATTGATCTTAATCAGAAATGTCCAGTTACATGTCGGCCGACAGCATTGATTTCACATTTTAGTATTCTAGTTAAAATTTGCTAATGAATAGCTAATATAATACCTCGAACTGTAGGTGGTTCAGGTTACTTGTTTTTGACCAGCCTTGTTTCTTCAGTTACTGTAGGCCTTTTGAGACCTGTCTCCATCTAGTATTTTACTGAGAAACAAATTGGTGTGGCATTTGCTATGTAAATTACTCATCTAGGAAGATCTTCCTGTTCCTGAGCTTGCTTTCTGTTCTTTCCTTTGGTTCCCATCTGTAGCTGATGTGTTCTACCTTGGGCCTGAGTTTTTCTTATGCTTTGGTTTTGCATGCGTCACATAACCCACAGCCGTTGGTAGGAATGAGGTCGAAAATCTTCATCAGTATTTGAGGACTTGGTTCTTAAGATATATTCAAGAATGCTTTCCCTTTGCCCAAAGGTGAAAGTATCATTAAAGTTGTCTTAGTATGGTAAGGATTTTTTTTTCTCTGCTTGGCAGTTAAGAGTTCAACATGGGGCTGGGCGGGGTGGTTCACGCCTGTAATCCCAGCACTTTGGGAGGCTTAGGCAGGCGTTCGAGACCAGCCTGGGCAACATGGCGAAACCCTGTCTCTACCCAAAATACAAAAATTGGCCAGGCATAGTGCTGCATGCCTGTGGTCCCAGCTATGCAGGAGGCTGAGGCGGGGCAATGGCTGGAGGCCAGGAAGTGGAGGCTGTGGTGAGCCGTGATTGTATCACTGCACTCCAGCCTGGGTGACAGGAGACCCTGTCTCAAAATCAAAGGAGTTCAACATAGTATCTACCTGATTGGAAAAAATGCAGGGGCAGTTTCTTTGGAACAGGCTCTGTTGCATTTGGTGAGCAACTTAACTTTTGGAAACACAGGGGCTTACACCAGTACTTTCTCCAGTGACACTATTGCTGTCTCCTCTGGTAACAATCTTTGTGTTTCAGGTAGATGACATTAATGCTGATAAGAATATCTCTTCTGCACAGATTGTTGGTGAGTAGTATCAATCAGAAACCTGCAGAGCTCAGTGCTGAACCCTCTGCTGTTTTCTCATTATTGTTCCTCCCTTAGAGACTGTTTCCATGTCCATGGACTTCTATCTGCATGCCCTGTTCTCTTCCCAAATGCTAAAATAGAACTCAGGATATCCTGCTTCTAAGTACAAATCCTAAGTGATAGCTCAGTGATTTTTTTTTTTTTTTTTTTGAGATGGAGTCTTGCTCTGTTGTCCAGGCTGGAGTGCAGTGTTGTGATCTTGGCTCACTGCAAGCTCCGCCTCCCGGGTTCACGCCATTCTCCTGCCTCAGCCTCCTGAGTAGCTGGGACTACAGGCGCCCGCCACCATGCCTGGCTAATTTTTTTGTATTTTTAGTAGAGACGGGGTTTCACCGTGTTAGCCAGGATGGTCTCGATCTCCTGACCTTGTGAGATCCGCCTGCCTTGGCCTCCCAAAGTGCTTGGATTACAGACATGAGCCACTGCCCCCAGCTGATTTTTTTTTTTTTTTTTTGAGACGGAGTCTTGCTCTGTTGCCCAGGCTGGAGTGTGGTGGCACAGTCTTGGCTCACTGCAACCTCTGCCTCCCGGGTTCAGGCTATTCTCCTGCCTCACCTCTTGAGTAGCTGGGATTATAGGCACACGCCACCACGCCCAGCTAATTTTTGTATTTTTAGTAGAGACAGGGTTTCACCACGTTGGTCAGGCTGGTCTTGAACTCCTGACCTTGTGATCCGCCTGCCTCAGCCTCCCAAAGTGCTGAGATTACAGGCATGAGCCACCGTGCCCGGCCAGCTCAGTGAATTTTGTAAAGCAATCATGTTCATGTAGCTACCACTCAATTAAAAAAGTACTGGCCAGGTGTGGTGATTCACATTTGTAATCCAAGCACTTTGGGAAGCTGAGGCAGGAGGATCACTTGAGGCCAGGAGTTTGAGAACAGCCTGGGCAAGATCCTTGTTTCCACAAAAAATTTTTAAAAAACCCATCTGAGCTTGGTGGTATGGACTTGTGGTCACAGCTACTCAAGAGGCGTTCTTAGCCCAGGAGTTCAAGATTACAGTGAGTGATCATTGTACTCCAGCCTGGGGGACAAAAGTGAGACCCTGTCTTAAAAAACAAAAATTAAGATAATACCTACCAGCAAAAACCAGAGGGAAGAATACTTTTAAAATTAGAGGCCGGGTGCGGTGGCTCACCCCTGTAATCCCAGCACCTTGGGAGGCCTAGGTGGGCAGATCACCTGAGGTCAGGTGTTCAAGACCAGGCTGGTCAACATGGTGAAACCCTGTCTCTACTAAAAATACACAAATTAGCTGGGTGTGGTGGCAGGCGCCTGTAATCCCAGCTACTCGGGAAGCTGAGGCAGAAGAATCTCTTGAACCCGGGAAGCGGAGGTTGTAGTGAACCAAGATTATGCCATTGCACTCCAGCCTGGGCGACAGAGTGAGACTTTGTCTAAAAAGAATATAAATAATATTAGACAGTTGTCTTATGGAGATACAATTTACATTTTAAAAAAACTCATAGTTTTTTTTTTTTTTAGGCAGTCTTGCTCTGTCACCCAGGCTGGAATGCAGTGGCGTGATCTCGGCTCATTGCAAGCTCCACCTCCCGGGTTCACGCCATTCTCCTGCCTCAACCTCCCAAGTAGCTGGGACTACAGGCATCCCCCACCACGCCTGGCTAATTTTTTTTTGTATTTTTAGTAGAGATGGGGTTTCACCATGTTAGCCAGGATGGTCTTGATCTCCTGACCTTGTGATCTGCCCACATCGGCCTCCCAAAGTGCTGGGATTACAGGCGTGAGCCACCACGCCCGGCAAACCCATACATTTTAAGTGTATACACAGACAATTCCACTCTCTGATCAAGGTATACAACATTACTCTTACCTCAAAGTTCCCTTGTTGCCAGTCAACTCTGCCCTTCCCTCCAGAGTCAGAGCACTATTTTGATTTTTTTGTAATTTAGTTTTCCTGAATCTAGAACTTAAGGAAACATACAGTAGATGTGTGTGGGGGCATGATCTTAATATAAAATACTAGATGGAAGACTGGAAATACAGATCAGACTATTATAACAAAATAACTTGGACATTATATTCCTTTAAAAAAACTTTGCCCCCAATCCCTAAAGAATGTTGGTTCTTAAGGAAGCAGTGTTTGTTCTATCAGAATCCTATTATCACTCCTTGGACTTAGTTGGTAAAGTAACAGACCTTATGAAAAGGAACAGTCGATTGCTCTGTGGATGTGGCCCCATGTATCCCACTTTGATTTCCCTTAAACTTTTTTCTCACCACAGGAAAGTAAAACAGGATTCAACCCTAATTAGAAAATGTAGATATTAACTGTCATTCAAATGTTTATTAGCCTCTAGAATTAACTTTTTTTTAGCCAGATGCGGTGGCTCACACCTGTAATCCAGCACTTTGGGAGGCTGAGGTGTGTGGATCACTTGAGATCAGAGTTCAAGGCCAACCTGGTGAAACCCTCTCTCTACTAAAAATACAAAAATTAGCCAGGTGTGGTGGCATGCGCCTGTAATCCCAGCTACTCAGGAGGCTGAGGCAGGAGAATTGCCTGAACCCAGGAGGCAGAGGTGCAGTGAGCTGAGATCACGCCAACTGCACTCCAGCCTGGGTGACAGAGGGAGACTGTCTCAAAAAAAAAAAAAAAAGTTTGTGAACTAAGGTTTTCTCCTGTGTTTTGATCATTTTATTTTTACTGCCAAAGGGGATCTGAGTCATTTCTCTGGTATTTGTAACGTTGTGCTCCTTGCCCTAATTAGGTCCTGGACCCAAGCCAGAAGCCTCTGCAAAGCTTCCTTCCAGACCTGCAGATAACTATGACAACTTTGTCCTACCAGAGTTGCCATCTGTGCCAGACACACTACCAACTGCATCTGCTGGTGCCAGCACCTCAGCATCTGAAGACATTGACTTTGATGATCTTTCCCGGAGGTTTGAAGAGCTGAAAAAGAAAACATAGGTCTCTTAAACCAGGCAACTTTCACGTTTTGGGAGTTGAGACTGAGCAATTTCTCCTTGTAACAAAGAATCTCCATGAAATTCTGTTTCATCTGTTAACCGTCACTCAGCACAACACTCCCTCTGGGCTCTCTTCCTGCTCCTCCAGATTCTGCTGCTTTCCAGTTCTCTGTTGATCCTGAGACTAACAATTGGAGACTGAGGCCAGAGCAACTGGCTCCTGGCAGCTGTGCTTGTCCGTTTCCTGTCAGAGTGATCCCAGGTTTCCTCCTGGCCCGTCCCATGGTCCCTCCACAGGAGTGTGAGAGGATGGGGGAAGCACTGTGGGAAGACCACCAAAGATGGCTGGACAGTGGGAGAGAGCACGTTGTGAAGCATCCCAGCCTCGTGTTGAGGTTCCAGACTTAGAAACAGACCCCTCTGTACAGGGGGATTGTGGTGAGTGAGAATCAAGGCCACCTTGTGTGTTTTCTCACTCTCGAATGCAAGTGGGAGAGGGAAAATGACTCGGGACGCCATTGTAACGGTTCCTGGAAGCTGGGCCCTCTCATTGGCATATACAGTACTCCTCGCTGCAGGGCACTGTCCCACCGGGATCCAGTTGCAAAGTTTGTCTTGACAGTTGAAGGCCTCGCTTAGTTGTACTGGATTCTCAGGGAGCCCTCTGTGGCCTTTTGCTTTGCGTGCTGTTTCCCTTGTACCAGAGGGCGGCACCGTGGAAATTCTGTTTTCCCTGTAGCATATTGTGTTGGATTGCATTACTGGCAGAGAAAGGACAAGGTGCCATTCAAGTCCTAGGGTGGGCTTCCAGCTGCCTTAATAGAAGTACTCAAGTCTTTTGGGTAGTGAGCTGGAAAGCCTACAGGAAAAGAGGGGTACCTGTTTTCATTTGAAAACTTTGATTCATGGAACCTTTAAAACTAATCTCAGAAAAATTTTTGGTGCCCATGCAGCTGTAGTTGTTCACTGCTTTCCTGGATGGATGGGACTCTTATGTCATAACTTCTGTTACTCCTTTGGCCCATAGCTAAGGTCATCCTTCCCCACAGGGGTGGCTTTGGGATTGGATGATACAGCTTTTGCTTCTGTGTAGTATACCTGTACATACTTGTTTCAGGCAGCCTTTCTTTAATGTTTTCAGTTGGTTTGTATTCTGTAGCTCAGTAGCTGCTAATAAAGTTAAAGATCCTGTGTCCTGCTTTCTCTACTGTTTGGTCAGATGATGAAGTATAAATCTGGATTTTAGTGGAGAATATTTTAACCAAGTGATCCATGTAAACCAGCCCTTAGTTTCAGGATTCCTGGAGCAGTACAGAGCTCATTTTGATCTCTGTATTTAGATAGCCCAGATAGCATCTGTGAATTTCCTTGGTCTTCCTCAGTGGCAGGGCTCCGCATCTGCCATGCCTCATCCTTGGATGTTTATTTTTAGTAAGTTGCAGTGAGCTCACTTCTGACTGCTTCATTTCCCGCAGCCATCCTGGGCCATGGGTGGTGAGTTCTGTTACTTGCTGCTTGGCAGCAGAGCTAGTTTGTCTCGTAGTATTCTTGCATTGTTAATCCTATCTTGACAGTGCCAAGATCCATAAGAACTTGGGACCAAGGGGATTTTGATTCCTAACTTACAGAATTAAAAACAAAGTATATTATAATTTTAAAGCTATGCCATGCAAAGATAAGTAGTAATACGCTAATAAATACTAAGCCAAGTAGGAGATAACAGGATTAAGGTAGTTCATCTAAAACTTCAGTGTCACTGCCCACTGCTGTCGTGGCTGCTTGCTCAGATGAGGTTTTTTGGGGCCAACTGATTCCTAACAAATTTGAGAGCTTCTGTAGCAGTGTATCTATTAGTGCAGCTTCTTTCTGAGTATTGAAGACAAAAAGAGAAAAGTGAGAAAATTGAAATTACTGCTAATAGTGGAGTAAAAAAAGTACCAAAGATTTTTAAAAAATTAGTAAATGTAAAGATACTATTTCTTTAATAATTTGCAGTCAGGCATTGGAGTG
This sequence comes from Homo sapiens, assembly GCF_000001405.40. NCBI lineage: Eukaryota > Metazoa > Chordata > Mammalia > Primates > Hominidae > Homo > Homo sapiens. The sequence goes on from NC_000016.10 coordinate 71,929,823, forward strand.
TTTCCACTAATGGTTGCGAGCCAACTATTTATAGGACAATGGCTATAGAATATTATGTAGTCTTATAAATTGGGTTTCCTAGGAAGATAGCTGGCAGAGCTTTTGAAACTAATAAAGGGAATATGATACTGTGCATTATAAATTATGTCAGCCCGTCATCTTAGGGGCAGTTACAGTGGAGCTTTCCCAGTGATATAACAGCATGCTAGTTTATCTTTTAGTTACCTACCTTAAGCGACTTTCTTTCTTTTCCAAAGGCCATGAGAATGGCCGAAACGAAAAGATTAATTACCACAAGTACCATCAAGATGACACTGGTGAGGATCAGAAAGGTGCCCAGGACTGGGTCTAAAGCGAAAACCTGGGAAAACAATAAGAACACTTGCAGTGACTGACAATTTAGTTTATACTTTACAAACATAAGCTATATGCTAGTGTTTGGGATCTTATCAGAAGAAAAGCTTATCCGAAGGAAACTTAGGGAGAGAGTCAAAAGATAATAAGAAGGAAAATACTTTTAAATGGACAGAAGAGCAGGAATGACTCATTTTAAGGAGGTTAAGATAATTGTGACTGCAGGGCTTTCACAAGAAAACAGGTGAGTTGCAGTGGAATTGGAAATGATTCAAATGTCACATGAGTTTTGGCAAAAAATACATCTAATCATGGAAGCTAAAAGTGGGAGGGGGGTAAGCAAACACTGAAAGATTAAATGCATACCAGAAATGAGAATGCACACTGTCTCTGCCATATCAAGAAACTACAACCCTAAACACAGGAGCATTCCAATAAAAGTTAACAGGTTGGCCACAGAAAACTGGCTTTTTAGTATTTTTTTTTTTCCATTGTCATTTTTAAAGGTACAAGCATTGAGTTCTGCCATTCTTTACTTTTCTGCATACATAAATATCAAGTTCTGGGCTTATTGGAATGGTTCCCATAACAAAAACTGTTGTTTAAAATTTAGATGTTCTTTTTCAACAAATGGTATTTATTTTCCCTTGGTATTGGCCCATTCATTGTTGCCACTAGGGCACTGTTTAAAAATATCCCAACAGAGGGGTTGATTACAGTCAATGCCACCCTGATGGAAATCTATATGGCAAAATATTTTCAAGCACCAAACTGTTTTACCTACTTAAAAATGATTATTATAACAATTTCAGGTCAACCAGATAATGTGGGCAATCTCTGAGTTTGTGATACAAGACTTATTTCCAATAAGTTTATTTTTATGTACAATTTTACTGTTTATTTTTTGTTTGCTCTATTTGTTTTTTAATGTTTTTTACTTTATGTTTACTGTATTTTTATGTACAATTACATCCAAAGCAGAAAAGTTCCTTTTTTATCCCCAAAAGGAGGTGTCAGCAAAAATTTGTTACTCTGATTACTTCCTTCACAGCTTTAGGATACGAAGTGCTGCAGTGGCAAAGGCTCATCCCCTAGTTATTGGAGCTAGAACCACAACAGAACACAGCCTAGTCAGCCAAAACAGCAGTTACAGTTGTCCCTTAGTATCTGAGAGAGATTGGCGCCAGGGCCCCCACAGGTACCAAAATCTGAGGATGCTTAAGTCCCTTATTTTTATTTTTTAATTGCAAGCTTCCCTAAAGGTTAAGAAAGTGTCTTCTCCCCCACTTTTTTTTTTTTTTTTTTTTTTTGAAATGGTCTTGCTCTCACCCCGGCTGGAGTGCAGTGGCGTGATCTTGGCTCACTGCAACCTCCACCTCCCAGGTTCAAGCGATTCTCCTCAGTCAGTCTCCTGAGTGGCTGGGATTACAGGTTCCCACCACCATGCCTGGCTAATTTTTGTATTTTAGTAGAGACGGGATTTTACCATGTTGGCCAGGCTGGTCTTGAACTCCTGACCTCAAGTGATCAGCCCCACCTTGGCCTTCTAGAGTGCTGGGATTACAGGCGTGAGCTACTGTGCCCGGCTCAAAGTCCCTTTTTAAAAATGGCACAGTATTTGCATAAACCCTATATACATCTCTCTTATACTTGAAATAAACTTTAGATTACCTCTAGTACTTTATAGTGGAACTGCTACGTAAAATAGTTGTTACACCGGTTTGTGGTTTTTTGTGGGAGACAGTCTCGCTCAGAGGGCAGTGGGATGATCATAGCTCATTGCATCCTCACTCCTGAGCTCAAGCAATCTTTTCACTTTGGCCTCCTAAGTAACAGGAACTACAGGTACATGCTACCATGCCTGACTCTTCTACTGTATTTTAAAATGTGTGTTATATTTTATTGTTACCTTTCAAATATTTTCATTCTGGGATTGGTTGAATCTGTGGATGCAGACCCTGCAGATACAACATTAGAAACTGAACCTACCCATTTTAATTAGTAATTTTGGAATTCTAGATCATTAGAATGATCAACCATGATCAAAATCTTGCCAGTTTCACTGCTTAAATGGCAGGTTTTTCCTTGCTTGGTCATATCTACCCTTTACATACCAGGGTTTGGAGCCCAGTGCCTCATTTGGGTTTCCTACTTTATATGTTGAGGAGGAAGGCAGGGATTTCTGTTGGTAGTTCCTGGGAGGAAATAATAGGCTCTCTGAAGTGAGTAGTTATTAACTCAACAGAAATAACGCAGTTTCTCTTAGAACTGTACCTTCCTAATTCTTTGTCACTTCCATTATGTCACTTTTTTTTTTGAGACAGTTTCACTGTCTTGCCCAGGCTGGAGTGCAGTGGCACAATCTCAGCTCACTGCAACCTCCGCCTGCCAGGTTAAGGCAATTCTCCTGCATCAACCTCCTGAGGAGCTGGGATTACAGGTGTGCACCACCACGCCTGGCTAGGCTAATTTTTGTGTTTTTATTAGAGATGGGGTTTCACCATGTTGGCCAGGCTGGTCTTGAACTCCTGACCTCAAAAGTGATCCGCTGGCTTCGGCTTCCCAAAGTATTAGGATTATAGGCATGAGCCACCGCACCTGGCCTTTTTTTTTTTTTTTTTTTTTTTTTAATTTAAATAGACATAGGGTCTGGAGTGTAGTGGCATGATCATGGCTTATTGCAGCTTCCAACTCCTGGGCTCACAGGATTCTCTCTCCTCAGCCTCCAGCCTCCTGAGTGGCTAGGACTACAGGTGCATGCCACCACACCTGGCTAATTTTTATTTTTTATTTTTAGTAGAGACAAAGTCTCTATGTTGCCCAGGCTGGTCTCAAATTCTTGGCCTCAAGCAGTCCTCCCCTTCTTGGCCTCTCATGGCTTGAACCAACTTACCCTACCCTGTTAATGCACTTTCAAGGGGCCATTGAGAAGCAGAGAATCTTGTTAATCTGGCCAAGCACAAGAGCACAAGCTTCGGCTCAGTGTCCTTTGCCAATAAGATTAAGGACACAAGAAGTGAGGAAGGAGGGACTGAGTGCTTAGGAAAGGGCAGGTTTCTGAAAGCAACAGCCATGTAAATGCTGTATGCATAGGCAGTACCATAAAGCAGTAGAGCAAAGGACTGAAATTTTCCCCCTTTTCCAGTGTGCAGTGTACAGTAGGGGGCTGTTTTCATAAGGACCCCCCCAATTTTCCTTGTTCAATATATTGAATTCTGTGAGGAAACAAATTATTATTTTTACCTCCTCTTGGTGAGAAATTCCCATCAGGAGACCAACAACAGTCACTGCTGAGCTGAAAAATGTCCGGTAGTCAGAGATGCTGCATCCAAACAGCAGGTTAAACTGAACAGAAGGAGAAAGGCCAGTTAGTGCAAGCCGAGCGCACATCTTTCTATCCTGAGGTGCTTGGGGATGTGGCCAACATAGAAGCAATGGAACAGAAATTCCTTGTGGCCAAATTATGCCCAAAGAATACATAAACTTCCTTTGTAATAACATAGTGTTTTCATAGAAGTTTATTTGACCTTTATATTACCGTGTGAGCTAAGTTTTATCCCCATTTTAGAGAAAAATATGTGGGTTTAAGTCATACCAGTTAAGTGTGGAACTAGATCTAAACCCGGCTTTCCTACTGTACCACCTCGGGTTTCTGTGTTGTGACCATTTCTATGGGAAGCGATGCGATTCCAAGACCACAGCACACGGAGAAGGAGAGACAGCAACGTGGGGGCTTACGGCAATGGCATAGCCTGTCAGCAGGATTAGGATGATCAGCAGAAAGCCCACCACCTCGTCCCAGGCTCGGCTCAGTGTCCTGCTGATGACCCGCAGCCTGGGGCTATGACGCAGCAGGTTCCATAACTGAACAGTTGCCAGGAGAACCGGGAAGCCCACAAGGTGAGTCGCAGCAGAGTTCACTTTTACTGCCTCATAGAAGCTGATGAATCTGCACCAAGGAAAGCTGACAGTTACTCAGCAAGAAGTATGTGCCTATACTGCAGTTTCCCCAGCGCCCCTGCTGCTGATCGTGGCAGCCCTGAGTCCTGTGAGGTCAAATGCTTGTTGATGTGAGAACTGCTTTCTATTGTGGCCTCCTGTGAGTTGTGGATATGGGAGTAACAGAAGGCCACATACTATTCAAGTGATCTACCTGCTGCAGATTGCACTGGGAGCTGTGCCGAAGAAGCCTTAAAATGTGACCTCTAGCTGATTTCTTTATTCCAAATTCATCCTGGGAAGCAAAACCAGCCTCCTGCACTGCTCTGAGCCAAATCTCTCCTCTCAAAAGGAGATTAACTCAGCCCAGAGAGAGGAGCCATGCTGCTGGTCTGTTTTCTGTGGCACACTAATCCTGTGTTCTCTGGCAGTACAGGATTGCTGTAATAGGTGCAATCAAGCTTAGAACAAAATGATGGGTGGTAGACTAGAGGCGAGGGGTGTTGCTTAGCAATTAGGTTTTGTTTTGAGAGAGAGACATTCATAATTTTAGGTTGCAGCAACCAGGTTACTTGGAAGGAGCCCCACAGACACTAGCAAGTGGCACTCTGCACAGATCCGCTGTCACTGCATAAACTGCTCTCCATAAGGCCTACTTGAAACAATGCCTCAGGAAAAGTTACACAGATCACCACCCAGGCTGTTGGCCACTGATGCAAAGGTTAGCAAAGCACCACTTGGCAACACTTGGCATGGGAAACATAGATGTTCCTCTCCATGGGAAAAACCAGAGAAGGTGCCCAAAGAGGCACCAAAAATCTCTTAGTATGGATGAGTGAATAGATGAACATCCCTACCCAGAAAGCAGCTCCCTTTGCATTTAAAGGATGGGACTATGTGTTGTGGTTTTATTTAAAGGATTATTTGTCGTGCGTTAGGCTTTATGCCTTCGCCAGAGGGCAAAATAATGACCAATTCCAGGCCCTTCTGAAATTTAAATGCATTATCCTTAAGCACATACCTAAGCACTAATGAAGGCAGAAGAGCTCTTCAATGTGACTAGCAGTTAAATGGCTTCTAGTTCACTGTCTTCTCTGCTGTGGACATGAGTCCAAGTTCTCTTTTAACTCTAATGTTATGCAAATACAGATCTGGTAGGGGAGTTTGAAGAATACTTGTGTATAAACAGGAAACTTTAGACATGAGGTAGGAATATGCTGTGCCCCTCAGGCTTCCTCTCACCTGTCCTGGTCATCGCGGTATCGTGCCATGTTTTTCTTATGTAGAGAAATACTCTTCATGTCAAGCCCCAGGAGGATGAAGCTAATGAGGATTATACTTGTGTCCAGAATGTTTCTTTTCCCAGTGAAGAACCTCCACTTCTGCTGTTTCAGCTGACAACCCTAAACATAGACAGCACAGTCACTGTTGCTTGTCTGAGAGATTAGCTAGGTCTCTCCCTGCTCAAGTGTGATGAACGCAGCTGATGTCTGTGGGCAAAGCACACTGCCAGGCATTTATCAGATCTCACTTGGACAAATGGGTTATGGTCTTAGTTCAGGTCTGTAGTCTTCAGAAATGCTGCTTACAAAAAAGTTATCTTCAAACAACTTCCATTGGATACATTTATTCTTTTTCTTGGAGATCATAAACTGTCACTTAAAAATCAATAATACAAAAGTTTCTTTCTTTGAGACAGGGTCGCGCTCTGTTGCCCAGGCTGGAGTGCAGTGGTGCGATCATAGCTCACTGCAGCCTCAACCTCCCAGGCTCAGGCTCAAGCAGTCCTCCTACCTCAGCCTCCCAAGTAGCAGGGACCACGAGCACATGCCACCATGCCCGGCTAAGTTTTGTATTTTTTGTAGAGACAGGGTTTTGACATTTTGCCCAGGCTAGTCTTGAACTCCTGGCTTCAAGTGATCTGCCTACCTCAGCCTCCCAAGGTGCTGGGATTACAGGCGTGAGCCACCATGCCCAGCAAAAATTTCTAAATTAGTTATCAAGCCTGAGAATGAAAAAAAAAATACTATGTTTGGCTTAAGATATAAATATATTTTCTTCTGAGTGTAATCATCTGTATTTTTTTTTCTTTTCTTTTTTTTTTTTTGAGACAGAGTTTCACTCTTGTCACCCAGGCTGGAGTGTAGTGGTGCCATCTTGGCTCACTGCAACCTCTGCCTCCCAGGTTCAAGCAATTCTGCCCCAGTCTCCCGAGTAGCTGGGACTATAGGAGCCCGCCACCATGCCCAGCTGATTTTTGTATTTTTAGTAGAGACAGGGTTTCGCCATGTTGGCCAGGCTGGTCTTGAACTCCTGACCTCAGGTGATCAACCCATCTTGGCCTCCCAAAATGTTGGGATTACAGGCGTGAGCCACTGTGCCTGGCCAATCACTTTTTTTTTTCTTTTTTTTTTTTTTTTTGAGATGCAGTTTCACTCTTGTTGCCCAAGCTGAAGTGCAAGGGCGCGATCTCGGCTCACTGCAACCTCCGCCTCCCGAGCAGCTGGGATTACAGGCATATGCCACCACGCCCGGCTAAATTTGTATTTTTAGTAGAGACGGCATTTCTCTATGTTGGCCAGGCTGGTCTCGAACTCCCTCAGGTAATCCGCCTGCCTCGGCCTCCTAAAGTGCTTGAACTACAGGCATGAGCCAATCATTTGTATTTTTGAGTGCTTGCTCTTTGTTCATCATACTTGCTTGGTATTACTTCATATAGGGCTAATAAAACTACAAAAGTACTATTTCTATAGACTTAATTCTTTAGCTCCTGAAAAATTGAAAGAGCCAATCTATTTGGTGGAAAACCAGTCAGCCTTTAACTGAATTCAGGTTTCTGAAAAGGACCAAAATTATAGCCATAATTCTAGTAACATGTCATTGTAGAGCTTCCCAAATAAAATGTGGCAACCTTTATTTCTCACATCTAACACCATCATCATCATCATCATTATTTTTGAGACAGGGTCTTGCTCTGTCGCCCAGGCTGAAGTGCAGTGGCGTGATCTTAGCTCACTGCAACCTCTGCCTCCCAGGCTCAAGCAATTCTCACATCTCAGCCTCCCGAGTAGCTGGGACCACAGGTGCATGCCACCACACCTGGGTAATTTTTGTAGTCTGGTAAAGATGAGGTTTTGCCATGTTGCCCAGGCTGACATCTAACATTATTGACTCACCTGTATGAAGGCATAGTAACAGACCAGTAGATAATAGATGACTTGTGAGATGATAGACCAGACACAGCCCTTCTTTGACATCTGAAGGGAAGTGAAGCTTTCCAGTCTCAAAGAGGTGAAGAAAGCACCTGAGAATAACAAAGAACACCTGGAGTCAAGAGTCTAAAACTTTTGCCCTCTTCTTGTTAAACTTTGTCTTTGAATAACCCCAACTCTTCCTGTATCATCAAATGTTTCTGAGTCTCAGTGCTCCACTTAGTATTTCCTTTAGAGCTGTCATGAACATTAAAGGAGATCATGTATGCAAAGCTATTGGAGAAATACTGGTTTTACAAAAGTCAGTAGTGGGAAAGGATATGCTGTTGACCCTACCTTGAAGGGAGGTGTCGGTGGCTTAACAGTTATTATAGATGTTACCCTATCCATGTCAGAGTGGCTGCAGAGAGAGGTCTAAAGCACTGATACCCCACGAGTACTAACGGTATCCCATGGATACTCAGTCATTTACATAAGGATGGACTAAAAGGCTTCAGCCTCCACCTGGAAGGACATTGAAAATGTTGACGTTTATAAAATCATGAAAGGTCTTGTGAATACAAACCTTTCACAAAGCTTCAAAATATTAGTGATGGCAGCAGCACCCTGTCTGGAGTGGCTGCTGCCATGACATCGGCTGCAGTGGGAGGCATGGCCGGGGCTTTGTGCGCTGTTGAGCTGCGGGAGCCAGTAACAGGTGGGAGCCCTGCCCCCTTCTGAGTTGGAGGGTTGGGAGCCCCACACTCCTGGGCAGAGCTGCAGCTGCCCAGCCACAGCTGCAGACCTGGGCATCCCTGCACTCGGGGGCTCAGGAAACCCCCCTGCCCCTGCAGGTTCAGAAGTGCCTGCTCCCACTGCATGGCCTCTCCCCACTCCCAGCACCTGCTCTGATTTTGGAGCAAAGTTTTGGCCAAGCCTGGGTGTGTGTGCGCTTGGGGCAGTGCTGACAAGCAGCCCCCTACTGCCTCGGCCTTCTCCGAACTTTGGACACGGACAAGCATGTGAGGCAGGGAGGGTAAGGGGGGGCTGAGGGTGGCTTGCCATGGGCCCGCAGGTGCCCCTTGGCACAAACAGCCTGGGCACCATGGGTGACATGGATGGCAGCAGGAGGCAGACAGGCTCCTGGGCAGAAAGGGGCAGGTCCCCAGTAAAGCCCCACCTTTAAAGCCAGGGATCATTTGAAGCCTGGGGGCTGGGCTGCCAGTTCTGGAACCTGCCAGTTTCACTAACTCAATTGAGAACTTATGGCGCTTCTTCTGGGCCCACCCATGGCTGCCCATGGACCAATAAGCACACACTTACTCCCCTCTGAAGCCCATAAAAACACCAGACTCAGCCAGACTTGGGCAGATGGCAGGATGACCTGCCTGCAGATAGGAGCTACCCACTCCAGATCTCTCTGCTGAGGGCTACACAAACAATGGGACGACCTGCCTGTGGATAGGAGCTACCAACTCCAGGTTTCCTGAAAACTGTCTTGTCACTCAATGAAGCTCCTCTCCACCTCTCTCACCCTCCAGTTGTCAGTGTACCTCATTCTTCCTGGATGCAGGACAAGAACTCGGGACCCGCTGAGTGGTGGGACTGAAAGAGCTGTAACACAAACAGGGCTGAAACACACCCCCTTGCTTGCCACACTGCAAGCAATGAGAAGGACAGAATAGCTGTGGCCCTTTGGGGGAGCCCAGACCTACAGGCTCCCTGAGCCAGGGCTGTGACACCCTCTTTGGGGCTCTGTGCTTCTGGCATCTCGAAGATTCTAGGCACCATGGCATTCCTCAGATGCAGTTACCCACAGCAGAAACCACATGCAGTACATCTGGTCCAGCTTCAGTCTTTCAGGGAGCCGGCACCTGTGCCAGCACATAGAGCTGCCCAACTCACTGCAGCAGCCAGCGTGCCTGGCTGTGTGCAATGGCTGGACCCCGTGCTTGCTCATCCATACATACCTCACTGCTCTGTACCTGGCTGTCTCTTGGCAGGTGTGGGATCCAGGCCAGTAGCAGGAGCTGAGTACAGGCTACCAGGCCAATTCGGCAGAACGAGCACAGTGGCTGCAAGCAATACTCAGGCAGAAGGTGCTGCCGGCCACAGAGGTTTCTGGCTGGCAAAGCAACACCCTAAGGATGCTGTGACATTAGAACTAAGATGTACCCCTTGTAGGTAAAAAAGACATTTAAGAACAAAAGGAATTTCTATTTCACCTAGCTAGCTCTCAAGACTGGAACTTTTCCCATGTTTATTTTAATCCCTGTCTATATTTTGTTAGTAACTAAAAACCCCATGAAGACCCTTAGGAAGCCTTTGTGCTTCATTAGAAACAAGCATAAGAGAAGTGGTCTACTCTCTGCAGGTCTGAGAGAAGAATTCTTGATTAGGAGAAAGATGTGATGGAAAATGGAAGGATACTTGTGAGCCAATTCTGGGAGAAGAAAGAGAAGTTGGATTAGGATAGATGTCCTGTGAAAGGTGGGGGAACTGAATGGACCAGTTTAACTCCAATCCCTTACAAAATGCCACTATAATGAAAGTGACAGGATAAAGTAAAAACTTCAATAGATGAAGAAAAGGAGGGCAGATGAGAGCAACAAACTGCTGGAAGCTGAAAAGTAGAGGAATCACATTGACTTAGCAAGTTCAAGAAAGCTGAAATCTAAGGCAGCTGTACAGGAAACCCGGAAGCAAGCTAATTCTAACCAAGAAACCTTGGAAAGCCTCAGAAATTGCAGGCATCAGGTACTTCTGAAGGTAGAAGTTCAGGTGGAACTGAAAATAGCATCAACTGAAAGTCAATATATATATAAACAACAACTAGATTCCAAATTTCCTCCCTCACCATTCACAACCAGGTATTTGCTACCTATCTTGCCTTCTACCACCCCATGACTAAAGGTTTGTTTCCCAGTGATGCTGTATGAGAGAATCTGGACTTGGGGGCACCAGCTACCTCTGAGAGTAATGGTTTACTGGAAAAGGGGATTAAGGGAAAGTTTACGTGCTGCATGGTGAGACACTTCCCAGATCCCTTCCCTCAACTTGCTCTGATAAGTATAATAGGCTCATATACTCAAGATTGGAGTTTGTAGGGTCTCTAAAAACTGACTGCCCAAAAAGAGAGACTTAGATACCCAGTTGATAAGCTCTATGCATGGGCACAGAGCTTTGTTTTTTATTTTTTTTTTATTTTTTTGAGATGGAGTCTCACTCTGTCCCCCAGGCTGGAGTGCAGTGGCACGATCTCAGCTCACTGCAACCTCCGCCTCCTGGGTTCAAGCAATTCTCCTGTCTCAGCCTCCTGAGTAGCTGGGATTACAGGCATGTGCCACCATGCCTGGCTAATTTTTGTATTTTTAGTAGATATGGGGTTTTGCCAAGTTAGCCAGGCTAGTCTCAAACTCCTGACTTCAGGTCATCTGCCTGCCTCGGCCTCCCAAAGTGCTGGGATTACAGGTGTGAGCTACCATGCCCAGCCAGGCACAGAGCTTATAATTAGCATTTATTTGCTTTTTATTGCCTTTTTTTTTTCTTGATACAGGGTCTGGCTCTCACCCAGGCTGGAGTGCACTGGTATGATCTCAGCTCACTACAACCTTTGATTCCCAGGATCAAACCATTCTGCCACCTCAGCCTCCCAAGTAGCTGAGACAACATGTGCACACCACCATGCCAGGCTAATTTTTGTATTTTTGGTAGAGACGAGGTTTCACACCATGTTGCCCAGGCTGGTCTCGAACTCCTGGGCTCAAGTGATCTTCCTGCCTTGGCCTCCCAAAGTGCTGGGATTATAGGCTTGAGACACCGCACCCAGCCTGCCTTTCTTTAAAAGGACAGCCAGGCACTTGAACCTCTAATGCTGAAAACTGTAGATCAAAACAAACAACAAATCAAAAAACTAGAGACAGTAAAGGATCAGAAGGAAAAAAACCACCATAATATCCTCAGAGTTAAGAGGATATTGCATCCGTAAAAGAACAATAAGAGACTATGAAAAAAACAATTTGGAAATTAAATATTATAGAAAGAAAAAATAGTTTAGAAGATAAAAATTAAATACTGCAGATATTAGATGAAAAAGATGGAAAACAGAAGCAAAAATATAAGAAAATCAGAACTCCAGGAGTTACAATGTCAAAATGCTAGAAAATCAGAAAAAGTGAACAGAAAAAATGGAGAAGAAATTAACCAAAAAAATGCAAGAAAATTCCTCAGAACTTAAGGTCACGTTTCCAGATGATAGAACATTCTATGACATTCTTTTTTTTTTTTTTTTTTTTTGAGATGGAGTCTCGCTCTGTCACCCAGGCTGGAGAGCAGTGGCACCGTCTCAGCTCACTGCAACCTCCACCTCCTGGGTTCAAGCGATTCTTCTGCTTCAGCCTCCCGAATAGTTGGGACTGCAGGCGCGAGCCACCATGCCTGGGTAATTTTTGTATTTTTAGTAGAGACGGGGTGTCACCATATTGGCCAGGCTGGTCTCGAACTCCTAGACCTTGTGATCCACCTGCCTCGGCCTCCCAAAGTGCTGGGATTACAGGCATGAGCCACCGTGCCCGACCTCTATGACATTCTTTCATAACTCAGAGGACAAAGAAAAAAACCTAAAAACTTTTGGGGTTGGGGACTGGGAATCAGCATGCCAGCATAATACTTTTTAACACTAACATGAAAAGCTAGAAAGCAATGGAGCTACACTTTTCAAAATTCTGGCTGGGCACGGTGGCTCATACCTGTAATCCCAGCACTTTCGGAGGCCAAGGTGGTCAGTTCACTTGAGGTCAGGAGTTCAAGACCAGCCTGGCAAACATGGCGAAACCCCATAAAATATGTAAATACATAAATTGTAAAAATAAAAAAATCAGCCAGGCATGGTGGCGGGCACCTGTAATCCCAGTTACTTGGGAGGCTCAGGCAGGGAGAACTGCTTGAACCCAGGAGGCAGAGGGTACAGAGAGCCAAGATGGTGCCACTGCACTCCAGCCTGGGCGACAGAGCAAGACTCCGTCTCAAACAAACGAACCAAAATCCTGCAAGAAAGAAATTATATACAGATAAATTAGAATCTAATGTGATGGGAGAATAAAAACACTTTTGGAGATGTAAGTCTCCAACAAATTTACCTCTCTTGTACTCTTCCAGGAAGTTACCTTCAATGAAACCACATTCCTGGTTTTGCACTTATTGAACAGCCTTCTTTGCTACGTGTGGTTGAATTCCAGGGGTCACTCCAGTTACCTCTCATGATGTAACTGAATCCATTCTCATTCTTGCTTGTCAGCCTTTCGTGAAGCTCATCAGTGGGAATCAGCACCATGGGCCTGGGTGAACAGATGTAACTGAACCTCCTTAGATGAAGTCCAGGGAATAGGCTCTTGGGACGCCCACAGGTATGGCCGTTATCACAAAACGCCAGCTGACCTTCGTCCACTTTCTCATAGGTCTTGGTACGGGGTATTTGGAAAATTAATTGTACCCCACATTTGCAATGACTGGGCTCCAGGACTGCATTCTTACCTCTGTAATCCCCATACAGGCTAGGAAGAAGGATATGATTGGCCCAGGGGTAGAAATCCTGAAGAAGTTTGATTTCCGAGAACTGGTGCGAAAATGTCTTCCAGATAGCTTGGTGGAGGTAAAATCTATTGGAGTTCTTTGCAGAGTAGATTGCAGTCATCAACAGGGTAAGGAAGAGGATTTGTACTTGTTTAGAAGAGGAAAAAAATGTCATAGTTGAGTGGTTAACTTAGAAATCCTCTATGTCTTTTTCATTTTTCCTAAGTCTATAGACTTATGCAGGTCAAAACCAGTCAAAAACTGGCTGTTTCATATGGTTCAATCTAATAATTATAAATACATACATACACATTTCCTTCCCAGAATTATTCTGCCACTAATGATACATTTTACTTAAAATAAGATACAATGGCTGTGGCTGGGCACAGTGGCTCACACCTGTAATCCTAGCACTTTGGGAAGCTGAGACGGGCAGATCACCTGAGGTCAGGAGTTCGAGACCAGCCTGACCAACATAGTAAAACCCCCCCATCTACTAGAAATACAAAAATTAGCTGGGCGTGGTGGTCTGTGCCTGTAATCCCAGCTAACCAGGAGGCCGAGGTAGGAGAATCGCTAGAACCCAGGAGGCACAGGATGCAGTGAGCTGACATTGCACCACTGCACTCCAGCCTGGGCAACAAAGTGAGACTCCGTCTCAAAAAAAAAAAAAAAAAAAAACATAAAATCCCGCACAAGAAATATGGTGTTTAGCTCTAAGGACTAAGCATGCACTCTGTCTCTCATGTGATTGTGTTTACAAGAAGTGAAGTCATGATAAAAGCAGAATTTGTCTTATTTGGACTAGGGAATCCAATAATGAACTAGATGTGTTGAAGCCAGTCAACTGGCACCTACAGAAGAGCCATCTGCCAAAGCATTTTCATTTTCCCTCCATAGATCAAGTGTTATTACATTTTGCAGGTGGAGAAAGTGACTTACTCAAGCACACAATAAAACCTCTAGACTCCAAGGTCAGGGATCTGTCCAGTTACCATCCCACCTGCTTTACTGGAATCCCAAATCTCACAGGGTGAAGATTTTAAAAGACAGCTTTTTAACCCTTCTTTATTTTCCATTTTATTCTCTCTCTTCCTTTCCCTTCTGGAAAAGGTGCTGTGTTATCAGTATGTTGCCATTTCCTCTCCATACCCAAAATATCTCCAGTCAGCTTGAAGAGTTTCTTCTTTTTCAAGGTTCTTTCTGGGTGCTTAGTTGGACTATTTATAGCTGGGGCTACATAGACGGGGTTGTTCTTATCTCTTGAACCTGGTACTGACGAAGAACATTTTGCTGTCAAAAATTCAAATATAGACCAAAGAAATGTTATATTTCATTAAGCAGTCACTCACCATTCATTGAGCATCTACTGTGAGCACCTCCTTTTAAATGTTAAACAAGGAATAAAACTACCTATGCAGTGCTTCTTAAACTCTCTATTATAAAGGACCTGTTTTTTAAAAAATTCCAATCAATTGGGGACTGATACTTTTGTACAATACAGTAAAAATGAGTTACTAGGCTGAACACAGCGGCTCATGCCTGTAATTCCAATTCTAGCACTTTGGGAGGCCAAGGCAGCAGGATCACTTGAGGCCAGGAGTTGACCAGCCTGGTCAACATAGTGAGACGTTGTCTCTACAAAAAAATAAAAAATTAGCCAGGCATAGTGGCTCATGCCTGTGGTCCCGGCTACTAGGGAGACTGAGGTGAGAGGACTGATTAAGCCCAGGAGTTTGATGTTGTACTGAGACTAGCAGATAGTTTGAGCTCAGGAGTTTGAGACCAGCCTGGGCAACATAGCAAGACCATATCTGTTTTTTGTTTGTTTTTTTTTTTTGAGACGGAGTCTCACTTCGTTGTCGAGGCTGGAGTGCAATGCATGATCTTGGCTCACTGCAGTCTCCACCTCCCAGATTCAAGCGATTCTCTTGCCTCAACCTCCTGAGTAGCTGGGATTACAGGCACATGCCACCACACCTGGCTAATTTTTGTATTTTCAGTAGAGACAGGGTTTTGCCATGTTGCCCAGGCTGATCTCGAACTCCTACCTCAGGCGATCAACCCGAGACCCTGTCTCTTAAAAAAAAATTAAAACATATATTAAAAAAAGAAAAAAATAAAGCAGAAGCATGCAAAATACAAGCCCTGTTTTTGATAATTAGATTTAGTACATATAAAGTTAATCTGCCAAATTGTTAAAGTTTTTAAATGCTCATTCCTGATTCCTGTACTTAGACTAGAAACAAACTGTTCTAGTCAGTGGATCACACTTTGGGAGCACTGTTCTATAGTGGTATTCTCAGATTTTAATGTGCATAGGAATCATCTGGGAATTTTATTAAAATATGGATTCTGGAGTGAGGCCTAAGATTCTGAATTTCTTAACTATATATATATATATATATATATATATATATATATATATACACACACACACACACATATATACACACACACACACATATATTTATATATGTATTTATATACACACACGCACACACACATATATATATATATATTTATTTATTTATTTATTTATTTATTTATATATGTATTGGGAGGCCAAGGAGGACTGATCACCTGAGCTGAGGAGTTCAAGACCAGCCTGGCCAATATGGGAAAAACTTGTCTCTACTAAAAATAAAAAGTTATCCAGGCGTGGTGGAGTGCACCTGTAATCACAGCTACTCGGGAGGCTGACACAGGAGAACTGCTTGAATCTGGGAGGCAGAGGTTGCAGTGAGCCGAGATTGTGCCACTGCACTCCAACCTGGGCGACAGAGCAAGACTCCATCTCATAAATAAATAAATAAAAATAAAAATAACTAGAGGAGGGCATGAAACTTGCCAGCATGTGTGTTCCAAGCACCATGGGATCAGTGAAGAGTGAGCAAATAAATCTCTCCAAGAAAGTCAGAGAAGGCGCCACAGAGGAAGTGACATTTGACATTTGTTTTGAAGGATGAATCAGAGCTCTCCAGATGAACAAGGGTGATGATAAGGGGAAAAAAGTCTCTTTTAGGCAGAGAAACCAACAGTTCAGAATGCACAGAGAAACAAAATAAGTGCAAGGAAGGCAATTTATTATTATTTTTGAGACGAAGTTCCGCTCTTGTCACCCAGGCTGGAGTACGATGGCACGATCTTGGCTCACTGCAACCTCCGCCTCCCAGGTTCAAGCGATTCTCCTGCCTCAGCCTCCCACGTAGCTGGGATTACAGGCATGCACCACCACACCCAGCTAATTTTGTATTTTTAGTAGAGACAGGGTTTCACCATGTTGGCCAGGCTGGTCACAAATGGAAGGCAGTTTAAAGTCAGATTAAGTTTTTTCATCTCACAAGGAATGGAGTGCCTACTGCTTAGCAGTAGATCACCACTTAAGAATAAGTGACTGCCAACATAAAGTGTGCTGTGTACCCCTCTGTGATGGCATTCCTTCTTTCCCTCACAGGTAGTCCTTTCCTGAATTCTGGAGTTTATCATTCCCATGCATTTCTTTATACTTTATCTATAAATGCATAGAGGAGATACATATATAACCTCTTGTCAAGACATGCATCGTTTTTACATGATTAAGATATTGTGCCAATTTTTCTGCAACCTCTTGTTTTGCCCAAGATTGTGTTTGTGAGGTTCATCCAGGTGATAAGTTAGCCCTAGTCAGTTAGAGGGTAGGCCAGTTAGCCTTAGCCAGTTAGAGGGTAGGCACTCTCCAGCATGGTGACTAAATGTGGAAACTAACAGAGGAATTTAGGATTATGTACTCCGACTTTTTCAGAGAATGCTGATGCTCTTGACTGAAATGAGAAAATATAGTAAAGAAGTGGATTTGTGGGGCAGGCAAACAATTCAGTTTAATTTGACATACTTGGAGGCATCTAGCTCCAGATAGGGAGCAGTGGAGAACAGCACCTGGGGCTCATGAGAGAGGGGGAGGAGGAGGGAGAAGGGGATGAGGGAGAGAAGGAGAGAGGGAGAGAGAGAGGGAGAGAGAGAGGGAGAGAGAGAGGGAGAGAGGGAGGGGGAGAGAGAGAGAGAGAAAGGGAGAGAGAGAGGGAGAGAGAGATGAAAAAGATCTAAAATGTAGGGGAGTCCGGGGGCGGTGGCTCACGCCTGTAATCCCAGCACTTGGGAGGCCGAGGAGAGTGGATCACCTGAGGTCAGGAGTTCAAGACCAGCCTGGCCAACATGGCAAAACCCTGTCTCTACTAATACTACAAAAAAATTAGCCAGGCATGGTGGCAGAGGCCTGTAATCCCAGCTACTCGGAGGCTGAGACAGGAGAATCGCTTGAACCCAGGAGGTGGAGGTTGTAGTGAGCTGAGAACACATCATTGCACTCCAGCCTTGACAACAAGAGTGAAACTCCGTCTCAAAAAAATAAAATTAAATAAAATGCAGGGGAGAGATGAAGCACTGGGAGAGAGGATGTGATGACTGAGGTGAAGATCCTCATCTGGAAGGGCATTAGTCTTGGGCAGAAAAGGAGAAATAACCAGTTGGTTAGAGACAAGTCCTTTGAATGGGTTAATTTATCGAGTCAGCAAGGTGGCCAGATCTAATTTGCTTTTTGCAAAATTAGGTAGTTGTTAGAACTACTTGAGTTACCCAAGAGTGCCAAGATCCTCTTTGTTTGTTGTTCATTCTCTTTGTTAAGCCGTGGCATCCTGCTCATCATCAGTGAGTATAAGAATGTGAAGAAGACCACCTGGGCAGGAGAATCACAGAACATCGTGAGCAGACATTACAGACCCAGGAAGATAATACCGTATGTAAAGGAAGAGGTGGGCACTCATGAAAAACTTCAATTATTTGGCTCTTCATTTTAATGAAAAACTAATTTCACATTAATTTTTGCACAATGATGGGTACCAGGAGAAGGACCATCAGACTCTAAATAATGCTAATATTCATATTTTTTGCTTATAGTTCTTAATCTGGTTGGCTGGGGGAGCTTACACTGTCAAACGATTTGTGTTGTCTATTCAATAACATCTCTCAGTATCTTTGGAAAACCTCTGATAAAGATCCAGACTCTTTTTTTTTTTTTTGAGACGGAGTCTCGCTCTGTCACCCAGGCTGGAATGCAGTGGCGCAATCTCGGCTCACTGCAACCTCCGCTTCCTGGGTTCAAGCGATTCTCTTCCTTCAGCCTCCCGAGTAGCTGGGACTACAGGTGCATACCACACCCAGTTTATTTTATTATTATTTTTTTTGAGACAGAGTCTTGTTCTGTTGCCCAGGCTGGAGTACAACGGCACGATCTTGGCTCAGTGCAACCTCTGCCTCCCGGGTTCAAGTGATTCTCCCTGCCTCAGCCTCCTGAGTAGCTGGGATTACAGGCACTCACCACTATACCTGGCTAATTTTTATATTTTTAGTAGAGACACGGTTTCGCCATGTTGGCCAGGCTGGTCTCAAACTCCTGACCTCAGGTAATCCGCCTGCCTCGGCCTCCCAAAGTGCTGGGTTTACAGGCGTGAGCCCCCACAGCTGGCCTGGGATTTTTGTATTCTTAATAGAGACAGGGTTTCACTGTGTTGACCAGGTTGGTCTTGAACTCCCAACCTCAAGTGATCTGCCCACCTTGGCCTCCCAAAGTGCTAGGATTACAGGCATGAGCCACTGCGCCCAGCCACTATGGATTTTCTTGAGATGGATCCTTAGATGTGAAACCTCTCTAGCAAAAGGTGCAGAAGTTGCAGGTTGTCACTACATATTGCCAGATTTTCCTTAACGAGCACTGGCTGTTCATTTCCTTGGCATTACTGTGTATTATTATTTTTCTTTGCCATTATTAAAACAAAAATGCAATATTATCATTTTATTGGACTAGTGAAACTGAATTTCTTACATGTGTTTTGGCCACTGCAATTACAGGTTTTGCTTTAAAAAATTTATATCTTAACTTACATATAGTAAAAAAAAAAAAAAAAAAAAAAGTCACTTTTTGGTGTGTAATTCCATGAGTGTTGTTTAATACTTAGAGTTGTATATCCACCACTACAGTCAAGATACCAAGTAGTTTCATCACCCCCAAAATTCCCTCAGGCTGTCCCTTTGTATTTATATTTATTTTCCATATCTAAAAGATACAGAACAGTCTGTATCTTTTAGAAATATAAAGTCTGAAGTACATGAAATGGATAAAATGATATGAAGTCTGATATTGTTCCCCCCAAATAATAGATGAAACAAATTGGCCATGAGTTGGTTATTGTTGAAGCTGGGTGGTACGACTTTAGAATGCATTGTACTAGTCTCTACACTTTTGTGTGGGTTTGACATTTTTCTTAATTAAAAACATTTTAAGTTTTTTGTTGTTTATTTTTTTCAAAGTGCTTTGGGTTGTTGATTTGTTACTGTCCTCTTCACTCCTCAATCCTTTTCTGCCATACTTCTTAGTTTTTTCTGTCATGAATTACACTTATCCCTAACAAATGTCAGTTAAATGTCAGTTTGCTTTTTTTTTTTTTTTTTTAGTTTTGAGACAGGGTCTCACTCTGTCACCTAGGCTGGAGTACAGTGGCGCAATCACGGCTTACTGCAGCCTCGACCTCCTGGGCCAAGCAATCCTCCCACCTTAGACTCCTAAGTAGCTGGAACTATAGGAGCACACCACCATGCCTGGCTAATTTTTTCTAATTTTTGTAGACATGGAGTTTCATCATGTTGCCCAGGCTGGTCTCGAACACCTGGACTCAAGCAATCTGCCTGCCTTGGCCTCCCAAATTGCTGGGATTACATGTGTGAGCCACTACACCCAGCCTGGTTTGCCTATTTGTTTTTTGTTGTTTATGTTACATTGTCAAAACCACTAGGCACCTTGGATTGACACCCAGGGACCTCAGTTCCCCTAACTTCTGCAACTCCAATGGTTCTTCCCATCCCTCACATACCTTTACTGGCTGGCTGATGAAGATGTTCTGAAGCACTGATAAAATAATTGAAATCATCCAGCTGGTGGCTTGGTCTTTGCTCAATTCCAAGCTATAAAGTGCTGTAAAAAAGGCTGAAGCCAGGCTAGTGAAACCTAAGAGGAGCCAGCAGACTGAAGTCAACCATTTGGACAGGCCATTTGAGATGGGCTTTTTTCCTTCTTCTGAGCTCAGGATGGCAAAACTGGTGACTTCCCTGAAGCACAAAAGTTGAGGGAATAATCTTGTATGCATCGGCTGAGATAGAGGATGAGGAAGATTACAGGGGATAAAGAAGGCTTGGTGTGGTGCATTACCTGGATGGCTCTTGCTCCGTGGGAAGAATATGTGTTTCCAAGAGTTCCTGGAGTTTTTGAAGTTGGCTGGCTGCATCTAGGAAGTCACAGGACTGGTGACCCTGGGTGAGACCCAGCGTGCCTAAGTGAGATTTCAGCCTCTGCAGAACTCTATGCAGGTAACAGCAGAAATGATGGTGGTTTTCAGGAACAACTGAAAATATATTTCAAGTTGACACTTTCACAAGTGGATTTCAATAAGAAGCAATTAGTGGTAGAGATTAACAATTCATTGATGGATGATGAGGCTATATTTTCCCACTACTAGCAGAGATTGGACCGTACCCCACATTTGCAGTACTACCATCTTCTCTAAGGATGCTGGTGAATTTTTAACAATTGTAAAATTCTAAGCTTTGATCTAAAGACTTTTAAAACCTTATTGAGTTCTTCACCAGAATGGCAGTACATGTGACCTATACTAGTAAGTGCCCAGGAGACTCAAACAGTATTTGAGAATCCATAAATTCCATAATCTCATCATCTCATAAAAGAAAAAGGATGACAAGTTTCAACAGCCTTTGACAAAGCAGAAAGGATATGTGGGTATAATACAGAAAACTTTTTTTTGTATTTCTCTCTTTTTTTTTTTTTTGAGATGGAGTCTTGGTCTGTCGTCCAGGCTGAGTGTAGTGGCACGATCTTGGCTCACTGAAACCTCTGCCTCCCGGGTTCAAGTGATCCTCCTGCCTCAGCCTCTCTAGTAGCTAAGATTACAGGCATCTGCCACCATGACCAGCTAATTTTTTTTTTTTTTTGTATTTTTAGTAGAGACAGGGTTTTGTCACATTGGCCAGGCTGGTTTTGAACTTCTGACCTCAGGTGATCTGCATGCCTTGGCCTCCCAAAATGCTGGGATTACAGGCGTGAGCCACCCTGCCCGACCTGTGTTTTTTTCTTTTTTCAAGACAGAGCCTATGTTGCCCAAGCTGGAGTGTAGTGGCGCGATCTCAGCTCACTGCAACCTCTGCCTCCTGAGTTCAAGCAATTCTCCTGCCTCAGCCTCCCCCGTAGCTGGGATTACAGGCGCCCGCCACTACACCTGGCTAATTTTTGTATTTTTAGTAGAGACAGGGTTTCGCCATGTTGGCTAGGCTGGCCCTGATCTCCTGACCTCAGGTAATCTGCCCACCTCGGCCTCTCAAAGTGCCGGGATTACAGGCGTGACCCACATCTGGCTTGTGTTTTTTTCTTAATCCTGTACTTTGTTTCACCAGATAGAGAAAGATTGTCTACAAGTCATCAAGGAGAACAAAGCTATCAACTCTATACTAGAAGCTTAAGGAAATTAAAACAACCAGAAGGTTGTATCAGGCCTGTCGGTTATGAATGAGTAAGAAAGTAAGACATATGCAAGGGAGTGGGAGGCAGATGGAAGATTCGTTACTGAAATCTACTGAAGTTTACCACGTGCCCAGTGGCGCTCTCCCTGCTGATGACAGCCTTGACCCTCCAAGTGAGATGATACGAGGCTGGATAAAAGTTTCACCAGCTTAGTAATGTCCCAAGAACTCCATGGCGGCTGCTCACACTTGGAGAGTAGGTATGTATTTCTCCTGAGCAGGAATCTCACAGTTTCCTTTAATTCCTGAATGTAGGACCAGATGAGAAAAATCAGCCTGTTTTTCATTAACCCAGGATTTGTACCAATTACAGGTGGTAAGGCCGTTCCCTTTCGTCAGAAGGGGATATGCTTAGCACAAAGAACCTCAATTTTTCATGTTCCTCTAATTTTTCAGAAAGCAGTCACCTCACAGCTCATGGTAGCTGCAATACCAGTTTTATGAGACAATACAGAATGAAAAAAGAGACAATTTGATCAAACATCAAAGACTAAAGCAAGGCCAGAGTGGTACCATGCACTCCCATTTAGTTCTCAGAATACTTAATCATCAAGAGTAAAAGCTAAGCATGTGGTTGATCACGGCTCAGGGCACAGGAATTGGGAAAAATATATTACAGGTAACAGGACCCTGACAGCCTCCCATGAGATTCTTCCCACTGCTCTCTTCCACTGCGTGGGGAAAGGGAGCATGTCATTTTTTTTTTTTTTTTTTTTTTTTTTTTTTGAGACGGAGTCTTGCTCTGTCTCTGTTGCCAGGCTGGAGTGCAGGGGCGCAATCTTGGCTCACTGCAACCTCCGCCTCCTGGGTTCAAGTGATTCTCCTGGCTCAGCTTCCTGAGTAGCTGGGACTACAGATGCATGCCATCACGCCTGGCTAATTATTATTTTTTTGTCTTTTTAGTAGAGACGGGGTTTCACCATGTTAGCCAGGATGGTCTCGATCTCCTGACCTCGTGATCCGCCTGCCTCGGCCTCCCAAAGTGCTGAGATTACAGGCGTGAGCCACCGTGCCCAGCTGGGAGCACGTAATTTATCTGTAAAATTTGATACTGGCTGGGCACGGTGGCTTACGCCTGAAATCCCAGCACTTTGGGAGGCCAAGGTGGGAGGATGGCTTGAGCCCAAGGGTTTGAGACCAGCCTGGGTAACATGGTGAAACCCTGTCTCTACAAAAAAATACAAAAATTAGCCAGACATGGTGTCACATGCCTGTAGTCCCAGCTACTTGGGAGGCTGAGGTGGGAGGACCACTTGAGCCGGGAGTTTGAGGCTGCCACAGTGAGCCGAGGTTGCACCACTACACTCCAGTCTGTGCAACAGAGCCAGACCCTATGTCAAAACAAACAAGCAGGCAATAAAATAAGATAAAATAAAATTTGATACCAATCTTACCTCAACTACCATTGTGGCAGAGAGAGGCTCAACAGAAGCATCTGAGAGGCAGGAGGCCTGGATGGGAGGAAAGAGGGGCAGAGTCTCCTGTGGCTCAATCAACGGGAAGAGCCGCCCTATGACAAGATTGATTGGGAAGAGGATGACAGCAGTATGGATGCTGACCAGCAGTTCAGACCAGGCCACAGCAAATGGACGCACTGAAAGAAAAGCATGACATCAACTTTCATCTTCAACAATTAAAATAATCGCAAAGTCATTCCTCTCCTAGGTTTAACTATTTACTGAGGAAGTTAACTACGTTTATCTAGAGATAAAATTATCCTGGCAGTAAAGACCATGTTGTGTTCCTAATACTGCTTCATTTGTTAATGAATGAGAACACTGAGAAAATTTGTTAGAGTATTCTAACGTTAGGGCAGTGGAAGAAAAATGAAGGCACAATGTATTAGTCTGTTTTCACACTGCTATAAAGAACTATCTGAGACTGGGTAATTTATAAAGAAAAGTTCTTCATGGCTGGGGAGGCCTCAGGAAACTCACTGTCATGGCAGGAGGTGAAGAGGAAGCAAGAAACCTTACATGGCATTACAAAGCATTACAAAGCACTACAAAGCACCTTACCTGGCATTAACACTTTACATGCCTTACAAAGCAAAGCATCTTACATGGTGGCAGAAGAGTGACAGGGGAACTGCCACACACTTTTTTTTAATCCCCGAGACGGGGTTTTGCTGTCACCCAGGCTGGAGTGCAGTGGTGCAATCTCGGCTCACTGCAACCTCCGCCTCCTGGGTTTAAGCAATTCAACCATCAGATCTCATGAGAACTCACTATCATGGGAAAAGCATGGGAGAAACTGCCCCCATGATCCAGTCACCTCCCAGCAAGTCCTCCCCCCGCCCCAACACAGGGGGATTACAGTTGGACGTGAGATTTGGGTGGGGACACAGAGCCAAACCATATCACACCACATGATTCTGTTTCTTTCTAATCCTGAAAGTAAGGGTAGTGGAGTTTAGTTAAAGTATTGCATAGTAGGCTGGGCATGGTGACTCGTGCCTGTAATCCTAGCACTTCAGGAGGCTGAGGCAGGAGGATCACTTGAGGCCAGGAGTTCTAGACCAGCCTGGGTAACAGAGCAAGACCCTGTCTCAAAAAAAAAAAAGGATTGCTTACTACAAACAACACACATCAGGGCTCATCCATACTTTGCTCATCTCTCTTGGCAGTGGTGCTGTTTATCTTCCAGAACATAACATTGATGACCATGTTGCAGAGTAGCAGTGTCATGCAGCAAGACAGCCGTTGGACCCTTGTAAACTGGTTCCAGGGATGCCGAGTTGCAATTGAAAGCCACAGATAATCCTGGGTGAACTTTTCCACAATCATGGAGGAAAACAGATGTCTGAAAAGAGAAATCAGAAGAGGAAATACATGAGATTTTATTCTGAAAGTGCACCAGTTTAAGATGTGATTTGCCCAGCAACAAGCGACATAGCAACTCCCAAGCCTCTATTCAACACCTCTGTGAATAAGCTTTCAGATATTTTAATTCTTTTTTTATTTTAAATTCTTTTACCATCACCCGAATGTGTCCATGTAAGATTCTTTTGTTGTTTTAGGATAAAAGGTTGTTGAGGATAATTTATATGCTATGCGAGTTTAAAATTAAAAATGGTTGTTTTAGCTTTATAAGAGTTTTGATGAATTTTTTACTCTTCAAAAGTTTACATTAAACTTCTGCTCAAAATAGTTTGGTAAATTCATACTCTGAGCACTTTCTCTACTCCAAATATGGAGGAACTATAAATAATATATAAAAAGAAAGAACCAAAAAGACTTTGCTGGGCTTAAACACAAAATAAACCTTTTCTGAGGAAGAGAAGCAGAATGAGAAAACAAGGTGGTCAGAGTGAGGTAGAAGCCACAGGATTACTGAGCTCCAGACCTGGAGGAAGGTAGTACAAAAGTGGGAGTTTGACTTTTGTACAGTAACTGAAACTAAAAATGATTCACTGGGTGCAGAAAAGGGAGGGACAAAGCCAACTTCATTGCTAGAAGCCAGTGTTGAGCCTGGAGCTCATGAAAGGATACTTGAGAACAAAAAAACCTCTGTAGGGCTACACATTTATAGTAAGGAGGTGAGAAAAAAAGGACAGCTTCATGACCAGGAACTAAGTCAAGAGATCCAAGGCTCATGACAAGATCTGCAATACTCCTAGTTCCATTAATTTCATTGAAAAATAGGAGCTCCAAGGTCCCATATAATAAGGCCCAGTTCTAGACTGGAGATGTGAAGGGTTGGAATGAAAACAGTAGCAAAACCAGTCACGGGTGGTGTTTGTGGTGGAAGGGGTGGAAGGGATGGTATGTGTGTGTGTGTGGAGGTGCAGTGGCAGGGAGAGGAGTGGGAGGGAGAGGGAAAGTAATAATCCAGCCCAAAAGAAATTAATTTAATGGGACCCAGGAGGCAGAGGTTGCAGTGAGCTGAGATCGCACCACTGCACTCCAGCCTGGGCTACAGAGAGACTCCATCTAAAAAACAAACAAAAAAAGGGGTGTATATAAACACACACACATAACAGAATATCATTTAGTTTTTTGTTTTTGAGACAGGGTCTTGCTGCGTCACCCAGGTTGGAGTGGAGTGCAGTGGTGAGATCTCAGCTCATTGCAACCTCCATCCCCCTGGCTCAAGTGATCCTCCCACCTCAGTGGTGTGCAGGTGCACACCACTACACCTAATAGGGCTTAGCTGTATCCCCACCCAAATCTCATCTTGAATTGTAGTTTCCACAATCCTCTCCTCTGTCATGGGAGGAACCAGGTGGAGATAACTGAATCATGGGGTCAGTTTCCCCCATCCTGTTCTTGTGATCGTGAGCGAGTTCTCACAAGACCTGATGGTTTTATAAGGTGCTCCCCACTTCACTGGGCACTCATTCTCCTTGCTGCCATGTGAAGAAGGATGTGTTTGCTTCCCCTTCTGCCATGATTGTAAGTCTCCTGAGGCCTCCCAAGCCATGCTTAACTGTGAGTCAATTAAACGTCTTTCCTTTACAAATTACCCAGTCTTAGGTACGTCTCCATAGCAGCATGAGAATAGACTAAATATAACACCTGGCTAAATTTTGTATTTTTTGTAGAGATGGAGTTTTACCATGTTGCCCAGGCTGGTCTCGAACTCCTGAGCTCAAGTGATCCACTTGTCTCAGCCTCCCAAAGCGCTGGGATTCCAGGTGTGAGCCACTGCACCTGGCCCATCATTTAGCTTTAAAAAGGAAGGAATTTTTTTTTTTTTTTTTTTTTTTTGTGAGATGGAGTTTCACTCTTGTCACCTAGGATGGAGTGCAATGGCCTGATCTTGG
The DNA here is from genome assembly GCF_000001405.40 of Homo sapiens. NCBI lineage: Eukaryota > Metazoa > Chordata > Mammalia > Primates > Hominidae > Homo > Homo sapiens. The sequence continues at coordinate 71,956,265 of NC_000016.10, forward strand.
CTCACTGCAACCTTCACCTCCCAAGTTCAAGCAATCCTTCTGTGTCAGCCTCCCAAGTAGCTGGGATTACAGGCAACCACAGCCATGCCTGGCTAATTTTTGTATTTTTAGTAGAGATGGAGTTTCACCATGTTGGCCAAGCTATCTCAAACTCCGGACCTCTGGTGATCCACCCGACCCGGCCTCCCAAAGTGCTGAGATTACAGGTGTGAGCCACCGCACCCGGCCCAAAAAGGAAGGAAATTCTTGCACATGCTACAGCATGAATGAACCTTGAGGACATTGTGATAAATGAAATAAGCCAGTCACCGACAGACAAATACTGTATGGTTCTGCTTACATGAGGAATGTGAAGTAATGAAATTTATAGAAATAGAAAGAATAGTTGCCAAGGGTTGGAAGGGGGAGGGAACAGGAAGTTGTTCAATGGGTGTAGAGTTTCAGTTTTGCAAAGTGAAAAAGCTCTGGAGCTCTGTTGCACAGCAGTATCAATATATATACTACTACTGCACTACACACTTAAAAATGGTGAAGATGGTAAATGTTATGTGTTTTTACCGTAATTTTAAAAGTTGTAAAAACAGTGTAAACATACACATAAATAAATATATAGATTGCAACTCTTCTGCCTTAAAAAATAACTACATGCAGCAGTGATTAAGAATCTATATGATGGACACACAATGCATGAAGATGTAATTTGTATGACAACAATAGCACAAAAGAGTGGGAAAGGAACTGAGCTACAGGAGTGAAGTTTTTGTATACTATTGAAATTAAGTTGATAGTAATCCAGCTAGGTTTTCATAAATTAGAATTTTAATTATAATCCCCAGGGGAGGCATAAAGAAAATAATTTAAAAATATATAGTAAAAGATACGACAAAAGAATACGGTAGACTAGAAAATATCCATTTAACACAGAGAAGGCAGTGATGTCCTCTGGGAGATTCTATGCCAGTAGGTGTGGGTAACTGTTGAACCCCATTTGTGATGGTGATTAAAAAAAAGGCAGTGATAAAGAAACAGAGGAACAAAAAAGATACAATACGTATAGAAAACAAATAGCAAAATGGCAGATATAAACCTTACCTTATTAGTAATTATATCAAATGTAAATAGGTTAAACTCACAAATTAAAAGATAGAGATTGGCAGAATGGACCAAAAAAATGCCTAATCCAACTGTATTCTGTCTACAAGAGACATAATTTAGATATGAAGACACAAATGAATTGAAATTAAAAGGATGGGCCAGTAGTGGTAGCTCACACCTGTAATCCCAGCACTTTGGGAGGAGAAGGTGGGAGGATCATTTGAGGTCAGGAGTTCGAGACCAGCCTGGCCAACATGGTGAAACCCCATCTCTAAAAAAATACAAAAATTAGCAAGGCATGGTGGCACATGCCTGTATTTCTAGCTACTCGGGAGGCTAAGGCAGGACAATTGCTTGAACCCAGGAGGTTGCAGTGAGCCAAGATCAAGCCACTGGACTAAAAAGATGGAAGAAGGTATTCCATGTAAACAGCAATCAAAAAAGGGCTGGAGTGGCTATACTCATATAGGACAAAATATACTTCAAGACAAGAATTATTACTAGAGCCAAAGACATTTTATTAAAGGGTCAATTAAGAAGATAAATTCATCTGTGCTGTCTTCTTACAAGCCAAGTGGAAGTGTTGCTAGCCAGCCATATAGCTGTCACAATGTTTCTGCTTAGGAACTGCTCCACAGGCAGAAGACAATGTATTAAAATCTTCAAAGTGTTAAGGGAAAAATAACAAAAAATTTCTATCCACTTAAATAGCTAACTATGAGTCAAGAGTAAAGATGGACACACACGGCCGGGCGCGGTGGCTCACGCCTGTAATCCCAGCACTTTGGGAGGCCGAGGCGGGCGGATCACGAGGTCAGGAGATCGAGACCATCCCGGCTAAAACGGTGAAACCCCGTCTCTACTAAAAATACAAAAAATTAGCTGGGCGTAGTGGCGGGCGCCTGTAGTCCCAGCTACTTGGGAGGCTGAGGCAGGAGAATGGCTTGAACCCGGGAGGCGGAGCTTGCAGTGAGCCGAGATCCCGCCACTGCACTCCAGCCTGGGCGACAGAGCGAGACTCCGTCTCAAAAAAAAAAAAAAAAGATGGACACACACACACTTCTCATTAGAACTATTAAAAGAGCTACTTCAACAAGGAGAAAAAAGCCCAGAGTAATGATAAGAAATACAGAAAACTGGCTGGACGTGGTAGCTCATGCCTGTAATCCCAGCATTTTGGGAGGCCGAGGTGAGTGGATCACCCTGAGGTCAGGAGTTTGAGACCAGCCTGGCCAACATGGTGAAACCCCATCTCTACTAAAAATAGAAAAATTAGCCAGGCGTGGTGGTGGGCGCCTGTAATCCCAGCTACTCAGGAGGCTGAGGCAGGAGAATCACTTGAATCCAGGAGGCGGAGGTTGCAGTGAGCCGAGATCATGTCACTGCACTCCAGCCTAGGCGATAGAGCAAGACTCTATCTCAAAAAAAAAAAAAAAAAAAAAAAAAGTCGGGCACGGTGGCTCACACCTGTAATCTTAGCACTTTGGGAGGGTGAGGCAGGTGGACTGCTTGAGCGCAGGAGTTTGAGACCAGCCTGGGCAACAGAGTGAAACGCCGTCTCTAATAAAATACAAAAAATTAGCCAGGCATGGCAGCGTGTGCCTGTAATCCCAGCTACTCCGGAGGCTGAGAAAGAATTGCTTGAACGTGGGAGGCAGAGGTTATAGTAAGCTGAGATTGCACCACTGCACTCCAGCCTGGATGACAGAGCAAGACTCCCGTCTCAAAAAAAAAAAAAAAAAAAAGACACTAAAAGAATACAGAAAACTAGGCTGGGCACGGTGGCCCTCACCTGTAATCTCAGCACTTTGGGAGGCCAAGGTGGGTGGATCACCTGAGGTCAGGAGTTTGAGACCAGCCCGACCAACATGGAGAAACCTGTCTCTACTAAAAATACAAAATTAGTCGGGCATGGTGGCGCATGTCTGTAATCCCAGCTGCTCAGGAGGCTGAGGCAGGAGAATCACTTGAACCTGGGAGGTGGAGGTTGTGGTGAGCTGAGATCGTGCCATTGTACTCCAGCCTGGGCAACAAGAGCAAAAATCCGTCTCAAAAACCAACCAACTAAACAAACAAACAAAAAACAAAGAATACAGAAAACTAGAATAAACAGAGAAATTGATATTAATTATTTAATTAACTGTGAAATATGAAAGGAAAAACCTTTTTTGTGCATCTAAAAACAAAATGGTAAAACCATAACACTAGAGAGTAATTTAAAACATGGGAATTGGGAGAGAGGTTACTCAAGAACGGTTAAAGCATTGCTAATTCTTTGTCATGTTCAGGCAGAAGAAACGTTATTCTTAGAAAATTAATATGGAGAAAAAGTGTGTTAAAAATTAAAAGTAACCAATAAAAAGAATTAGAAGAGGAAGAAGAGGAACAGAAGCAGGAAGTGGAAAAACAAGAGGAGAAAGAGGAAAAAATACAATGTATAGTTTCTAAACCAGCAAAGATTAAAAATACAAGAAGTGGTCAGGCATGGTGGCTCACACCTGTAATCCTAGCACTTTGGGAGACCAAGACATGCAGATCACTTGAACCCAGGAGTTCAAGAACTAGCTTGGGCAACATGGTGAGACCCTGTTTCTACAAAAATAGTTTTAAAATTAGCCAGGCATGGTGGCACACACCTGTAGTCCCAGCTACTCAGGAAGCTGAGGTGGGAGGATCACCTGAGGCTGGCGAGGTTGAGGCTACAGTGAGCTGTGATCCATGTCACAGCACTCCAGCTGGGGTGACAGAGCAAGACCCCATCTGAAAGAAACAACCAACCAACCAACAAACCAAGAGGCAGAGAACCTTAAAAAAAAAAAACCAAAAAAAACTACAAAACCTGTCAATTTGACAATGTGGAAAGTAGATAAAGGAAAGAGAATGGATTATAACAAATAATGCAAAATAATATGGTAAATTAAGTCCAAATGGATTGGTAATCATGGTTAATGTAAACATATTAAACTCATGTATTAAAAGAGATTATTAGATCTGGTTTTTTAAACATCCAGTTATATGTTGCTTGCAAGACATAACTCTAAGCAAAACCATAAAAAGGGCTGAAAGTAAAAAGATAAGAACAAACAATAGAAATAATATCAGTATGTCAACTTTCTTTAGTTAATATAAAATGGAATTTAAGATACAAAGTGTCAACAGGATCAAAGGGAGACCTATATAATAAAAAAAAAAGTATCCAGAAGAAATAACATACACTTAAATGCTCCTAATAAACATCCAATAGACATATAAAATATGTCTATACGGTAAAAACTTACATAACTGAAGGAGAATTAAACTCACAGTCTTTCCTCTATTGGAAACACAGAGATTAAACAGATAAAAAATCACATTTCTGCAACAAAAATGAGTATGTTTGAATAAATATGTCTATATATGTTTTAAAAATACTAGAACTTTGGATGCAATGGTATATGCCTGTAATCCTAGCTACTCGGGAAGCTGAGGTGGGAGGACTGCTTGAGCCTAGGTGTTTGGGACCAGCTTGGCAAACACAGTGAGACCCTATCTCAAAAATCAAAACAAAACAAACCTAGAACTGTATCAGGTCTAGGGAGGGGAAATAGTATTCGCTACCCCTTAAGTTTTGGTGAAGGAGAGAAAATTTCTACCAGTTTATTCCTATACACAAGCAACACACAATTTAAAACATATATTTTTGGTTTGTTTTTTAGAGACAGGATCTCATTTTTTTTTTCCCACTTCTTGCTGAGAGTCCATGATTTTTAGTTTCAAGACTTATTTGTTTTCTCTGTTTTGTTTTGAGATGGAGTCTTCACTCCTTCGCACAGGCTGGAGTGCAGTGGCGTGATCTCAGCTCACTGCAGCCTTGACCTCCCGGGTTCAACTTCCCTGCCTCAGCCTCCCCAGTAGCTGGGACTACAGGCGTGCACCACTGCGCATGGCTAACTTTTGTATTTTTGGTAGAGAAGGGGTTTTACCATGTTGGCCAGGCTGGTCTCGAACTCCTGACTTCAGGTGATCTGCCCACCTCAGCCTCCCAAAATGTTGGGATTACAGGAGTGAGACACCGTACCTTGGCCCTTCTCCTTGAATCTGATTTTCAAAGTTAGGACATAAAAGGCTAAAGCCCCTACTTAGTTCTGTTGAACTGCCCATTCTGGAGGGAGACAGCCACCCCTGTGAAAAATGCCACTCTCTTGAGGTTGCCACGCAGAAGCCATACATAGGTGCTTTGTTGACAGCCACAGATGAGCTCTCAGTTGACAGCCAGCGCCCCCTGCTGACCTTGTGAGCGAATCATTTTTGGAAATCTAACACAGAGGAGCTTACAGATGAGTAACAGACCCAGCCAGGATGAAAGATCCCAAGGGAAAACTCCCCAGCCATGGCCTCACTGAATTTCTGACCCACAAAACCAGGAGAAAAGTAACATGGTTGTTTTAATCCACTCAGTTTTGGGAGTAATTTCTTATATGCCGCAATTGTAATTGGAGCAGATCTTAACAAAGAAATACACATTTCTTGTTTGTTCTGGGAGTCAAGTACCAGAAGAAACAGTTCCATGTTTTTTTGCCTTTAGGCATTTTAATGTAAGGACGTGGTGTTTGGTTGATAGAGCCACTGAGGCTGGAGCACAGTGGCTGTATCTCGGCTCACTGCAACTTCCGCTTCCTGGGTTCAAGCCACTCTTCTGATTCAGCCTTCCAAGTAGCTGGGACTACAGTCTCATGCTACCAAGTCTGGCTAATTTTTGTACTTTGGTAGAGATGGGGTTTTGCTATGTTGGCCAGGCTGGTCTCAAACTCCTGGCCTCAAGTGATTTGTCCACCTCGGCCTCCCAAAGTGCTGGGATTACAGGTGTGAGCCACCATGCCCGGCTAGGACATGGTGTGTGGGCCTCTTGCAATCATCTTGTTCCCATGAGGAAAAAGCCGAGAGCCGTAATATTGAACCAGAAAGCTGAAGGTAAGAAGGAGGTCAGATAGCAGAGGTATATTCTCCTAGGAATATTCTCATCTTTAGCATTCAGGAGACATAGAAAGATACATGGATACCTAGAAAGATACAGAAGTTGATACGTATATTATACCGTTCTCCTGGTCTGTGAATTCACCAGTACATTGCTTTAATTATTTTGGTTTACTAACATCTTTGCATTTTTTGAGATGGAGTTTCGCTCCGTTGCCCAGGCTGGAGTGCAGTGGCAATCTTGGCTCACTGCAACCTCTGCCTCCCAGGTTCAAGCAGTTCTCCTACCTTAGCCTCCCGAGTAGCTGGGATCACAGGTGTGCACCACCACGCCTGGCTAATTTTTGTATTTTTAGTAGGTCTTGCTATGTTGGCTAGGCTGGTCTTGAACTCCTGACCTCAAGTGATCTGCCTGCCTCAGCCTCCCAAAGTGCAGGGATTGCAAACATGAGTCACGGTGCCTGGCCAGTTTACTAGTGTCTTTGAAAGTCAGTTGAAGGCTACAGCCCTCTAATACTTTCCTTTATTTTTATATTTTGTTCTCATAAATATTTGTATCATCGAAGTAGTGGTATCCTTTTTATATTCCATTGATCTGAGTGATTCTTTTATTCCTAGATATCTTAGTAAATTTATAAATGATTCTCTAGGTAAACAGTTTCAGAAAATAAGGGCAATATTTATAATTTTTATACTTCGAATCTCTTTTTGTCTTCCTTCTGATTTTTAAGGTAATGGTTACACCAGTTACAACCACAACAGTAATGCTTATGTATGTTTGAAATAATACATTAATAAAATGTTAATTTGCATTAAAAACAATTCAATCGTGAACAATTCAATTAATAGTGAACATCAATATTCACTGTTAATAGTAATTTTCCAACAGTACCTAAAGGAAAAGAGCTCTCTCTTTGAAACTGGGATGAAGACCCGGTCAAGCTCACAGTCTCCGAGGTCCACAGCCAGCCAGCAATTGCACAGGAAATGCCACTTCCTCTTAACTGCCATGTCACAGACAATTACCTGGCTGACATACCTATAGTAAAATGAAGATAACCACATTAGGGAGATGGGCTTGAATCAGTTGTCTGTAGTAAGACGTAATCTCAGACCATTAGTAAACTGTCCAAGTAAATGAACTGTTTCATTGCAAGGCAAGAACTAAGGAAAGGAAAGAAAGTTGAGGCCAGACATGGTGATGCACACCTACAATCCCAGCACTGCGTGAGGCTGAGGCAGGTGGATTGCTTGAGCTCAGGCATTTGAGCACAGCTTGGGCAACGTCGCAAAATCCCAACTCTACAAAATATATAAAAATTAGCTGGGCGTGGTGGTGTGCACCTGTAGTCCTGAGCTACTTGAAAGGCTGAGGTGGAAGGATTGTTTGAGCCCGGGAGGTCAAGGCTGCAGTGAGTTGAAATTGCACCACTGCATTCTAGCTTGGGTGACAGAATGAGACTCTGTCAAAAAAAACAAAAAGAAAAGAGAGTAGATCTTATCTTTCCCTTCCCAACTTCTAAGGGAGTTCATGTACCAGACACCAGACTGCAAACCTTTCTCACCTATGAATAGATAAGTATGTATCTACACATTTTATAACCTTTCTCTGTCCCATATGTGACAGTGGCTTGCCACCTTTTCAAATATCCCATCTGCCTTTCATCATCAGGGGGCATAAATGGGTTGTAGTCTTTATCATTTACATTAATGACTTCTCACTCTACTTAGTCTCATCTCCGCTTCACAGGCCTCATCTCCACTTCACAGAGCCATAGGCCCTGAGAGCTCATCCTTTTCCCAACCAGTGTTTTATCACTAATTTCTCTGCTAACTTCAGCCGTTCACACCCCTGTCCTCTGGGACACCTGATTATTCAACCTGTTTGATTTCACCTCACAACTATTCGGCAAACCTCCTCCTTTACTGTAATGATGCTATTTTCCCCAAGGGTCTGTGTTTGTCATGAAACCACTTAAATTTCTCTCGTCAAAATCTTTTTTTTTTTTTTTTTTTTTTTTTTTTTTTTTTTTTTTTTTTTTTTGAGACAGAGTTTCACTCTCTTGCACAGGCTGGAGTGCAGTGGTGTGATCTTGGCTCACTGCAACCTCCACCTCCCAGGTTCAAGCAATTCTCCTGCCTCAGCCTCCCAAGTAGCTGGGACTACAGGAAGGAGCCACCACGCCCGGCTAGTTTTTGTATTTTTAGTAGAGATGGGGTTTCACTGTGTTATAGCCAGGATGGTCTCGATCTCCTGACCTCGTGATCTGCCCGCCCTGGCCTCCCAAAGTGCTGGGATCACAGGCATGAGACACCATGCCTGGCCAATTCAATGTATTTTGACAAACGTTTATACACCAGCACCATCAAAATATCACCCCCAAAAGCTCCCTATCCCTCCTTCCAGTCACCTCCTGCCCCCTCATTCCTGGCCTTAGGAGAACAATGATCTGCTGTCCTCTGTCTTTATAGAATAGTTAGCCTTTTATGGAATTTTATGTGTGTGGAATCATATGCTCTCTCTCTATATATATGTATTTTTTTTTTTTTTTGAGGCAGGATCTTGCTCTGTTGCCCAGGCTGGAGTGCAGCGGTGCGATCTTGGCTCACTGCAACCTCCACCTCTTGGGCTCAAGTGATTCTCCCGCCTCAGCCCCCCAAGTAGCTGGGAGTACAGGCATGAGCCATCACGCCCAGCTAATTTTTGTATTTTTTTGTAGAGACAGAATTTCACCATGTTGCCCAGGCTGGTCTCAAACTCCTGACCTCAAGTGATCTAACCACCTTGGCCCCCCAAAGTGCTGAGATTAGAGGTGTGAGCCACTGTGTCTGGCCTATACATTCTTTATGTACAGCTTCTTTCACTAAGCATAATTTAAAAAAATTCATCCACGTAGTCATATGTAACAATCGTTTCCTTTTCGTTGAGTAGTATTACATTGAATCAATACACTAACATTTGTTTATTCATTCAATAGACATTTGTGATGTTTTCTGTTTTGGGCTACTAATAAAGCTGCTATGAATATATGTGTACAGGTCTTGCAGTGGACACATGTTTTTGTTTATCTTGGGTAAATACCTATGAGTGTGATTTCTGGGTCACATGGTCAGTGTATGTTTAACTTCACAAGAAACTGGCAAGCTGTTCTCTGAAGTGGCCATACCATTTTACACTCTCACTAGGGGCGTGTGAGTGTTTCAGTTGCTCCCCATCCTCCCCTAAACTTGGTTTTGTGAGAATTTTTTTTTTTTTTTTTTGGAGATGGTCTCACTCTGTTGCCAAGTTGGACTGCGGTGGCACCATCTCTGCTCAACGCAATCTCTGCCTCCCAGGTTCAAGCAATTCTCCTGCCTCGGTCTCTCGAGCAGCTGGGGTGACAGGCATTTACCACCATGCCCGGCTAATTTTTGTATTTTTAGTAGAGACAGGGTTTCACCATGTTGGCCAGGCTGGTCTCAAACTCCTGACCTCAAGTGATCTGCCAACCTCGGCCTCCCAAAGTGCTGGGATTACAGGCGTGAGCCACTGTGCCTGGCCTTTTGTGAGAGTTTTTAATTTAAGCCATTCTGATGGATGGCTAGTGCTGTCATTTTCATTTACTGATGACTAACCAGGTTGAACATCTTTTCAAGTGCTTACTATACATTATTCACTTTTTTAAATAAAACTGGAAGGATGGTTTACAAGCTGATTTGTGCATACTGGAACAGAATGGAAGCAGCAAGGAAGTTATTAGGCTCTACCAGCCCAGTGGCTGGTATGTCTAGCTAGGGGGAAAAATGTATTTTGCTAACAAATTTAGGGAGACCATATGCTCTTTGTGGGTGGGCAACATGTGGCAACAGATTGAGTGCCTGAGCCTTAAGACTTCTACTTCATTTTTCTCTTTTTTCCTAACTCCAAGGAACCAGTAATCCTCATTCTTAATTAATTGTATCATCTACTTTCTCTAGCACCTCTCCTAATTCTGGGTGCTGCTCAAGGAAGATACTGAATCATTCAAACCTAACACGTTAGGTTCAAGGACTTTATCATCGTCTAGTTATTTCTCTAACTCCTTAGGCACATCTCATACAGTAATTCTTTCTCCTTCCTTAAGATCTTGACTTTTTTTTTTTTTTCCTTCCCTCCGAGACAGGGTCTTGCTGTTGCCCAGGCTGGTGTGCAGTGGTGCAGACATGCTCACTGCAGCTTCAACCTCCGAGGCTCAAGTTATCCTCCCACTTCAGTCTCCTGAGTAGCTGGGATTATAGGTGCACACAACCATGCCTGGCGATTTTTTTTGAAATTTTTTTTGTAGAGGTGGGGTCTTCCTATGTAGCTCAGGCTGTTCTCAAACTCCTGGCCTCAAGTGATCTTCCTGCCTTGGCCTCCCAAAGTACTGGGATTACAGGCGTGAGCTGCTGCGCCCTGCCCTTAAGCTCTTAAATTTGACTCAAAGTTTGACTGTCAGTAGACAGTTGTTTACTAAAGTTAGTCTTTAAGGATATTTTTTCATATTTAGAAATACTTTTAATTTGTGGCACTTTCAGGCAATATTTCATTGGTGTTATTTGCTGTTCACAATCATGACATTTAATGAAAATGAGATTAGAGAAAACAAAACATCTATTATTCTACTATCCAAAAAAAATCACATTGTTAATCTCTCACACTTCTTTCCAGGGCTTATTCTGTGTAGACAGCTTTGAAACTGAAATCTAATAGTCATTTGTTACTATTTGGCTCAAAGCTTTACTGTGATTTATTGTGGTGATCTTCTTTCTTCTCTCTTGGATCCACAAAGCAGCAGCAACAGCCAACAGGATATAAGTACTCACCAGGAGGGACTGACGCCAGAATTGTCATGCCAGAGCCGAAGGCTGTGCAGGTTCCCTAGAGAGGTCCAAGTGGTGAGAAGGAAGACATCCAGGCCCCCTCGTTCAAAGACTGTCTTCTGGGGGTCACAGAGGTGATGGGGCTCACTCCGTCCCTCTGATCCATAGAGGGTGATGACAACCTACAATGAGACAGGGAAAGATAAAATATAAGGAATTTTAACACAATTCTTTGGGTTTATCCCTAAGGAGAAAGACGAAGACATAGAAAACTATTTAGATCAAGTCTTTCGGATCTTAGACAAGCATAGATAATTCTTCATATATGCAGTATAGATATATTTTTTCTGACATGAAGTCTTGCTCTGTCACCCAGGCTGGAGTGCAGTGGTGTGATCTTGGCTTAGTGCAACCTCTGCCTCCCAAGTTGAAGCAATTTTCGTGCCTCAACCTCCTGAGTAGCTGTGATTATAGTCATGGGCCATCACGCTCAGCTAATTTCTGCATTTTTAGTAGAGAAGGGTTTTCACCTTGTTGGCCAGGCTGGTCTCAAACTCCTGACCTTAGGTGACCTCCCCACCTTGGCCTCCCAAAGTATTGGGATTACAGGCGTGAACCCCCATGTGCGGCCCACATGTACAGTTTAGAACTAGAAAATACCAATCTCTAGTCTCTTTTAAAGTGCTATTGGTTGCCAGGATATCACCAACTCAGAGTGTGTCTCATGTGGCAGAAGACACAAGGCAATGTGAAAAACATTTATTTCATTAACCTTAGCTGTTGTAGCAGCGCTTCTTCGATATCCGGTGTAGACCTGAATAAGGTAGTGAAATTGAGCGCTGGGGTCATTATCAGCCAGGACAGTGACCTTCACCTGCAAGAAAAGCAGAACCATGCAACTTACTAGGCCTCCACTTGGTATAGTTCCTGCCTCCTCCAGCTGAGGAGCAGGAGGATGAACTCCGGCAGGTGTCTGGCAGCCCTGCAGAAAGCAGGGCTGAGGTGTGGGCAGCAGACAGACACATGAGCAGACCTAAGTCACTAAAGTGGGGATGAGGCCTGAACCTCCAGGGCCTGTGCCTCTCAAGTGAAACAGTCATAGAATCACCCGATCAGGTCTTGGGCCTCTAAATCCTTCCACCTCCTTCCCACTTAGGTACAGTCACCAGATAACAGAGAATACCCAGCTAAATCTGCATTTCAGATAAACTATGAATAATTTGGGGCACACTTACACTAACGATGCACTGTTCATTTAAAATGCAAATTTAACTAGGTAGCCTGTATTTTTGTTTACTAATGCTGACAACCCTACACCCAGGGCAACAAGAAGTGAACACTTGGCGTATTCTAGAATTTCCAAGTGCAAGAAAACATAGGAAGAACAAACACATGGAAAGAAGAGGCTGTCAAAAGATTTTTGTTTTAAAAAACATGCCATATAAATTTCTTGTATATTATAGTTATATTCTTATTTTTTGAGACGGAGTCTTGCTATGTTGCCCAGGCTGGAGTGCAGTGGTTCATTCTTGGCTCACTGCAACCTCTGCCTCCCAGGTTCAAGTGATCCTCCCACCTCAGCCTCCTGAGTAGTTGGGACTACAGACATGCACCACCACAGCCGGCTAATTTTTGTATTTTTAGTAGAGACAGGGTTTCACCATGTTGGCCAGGCTGGTCTTGAACTCTTGACCTCAAGCGATCCACCTGCCTCGGCCTCCCAGTGTGCTGGGATTATAGGCGTGAGCCACTTCACCCAGCCAGTTACATTAAGTTACAATTTGATTTACATATAACTTTTTTTTTTTTGAGACAGAATCTCACTCTGTCGGCCAGGCTGGAGTGCAGTGGGGCAATCTCGATCTCAGCTCACCGCAACCTCTGTCTCCCGGGCTCAAGCAATTCTCCTGCCTCAGCCTCCCGAGCAGCTGGGATTACAGGCACATGCCACCATGCCTGGCTAATTTTTGTATTTTTAGTAGAGATGGAGTTTCATCATGTTGGCCAGGCTGGTCTCAAACTCCTGACCTCAGGTGATCCACCTGCCTCGGCCTCCCAAAGTGCTGGGATTACAGGCGTGAGCCACTGCACCCAGCCAAGTTACATGTAACTTTCATATCCAATGTATAAAGTAAGATAAACTTGCATTTAACTTTAGTTAAGCTCTCTAGGTCTTTTCTTTTCTTTTTCTTTTTGGAGACTGGGTCTCTGTTGCCCAGGCTGGAGTAAAATGGCACAATAGCTCACTGCAGCTTCAAGGCTCCTGGGCTCAAGCGATCTTCCCACCTCAGCTGCCCAAGTAGCTGGGACTACAAGCATGCACCACCATGCCAGGCTCTTTTTTTTTTTTTTTTTTTTAGTAGAGACAAGGTCTTGTTATGGTGGCCAGGCTGGCCTTGAACTCTTGAGCTCAAGTGATCCTCCTGCCCTGGCCTCCCCAAGTGTTGGAATTATAGGCATGAGCCACTACACCTGGCTAGTGTTTTCTTTTGGCTCATTCCTGTCCTAAAAGGAGTCCTGCAAGGTCCAATCTTGGAACCAAAGGAAAAAAAAATAGAGAGAAAAAGTTCTCAGGTCTTGAGTCAGCAGACACGAAGATAAATTTAAGAAAAGTTTCACTTGAATTTCTATGCCTCCCAGTACCAGGCTTCCTGCTGCTTTTGACGAAGGTGTTTTTTCCTTCATCTTATTTAATTACTCAAAACATCATGGCAAATCTGTTGAAATCAAAGTCTCATTACCTTCTGCATATCTGCTTGATCCTTTTTCCGAGCCCACACAACTGTGATCACATAAAATCCTAAAAGGCTGGCCAGCAGTGACACCCCAACAGGATTGTTGGTCACGCGAAGGAACAGTTTGATCGTGTCTTCAACATTCACGGTCCTGGGCACGACAAAGAAGTCGCTGGCAAAGAAGGTCAGGTGGTTACAGAGACACTGTGTCCTCAGAATTGTGCTCTGTGGCCCAACCTGGAATTAGAATCAAGACGTTGATTCTAGTCAGACAGAGTGCTAAGGAGGGGACAGACATAAAACAAACACCAGCAATTTAGAGATGGAAAGAGGTATCTGGTTCTCTCATTCACAGCTGGTGATGGCGTAAATTGGTATAACCAATGTGGAAAGTAATTTAGCAACATCTAGTACAGCTGAAGCAGAACAAACTCTTTGAATCCTGCAATTCCAGTTCTGAGTGTATACATGTTCTAGGGGAACTGTGCACATGTGTATGAAGATATATGAAAAGGAATGTTTTGTCACCTTTGTCTATAATTATCAAAAATAGGAAACAACTTACATGTTCAATAGCAGAACATACAAATGAACAAGTACATAAGTAAGCAGAGGCAAACTGATTGAATTCTATACAGCAGTTAAAAATGAATGAATCAGCGGGTGTGGTGGCTCATATCTGTAATCCTAGCACTTTGGGAGGCTGAGGCAGGTGGATCACCTGAGGCTAGGAGTTTGAGACCAGCCTGGACAACATGGTGAAACCCCATCTCTACTAAAAATATAAAAATTAGCCAGGCTTGGAGGCGCATGCCTGTAGTCCCAGCTACTTGGGAGGCTGAGGCAGGAGAATTGCTTGAACCTGAGAGACAGAGGTTGCAGTGAGCCCAGATCACACCACTGCATTCCACCCTGGGTGACAGAGCAAGACTCTGTCTCCAAAATAAATAAATAATACATAAATATAAAAATTTTAAAAAATGGATGAATTAGAGGTAGATGTATCAACATGGATAAATGCTAAGTGAATACAACAAGAGATATGTACAGTATAATGCCATTTGCCCAAAGCCTAAGAAGCATGCAAAACACTTATTTATCTATTCATTGTCAGTTTCCCTCTCCAGAATGTCAGTTCATGAGGCGATTGTCTTGTTCACTGCTGTGTCTCTAGTTCCTAGACTTGGGCATGGCACGTAGAAGACACTCAATAAATATTCGGTGAAAGAATGAATTCCCCCCTCAAATTCAGGCCAGTAGTTACCCTTTGGTGGAAGGGAAGGAAGGAGAGAGACTAGAGAGGGATACTCAGAGGGCTTCAATTATTCATGAGTGTTTTATTATTTAAGAAAATATGAAGCAGAGCAAAATACTAACTTTGATAAAGCTGAATGTGCATTCAATGTTTTTTATTATTCTTTATGGCTTTCCATATGTTGGAACATTTCTGCATAATATTTAAAAATATGTCAGTAGGTGATTACATGGAAGCTACCAATTCTGTGTTTGGTTTCGTGGGTGAAAAGCCTCCAGTACTGTCATTATGACTACTTCTTTCCATGGCACAGAATTAAGTCCTGGAGGCCCAATCTAGTCTGCCTTTGGAAGAACTCTTGCGCTGTATTTGGGGCAGCTCAATTCCTTTCATGGAGTCCAAGCACTTCAGCGTGCTTCAAGGAGGTGGGAAATATCCGATGCCTTCTGCAATCAACTGGTCTGTGCTGTGAGAGGAGAAAAGCTCTCAAGCTTCTCTACTCAAAGTATGGTTTCCCTAACAAGCAGCACTGGGATCAGCTGGAAGCTTGTTAGAAAGGCCTGACCAGAGCTACTGCTTCAGAATCTACATTTTAACAAACTGATTATAGATTTGCTTGATAGCCATTGTCCAGCTATGACTGCCTGAGGCTATGAATGGTGCAGATGCCTTCCTAAGAATCCTCTCTCTGTCATGCCTGTAATTCCAGCACTTTGAGAGGCCAAGGCGGGCAGATCACCTGAGGTCGGGAGTTTGAGACCAGCCTGACCAACATGGAGAAACCCCATCTCTACTAAAAATACAGTAATTAGGCCGGGCACGGTGGCTCACACCTGTAATCCCAGCACTTTGGGAGGCCGAGGCAGGCGGATCACGAGGACAGGAGATCGAGACCATCCTGGCTAACACGGTGAAACCCTGTCTCTAATAAACATACACAAAATTAGCCGGGCGCAGTGGTGGGTGCCTGTAGTCCTAGCTACTTGGGAGGCTGAGGCAGGAGAATGGCATGAACCTGGGAGGCAGAGTTTGCAGTGAGCCAAGATCGCGCCACTGCACCCCAGCCTGGCCGATAGAGCAAGACTGGTCTCAAAAAAACACACAAAAAAACAAAAAAAAACAATAATTAGCTGGGTGTGGTGGTGCATGCCTGTAATCCCAGCTACTGGGGAGGCCGAGGCAGGAGAATCGCTTGAGCCCAGCGGGGCAGAGGTTGCGGTGAGCCGAGATCATGCCATTGCACTCCAGCCTGGGCAACAAGAGGGAAACTCCCTCTATAAGTAATCATCATCATCCTCCTCCTCCTCCTTCTGGCCTCCCAAAGTGCAGGAGGGAGGATTGCTTGAGCTCAGAAGTTCAAGACCAGCATAGGCACCATGGCGAGACCCTGTCTGTTCAAAAATCTAAAACATTAGCCAGGCATGGTGGCACATGCCTGTGGTCCTCATTACTTGAAAGTTTGAGGCAGGCGGATCTTTTGAGCCCAGGAGGTTGAGGCTGCAGTAAGCCGTGATCATGCCACTGCACTCCAGCCTGAGGGACAGAATGAGATCCCACCTCAAAAAAAAAAGAAAATTATCTTTCCTTCTCTTTCCAATCTAGATGGCACTTTCTCAGCTCTTTTTAGAACAGCTTGCTGATTTGCAAGACCTTACACCACATTCTTTGAGCAACCAAACCAGGACTTTCATCAGGCAGGATCTCACAGAATCACGAGTGTGCAAATATAATAGTGCTGGTTTAAAGCAGTTGGACACCAGGAACAAGGTGATAATTACAAAAGTGACAACCTGTCCTCACCTGGCCTGGAACGTAAAAGAATCTGAGAATGTATTTCTTGAGCTATGAAAGTTCTCCTTCGTTTAGCAAGAGGTTTCATTTTACCCACCCACAACATATTTAATACTTGTAGAATTTTATGGCTTCCACACGCTATTTTATCCACACTTGTCAGATCCACCCTGGACTGTGTTTGAGAAAGAAATCACAAAGATAAAGCACAAAGCTGCTCCTGCTTCGAAGAGGCACACTTGCCCTGCCCACCACACACAACCCTCCTCCCTCCTTTTGCCCAGGCAGAGTTATTTCAAACCACCTGATTATTTTTCTTTCTGGGCTGCCCCAAATGAGATAACGGATGCATTGGGCTTAACAGTAGCTATGGCAGAAGAGAGGCCCAAGAAGCGGCTCAGTTTCTTACTTGGCATCCGGCGCTGCTCCATGTCTGGTTGTGGATCTCCCAGTAGTAACACTGAGTGACGGCGGTGATGACCGAGACCAAGCTGGGTGTCTGCTGAGCACCCTCCTGCCTCTCACTCAGCACAGCTGTTATATAGTAGGTGCCAATCCCGTGCTGCAGATGCTCTGGATTCAGCACCCACGTGTACTCCTCATCTTAGAACAAAGAAGAGTGCTTACTTGTATATCAAATGGAACAAAAACACCAATGAACCTCTCTTCTAAAGGATCTATTATTAATATTTTACAAATGAGACCATGATGAAACTAGAGTCACAAATGATTTGAAAGAAAATGACCAGTGATACAACCCTGGGCTCTGGATTACTACTGTTCCAGTAAAGAACTACAGTCTTTTGGCCAGGTGTGGTGACTCACGCCTATAATCTCAGCACTTTGGGAAGCTGATGCGGGCGGATCACTTGAGGTCAGGAGTTCGAGACCAGCCTGGTGAACATGGTGAAACCCCATCTCTACTAAAAATACAAAAATTAGTGGGGTGTGGTGATGTGAGCCTGTAATCCCAGCTACTCAGGAGGCTGAGGCAGGAAAATTGCTTGAACTTGGGAGGTGGAAGTTGCAGTGAGCCGAAATCGCACCACTATACTCTAGCCTGGGCAACAGAGTGAGATTTTGTCTCAAAAAAAAAAAAAAATATATATATTCTTCTGGTATGTGAACATGTGAACATTTAGGTCTAATGATTTAGAATGTATTACGAGGTTTAGAAAAATGAAATGAGCACATATCTAAGTTAGCAGATAGAAGACTAAGGTAACAAACCCCAGGGTGAAGCAAACATAGAGATAGGGCAGCTTCAGGAACAAAGCCCAGGACTGCACGCTAGGGACCGGAGGTCGGGCCTGGCTCTGTCACCAGCTGGCTGGTAGGGGCTAAGGTGAGTCATCCAGTCTCTCTGGGCCTCAGCTTTCTCATCTTTCAAATAGTCCTGTCTCTCAAAAAAAGGTTCCTGAAGGCCCCTTCCGGCTCTGAATGACATATCATTGCCAAGATCACCAAGAAAAACTGAGTCCATGGCCAGGCGCAGTGGCTCAGGCCTATAATCCAAGCACTTTGGGAGGTTAAGGCAGGAGGATTATTTGAGCCCAGGAGTTTGAGACCTAGCTTGGCGAACATGGCAAAACCCTGTCTCTACTAAAAACACAAAAAATTAGCCAGGCATGGTGGCATATGCGCCTGCAGTCCCAGCTGCTTGGGAGGCTGAGGCATGAGAATCGCTTGAGCCCAGGAGGCGGAGGCTACAGTGAGTGGAGATCGCACCACTGCGCTCCACCCTGGGCGACACAGTGAGCCTGTCTCAAAACAGAAACAGAAACAAAACTGAGTACACCTTTGGAATTGGGAAAGGGCCCGTTGGTAATTTCCACAGATTCTGTAGTGGGCAGCCTGGTAGTGAGCATTGCTGCCTCGGGGACTTTGCCTAAAAGCAAGAACTTAGAAGTGATTGTTCCTGTGTGAGTGGTGCCCATGCGAGAGCCAGAGAAAGTTCTTTCCAGTATGGAAGGTGGTCATGACGGGAGACTGTAGCATGCTTTCTCCATTCAGATTTTTCCCAACGTAAAAATAAATACAGAAGTGTAGCTCTTATTAAGACTTTTCAGTACTATATTTAAAGTTGATACCCACAGAGCATGGTTTTGATCAAGTATATCTGGGCACTATTTATATATATCAGGAATTTTTATTTTTTAGAGACAGTGTCTTGCTCTGTCACCCAGGCTGGAGTGCAGTGGTATCATCGAAACTCATTGTGGCTTTGAACTCCTTGGCTCAAGCAATCCTCTTGCCTCAGCCTCCCAAGTAGTTAGGACTACAGGTGCACGCCACCACGCTCGGCTAATTTTTTTTTTTTTTTTGTGGAGACAGAGTCTCGCTCTGTTGCCCAGGCTAGTCTCAAATTCCTGGGCTTAAGTGATCCTCCTGCCTTGGCCTCTCAAAGTGCTGGCGTTACAGGGGTGAGCCACTACACCAGGCCAGACATTTTTAACTGTAATGTTATGTCTCAGAAATTCTTAACTTTTCTAAACTACAATACATTCATTCTGATTTTATACCAAGGCATACTGAGATATCATCAGGCCTTTCTTCCTCAAATCTAAGATTAGAAATAAAGTTGAAATACATAGGACATATTTCATATATAGTCATCTACAATATATAAATGTGAAGTATATTTAACTCATGGTGCTGTGAGCCTTACTTCTGCTGTGGGTCTCAACATGTTATTATGAAAATCTTCAACCATACAAAGAATTTTACAGGGAATAACCATATAACCATTAACTAGATTCTACAATTAACATCCTACTAAGTCTGCTTCCTTACATACATATCCTTATCCATCCTATAATCCATCTTTAAAAAAAAATGATTTTATGGTCACGTGTCTACACATGTGGTAAAATCACACAGGACTCAATACACACACATACAGAAATGTGCTTGTAAACCTGGTGAAATCGGAATAAAATCAGTGATTGTATTAATGTTATTTTCTGGTTGTGATATACTCTAGTTATGCAAGATACTACCATTCAGAGAAACTGGATGAGAGGTATACAAGCTGTTTCTGTTCTTTTTTTTTTTTTTGAGGCAGGGTCTGTCACCCAGGCTGGACAGCAGTGGCACAATCTCAGCTCACTGCAACCTCTGCCTCCTGGGTTCAAGTGATTCTCATGCCTCAGTCTCCCGAGTAGCTGGGATTACATGTGTGCACCACCATGACCAGCTAATTTTTATACTTTTAGGAGAGATGGGGTTTCACCGTGTGGGCCAGCGTAGTCTTAAACTCCTGACCTAAGTTGATCCACCTGCCTCTGCCTCCCAAAGTGCTAGGATTACAGTGGGATTTCAGGCATGAGCCACTGAGTGCCCAGCCTGTCTTTTTTTTTTTTTTTTAAGACAGTCTTGCTCTGTAGCCTGGAGCGCAATGGTGCGATCTTGGCTCACGGCAACCTCTGCCTCCCAGGCTTAAGCAATTCTTCTGCCTCAGCCTCCCAAGTAGCTGGGATTACAGGTGCCCGCCACCACACCCATCTAATTTTTTGTATTTTTAGCAGAGATGGGGTTTCATCATGTTGACCAGGCTGGTCTCCAACTCCTGACCTCAGGTGATCCACCCGCCTCAGCCTCCCAAAGTGCTGGGGTTACAGGTATGAGCCACTCTGCCTGGCCTGTCTCTGTTATTTCTTATAACTGCATGTGAATCTACAATTATCTCAAAATGAAAATTTTTTTAAAAAAGAAAAAAAAGTGGCCACATGAAGTAGCTCATGTCTGTAATCCCAGCACTTCAGGAGGCTGAGACAGGAAGATTGCTTGAAGCTGGGAGTTCAAGACCAGCCTGGGCAACATGGCAAGACCCTGTCTCCACTTTTTGAGACGGAGTCTGTCTCTGTCTCCCAGGCTGGAGTGCAGTGGCACGGTGTCAGCTCACTGCAAGCTCCGTCTCCCAGGTTCAGGACATTTTCCTGCCTCAGCCTCCCAAATAGCTGGGACTACAGGCACCTGCCACCACACCTGGCTAATTTTTTTGCATTTTTAGTAGAGACAGGGTTTCACTGTGTTAGCCAGGATGGTCTCGATCTCCTGACCTTGTGATCTGCCCGCCTCGGCCTCCCAAAGTGCTGGGATTATAGGCGCAAGCCACCGCGCCCGGCCCACAAAATTTTTTTTAAGAAATTAGCCAGATGTGGTGGTGCGCACTTGTAGTCCCAGCTACTTAAGAGGCTAAGGCAGGAGGATCCCCTGAGCCTGACAGTTTGAGGCTGCAGTCAACAATGATGGTGCCACTGCACTACATCCTAGGCAAAAAGAAATCAAAGTAAGTTTCTGACAGCTGATTGGGTTTTACCTTTTTGCCACACCTTATCCTTTGGAAGGGTGATGTTCAGGTGGAAGTGAGTGCAGTTAGGCTGATACTGGAACCCCAGGTAGAGTGTCATTAAAAGGGGACTGTCAGGATCTATGCTCACTATCAAGGATTTCTCCAAGGAAGTGACGTTCACTGTGATTGTAAGCTGATGTGTGCTCATGTTGAGGCTGGTGGGATGGGTTTCCAAGCTAACATTTCTCCAGAGCATGATCTAGAATAAGAGACAGTTAATCATTATAATGGTCCATCCATTGATGTCTTTCAAAATCCTTTATATTGATAAGGTAAGGAAACGTCCTAGCTCTTTTTTTTTTTTTTTTTTTTGAGATGGGGTCTTGCTATGTTGGCCACGTTGGTCTTGAACTCCTGGTCTCAAGCAATCCTCCCGCTTCAGTCTCTCAAAATGCTAGGATTATATGCATGAGCCACTGTGCCCAGCCAGGTCTTCCTCATTGGATGTTAGTAGCTAATACTGCTGGGGTTAAGGATAAGTACATAGTCCCAGACCTATAACACTTCTTATTCTTCTTATTTTTGAGACCAAGCATTACTCTGTCACCCAGGCTGGTGTGCAGCAGTGCGATCTCAGCTCACTGCAAACTCCACCTCCTGGATTCAAGCTATTCTCCTGCCTCAGCCTCCAGAGTAGCTGGGATAACAGCCACCCACTGCCATGCCAGTTAATTTTTGTATTTTTAGTAGAGATGGGGTTTCACTATGTTGGCCAGGCTGGTCTCGAACTCCTGACCTCAAGTGATCTGCCTGCCTCAGCCTCCCAAAGTGCTGGGATTACAGGCATGAGCCACTGCGCCCAGCCCTTTAAAACACTTTTTCTAAGGATAAGGTGTATCTCTTTGTAAAAGTTCCTAAGATGTTAATAACAAAACAATGGCACTGCCATCAATCTAACATAATTCCCTTTAAGTTGTTGCATCCTTCCATCCTGTTGCAGAATATCCCATTCTCTTCTATTTTATTCCCTAAGAATCAGTTCCTACCTCAATGTCCTCCATTAAATCATGGACTTGGAGCAATTTACGATTAGCGCTTAGTAACACACTTCCAATGCTTCCAACAATGTTTCTGTTGTCCAAATCCTTGAAGGGATTGAAAGCTAGTCCTGTTATCTAAAGACAAAGAGAAGCCCAGTTTTATCCATTGCTGAAATATTTTTAAGTGACCCCACTAGAAAGATATATCATATATACATATGTATATATGTGTGTGTGTGTGTGTGTGTATATATATATATATATATATATATACATACATACATACATACATACTTTTTTTTTTTTTTTGAGAAAGAGTCACACTCTGTCAATCAGGATGGAGTGCAGTGGCACAACCTCAGCTCACTGCAATCTCCACCTCCCAGGTTCAAGCGATTCTCCTGCCTCAGCCTCCCAAGTAGCTGGGACTACAGGTGCACACCACCATGCCTGGCTAATTTTTGTATTTTTAGTAGAGACAGGGTTTCGCTATGTTGGCCACGCTGGTCTCGAACTCCTGGCTTCAAGTAATCCACCTGCCTCAGCCTCCCAAAGTGTTGAGATTACAGGCTTGAGCTATCATGCCCAGCCGGATATCATATATTAAATATTGGGATGTGCCCCCTACTAATACCGCAAATGAAATAACATTCCCCATTTATAACCTCTATGAGAAACAGTAAATTAAAGATGAATTATCGTTGGGATCCCCAGAATTATTATTTTTAATCTTTATATCTAGAGGATTCTATTTTACTAGGAAGTAACTGTTCTGCTCTTCAGGATAAGGCAACAATGCTACTTGTATTTGTCAGGTAACTGCTGAAAGGAATACAATATATTGATATGACTGGGTTGGTATACTGAGTCAATAATTATTTAGATAGTCTCAGCTTTTTGTAAATAGTGCAGAGGCTGGGCATGGTGGCTCACACCTGTAATCCCAGCACTACGGGAGGCTCAGGTGGGTGAATCACTTGAGGTCCGTAGTTTGAGACCAGTCTGGCCAAAATGGCGAAACCCCGCCTCTACTAAAAATACAAAAATTAGCCAGGCATGGTGGCCCATGCCTGTAATCCCAGCTACTTGGGAGGCTGAGGCAGGGGAATCGCTTGAACCTGGGAGGCAGAGGTTGCAGTGAGCCGAGATCACGCCACTGCACTCCAGCCTGGGTGACAGATTGAGACTCCATCTCAACAAAACAAAACAAAACAAAACAAGACAAAACAAAACAAAACAAAACAAGAAAACAAAAAACACAACAACAAAAAACAAACTGCAGAGTTGAAATCAATTCAAATTACAACACAAATTTAGTTAAATCCAGAAATCTGTTTAATGTTCCCAACTTCTACAGTGGATCATTTTTAAGAGGCCTCTATCCCTGCCAGTGTAAAATAAAAATGAATGCTACATAAACTCTCTCATCTGATCTGGTCTGTTCAGTTTACATTTCATGATACATTACTTTCACCCAAATGCCTACATGGCCATCAGATCCCATTTTCATTCTGATCACAATCAATTTCACACTCACTTGGACATTAACTCCTGGATGTTTATTCAAGAGCTCCTTCAAAGCTAAAGCCGACGGAAAGCCTAGCCTCACAGGGGCTGGGTGACCCAGAGTGTAAGAGCTCAGCGGTAAAGTTGATATGTTTTGTCTAATGAGAAAAGTTAAAATGGAAGTCAATTTTTGTGTGTCCTCTGAAAGTGAAAAACACAGTGAAACTCTCCCCGTTCCTTCTTCCCATTAACCTGCTCAGCAGCAGAGTAGCATTGGCAGAGGTCAAAGTCACTGAAGACTCGGGAGACTGGTTCTGCTCTAGAAATGCTTCCCCGATATTCCCAAACTCCACCAAGGACATTTCCAGGATGTCTTCTACCTGCATGGAAAGGAAAACAGTGTGTGACTTGTAAAACCTCAGTGTCTTATGTTAGTAAAATAATGTTTTGGAGAAGATTGGAAGGGGAATTTTCACAGTGTTGTAATGAAGGGTAGTATTCCTTAGAGAGGACCTTGGAATCTCACAGAAAGTACTTGCAACCTGGCTAAAGACTTAGCATCCTTTGAACCAAACTAAGAGGGCTGGCCAAGGAAATATGCCTTTGCCCCATCATATAATTGCCCTAGACCTGCTCACGATAGAGTTTTTAAATGACAGCTTTATTGAGGTAACTTTCACATATACAGTTCATCCACTCAGAGTATATAATTTAACGTTTTTTAGTATATTCACAGGATTGTGCAACCATCACCACAATCTAATTTTAGGATTCATCCTCCCTAAAATAAACATGGTGGCCGGGTGTGGTGGCTCATACCTGTAATCCCAACACTTTGGGAGGCTGAGGCAGGTGGGTCACTTGAGGTCAAAAGTTTGAGACCTACCTGGCCGACATTGTGAAACCCTGTCTCTACTAAAAGTACCAAAAATTAGGCAGGCATGGTGGTGTGCACCTGTAGTCTCAGCTACTTGGGAGGCTGAGGTGGAAGAATTGCTTAAACCCGGGAGGTGGAGGTTGCAGAGCACCCAGATCACACTACTGCACTCCAGCCTGGGCAACAGAGCGAGACTCTGTCTCATAAAATAAAATAAACCTGGTACCCATTAGCAGTCACTCTCCATTCCCTCATCCCTAGTCCCTCTAGCTCTAGGCAACAACGAATCTACTTTATGTGTCTACAGATTTGCCTCTTTGGGA
The DNA here is from genome assembly GCF_000001405.40 of Homo sapiens. Lineage (NCBI taxonomy): Eukaryota > Metazoa > Chordata > Mammalia > Primates > Hominidae > Homo > Homo sapiens. The sequence continues at coordinate 71,980,955 of NC_000016.10, forward strand.
CATTTCATATAAGTGAATCACAACATACAGTCTTTTGTGATAGGCTTCTTTCACCTGGCATAATGTTTTCAAAGCTCATGTTGGAGCATGTACCAGGACTTCATTCCTTTTTGTTGCTGAATAATATTCCATTGTATGAATAGACCAGATTCTACTTAGCCATCCATTAGATCATAGATGTGTGGGTTATCTCCACTTTTTGGCTATTTAGCTATTAAACCATGCTGCTACAAACTTGAGTGTACAAGTTTCTGTATGGACATGTTTTCAACTCTCTTGGGTAGACACTAGGAGTAGAATTGCTAGGTTACATGGCGATTCTATTTTTTACATTTTAAGCAACTGATAAATTGTTTTCCAAAGTGGCTGCATCATTTTACAATCGAACAATGGATAGGGTGGCAAGTTCTCTGCATCCTTGCCAGTACTTGTTATTTTCTGTCTTTTTGGGTGTGAAGTGGTATCTCATTTTAGTTTTGATTTGCATTTCCCTAATGACCAATGATGTCGAGCATCTTTTCATGTGAATAGCAAACATAACCTGTTGAGTGTTTGCTTTATGCCAACACTTTCCTAAATTCTTTTTTTTTTTTTTTTTTTTTTTTTTTATGGAATCTCGCTCTGTTGTCTGGGCTGTGTGCAGTGGCATGATCTCGATTCACTGCAACCTCTGCCTCCCAGGTTCAAGCGATTCTCCTGCCTCAGCCTCCTGAGTAGCTGGGATTACAGGCATGTACCACAATGCCTGGCTCATTTTTGTATTTTTAGTAGAGATGCAGTTTCGCCATGTGGGCCAGGCTGGTCTCGAACTCCTGACCTCAGGTGATCTGCCTGCCTTGGCCTCCCAAAGTGCTGGGATTACAGGTGTGAGCCACCGGGTCCAGCCCCTAAGTCCTTTTCACTTGATTACAGCACTAGGGAGTCTTGGCTCACTGGTGGGGTGGGGAGGGAGACCTTGGAGAAGGCATGGCAGAGGAGTTTCTTCTGCAGCAGAAACTTCAGCAAGATTATCTTTAAAGGTCTGGGGAGAGGCTGTGATACCTGGACCTGTCAAGATTAAAATGCTTCTAAGCAGATCTGGCCACCTGCATATCTGGCACCTACCGGCTCAGTATGACGCTTGGATTCCAGCCAACTTCCTTCTCCAGCTTTGGTGACATTGTTGAGGGAATGAAAGGGGCAGACAGTTGGAGGAACTTTGAAGCCCAGACTGTTGTTGTTCTGAAATGGGATCCTGAGTAACTCCTCACTCAGGTAAATAAGGGAATTGATGAGATTAACCTGGGAGGATTAGAAAGCAAACATACACCCTTGAATTGTTTGCTTTTTTTTTTTTTTTTTTTTTTTGGTGACAGAGTTTCACTCTTGTTGCCCAGGCTAGAGTGCAATGGCGTGATATCGACTCACTGCAACCTCTGCCTCCCGGGTTCAAGCAATTCTCCTGCCTCAGCCTCCTGAGTAGCTAGGACTACAGGCATGAGCCACCATGCTCAACTAATTTTGTATTTTTAGCAGAGATGGAGTTTCTCCATGTTGGTCAGGCTGGTCTCCAACTCCTGACCTCAGGTGATCTTCCTACCCTGGCCTCCCAAAGTGCTGGGATTACAGGTGTGAGCCACCACGCCCAGCCTATGATTGCTTTTTAAAATTTTACTTTTAAGAGATGGGGTCTTGCTCTGTTGCCCCGTCTGGAGTGCAGTGGTACAATCATGCCTCACTGCAGCCTCGAACTTCTGGACTCAAGCAATCCTCCTTCCTCAGCCTCCCCAGTAGCTAGGACACAGGTGGGTACCACCACACCTAATTTTTAAAAATTTTTTGTAGAGGCAGGGGCTCACTGTATTGCCCAGGCTGGTCTCAAACACCTGGCCCCAAGAGATCCTCCTGTCTTGGCCTCCCAAAGTGTTTAGATTACAGACATGAGCCACACACCTAGCACATGATTATTTTCAATTTGCATACTTCTTATTAGCAGCTTAATATTCGTTATACATTTCAAATGCATTTTATAAAAAAAAAGTTACAATTTGACAGGGAAGGAGAATATATTATTTCATATAACCTATAAGGGAGGATTCATATTTCATGTTATTCTGACAAACTGACAATTCTTTTTGAGTGGTGAGTAGACCAAATATCCAATTAATACCATCAGACTAAAAAAAGGAATGAAGAAAAGACCAATGCTGAGTTTTTTGTCTTTTTAATTTCAGACAGAGTGTGGCTCTGTCACCCAGGCTGGAGTGCAGTGGCAGAGTCTTGGCTCACTGCAACCTCCACCTTCCGGGCTCAAACCATCCTCCCATCTCAGCCTCCCAAGTAGCTGCAACTACAGGTGAGCACCACCACACCCAGTTAAGTTTTGTATTTTTGATAGAGACAGGGTTTCACCATGTTGCCCAGGCTGGTCTCGAACTCCTGGGCTCAAGCTATCCGCCTGATTCAGCCTCCCAAAGTGCTGGGACTACAGGTGGGAGCCAATGTGTTCCACTGAATGCCGACAGACTTCTAACAAATGCATCAGCAAGGCAGTACCAGCTGATTAATCAACAAATGAACATAAACACAGTATATCCAACAATGTCACTACTGATCAATTTAATTCATAACTTTCCAGATTTAAAGGTAAAAAAATATGCTTGCTAAAATTTAAATACAGTCTTTATAATGCTAAGCTTGGCATAAGGCACAATCTCCAGATTCTCTTTCTTTTTTTTTTTTTTTTTTTTTTGGAGACACAGTCTCTCAGCCACCCAGGCTGGAGTGGAGTGGCGGGATCTTGGCTCATTGCCTCTGCCTCCTGGGTTCAAGTGATTATTGTGCCTCAGCCTTCCAAGTAGCTGAGATTACAGGTGCCCGCCACCGAGCCCAGCTAATTTTTGTTTTTTCAGTAGAGACGGGTTTTGCCATGTTGCCCAGTCAGGTCTTGAACTCCTGGCCTCATGTGATCCGCCCGCCTCGGCCTTCTAAAGTGCTGGGATTACAGGCGTGAGCCACCGCACCCAGCCTCAGATTCTCTTTTTCTGTTTTCCGCTTTTCCCTCTCTCCTACCTTCTTCCCTCCCAGTCACCCTCCACTTACCTGAGCTGGCTTAGAAAATCTTGGGGTTAAGGCTGTTAGTTTCTGGAGGAACTCACAAGCTTCCTGTAGTTTGTTAAGAGCTTGCAAACCATGAACTGCTCTGCTGAAGTTCCCTGCTATCTCATCTATGACCTATTGGGAACAAAGAAGTTGTCAAAATTACTCATACAAAATTACTGTACTGTAGTAGTCAGGGAGATTATTTTCATCCAAGTTGACCTTGGGTAACTTTATAAACCCTATGAACCACAGCTCTCTAAAACAGTGATTACTTTCAGAAGCTTTTCTGCGAGTGGACAGAATTTATTTCTACTTCTTCCATACGATAGAGAAAATGAATAACGAGATTATATAATGATTGCTCCAAGGGCAAATGAGTCTGGAAATAAGATTTATAGCAGTAACTTTAAGTGTTAAGGCCATGAAGATGAGGGAAACTTGGAAATTAAAAAGCCAAAACCAAACTTTTCTATTCAGAAGTATGTTTTCCTCTCAGGCTTCCCTGTGTGTGTGTTTCCCTCCATTCAAGTATTCGTATTTAAGGCTGGGCGTGATGGCTCACGCCTGTCATCCCAGCACTTGGGAGGCTAAGGCAGGCAGATCACTTGAGGTCAGGAGTTCAAGAGCAACCTGGCCTACATAGCAAAACCCTGTCTCTACTAAAAATACAAAAATTAACCAGGCTTGGTGGTGTACACCTGTAGTCCCAGCTACTCGGGAGGCTGAGGCAGGAGAATCTCTTGAACCCGGGAGGCAGAGGTTGCAGTGAGCCGAGATTGCGCCACTGCACTCCAGCCTGGGCGACAGATCGAGAATCTGTCTCAAAAAAAGAGTCCATATTCAAGAGGTAATGACTTAAAATGACTCATAGCAAGAGGTGGGAAGCAGAAAACCTCCCTGCCCTAAGAAACAGACTGAGCAAATGGCCGCGGTCCCAAAGCTTAAGTGGCTACTGCACTTGAACTCAAAGTCCAACCCTGAGACAATCACCATTAATGCCAACTACATGGTCCATTTCTGGAGAATACCTCACTCACAGCCTAATTCAACCACATATTCAAGAAATCTTGATTAAATGCTGACATTGCTAAATCCTCTTAATATTTCTAATAATTTATTATAGATCCTTTTAGATATTCTGTACTTCAGGATTTCCAAGAAAAACAAAAACAAAAACAAAAATCTTTGTTTAAACTCCTGTAGGTCAGTTTCTCCCCCAAATAGAACACTGAATTTCCATTACCATTGCAAGCAGATCCAGAGTGAACAGGATTGTTTTAGCAGGGAAATGTTCAACTGCATATAAACAGGGCTCGTTTGAGTTTAGGGAAAAAAAAGCATGAGGGAAGCAGGATTATTTTCTTCAGTCAATACTGTCAAAGGGACTTTGCCTTTTTTTGAGAGAGAGTTTTGTTCTGTTGCCCAGCCTACAGTATACAGTGGCACAATCATGGCTCACTGCAGTCTGGACCTCCCAGGCTCAAGCAACCCTCCCACCTCAGCCCCTGCCCCGCCACCCCCAAGTAGCTGGGACTACAGGCACATGCCACCACACCTGGCTAATTTTTTTTTGAAGTTTAATAGAGAAAAGGTCTCATAAAGTTGCCTAAGCTGGTCTCAAACTCGGGCTTACGTGATCCTCCACCTCGGCCTCCCAAAGTGCTGGAATTACAGGCGTGAGCCACTGTGCCTGGCTAATTTTTTTGAACTTTAGTAGAGAAAGGTCTTGCTACGTTGCCCAGTCTGGTCTAAAACTCCTGGGCTCAAGTGATCCTCTCACCTTGGCCTCCCAAATGCTGGGATTATAGGCGTGACTCAGTGAGCCTGGCTGCCTTGTCCATGTTTTTGGGAGGAAGGAAACAAGGCGGAGAGAGGGGACAGTGAGTAGGAGGAATTGTCTAGAGGTTTGCTGCTGCTGAAAAAGCAGGGTAGGTGAACAGAACTTCTTCCCCATCTGAAGCATTAAATAGAATAGCATTAAATAGTGTCATTAATGAAACGTTGGGCTGTATATGTGCTGTCAAATTGGCTGTTTCCATGGACTTGTTTAGTTTTTGTTTTGGATTGGCATATACGCTGGTCTGTCAGGCATTCTTAGGTGTAGTTCTGCAGGGAGGCAAATGGGTGAACCAAGTACTTTTTGGGGGTCACAAAGCTACCTGTGACTTGAATTTCCCATGTTTACCTGACCAGATGCCTTCTGCAATGACACTTGTAGATAAGAGGTGAAGGTATTCGGATGACCTTCTTCCTTTGGGCTTGAAGTTGTTTCTGCCAGAGATTGCCCAGCATGCGTGACAGACACGGGCATGGTGAGCTGTGTTATCACAGGGAGAGGCTGGCTGCTGGGTTCAGATGCGGCTGATGTTACCTGTGATGTGATACTTGATAGTACTGAAGGAAACTGGCTGATGGGATGACACAGGGTCTTGGACTAAAAGATAAAAATATGTAAAGGAAAAGACTGAATCTGATTTTACCATTTTATAATTAAGGCAGCATTTCCCCAAATACTCTGAAACTCTGTCCTATGAGATACTAATAGGCATTTCTGTTAAAAAAAATTCTGTGCTCAAACAGAATTTTGAAATTTCAAGAAATCTGCATATTACTTGAGATTCATGATTTATATTAGTGTATTTATTGTCAATCGTTCAATAAATTCTTAAACATTTATAAGTTGCTAAGAATGTTCTAGAGAACTGAATATGGCAATGAGCAAAAGGAGCCAAGTTCCTGCGCTTGTCGAGCCCCTGTGTTAGTGGTAGAGGCAGAGAAACAAATTATGTCACATATTAAATACGTGCTATGAAGAAAACAATAATGCTAAGCAGAGAGAAAGTGGATGTCATGGAGGATGTTCAGTGGTAAGGAGAGGATTTTTTTTTTTTTTTTTTTTTTTTTTTTGAGACAGAGTCTCACTCTGTCTCCCAGGCTGGAGTGCAGTGGCACGATCTCGGCTCACTGCAGCCTCCGCCTCCTGGGTTCAAGTGATTCTCCTGCCTCAGCCTCCTCAGTAGCTGGGATTACAGGCGTGCACCACCATGCCCGGCTAATTTTTGTATTTTTAGTAGAGATGGGGTTTCACCATGTTGGCCAGGATGGTCTCGATCTCCTGACCTTGTGATCCACCCACCTTGGCCTCCCAAAGTGCTAGGATTACAGGCGTGAGCCACTGCACCCGGCTGAGGAGAGGATTTCTTGAGACTGGTTGTCACTCTGTCACCCGGGCTGGAGTACAGTGGCACAATCATGGCTCCTTGCAGCCTTGACCTCCTGGGTTCAGGTAATCCTCCTGCCTCAGCCTCCCAAGCAGCTGGGACTACAGGCACACACCACCATGCCTGGCTACTTTTGAGATGGAGTCTTGCTCTGTTACCCAGGCTGGAGTGCAGTGGCGCCACCTCAGCTCACTGCAGCCTCCTCTTCCCGGTTCAAGCAATTCTCCTGGCTCAGCCTCCTGAGTGGCTGGGACTACAGGACCACATCACCACACCCGGCTAATTTTTGTATTTTTAGTAGAGACAGGGTTTCACCACCATGTTGCCCAGGCTGGTCTCAAACTCCTGACCTCAAGTGATCCGCCACCTCGGCCTCCCAAAGTGCTGGGATTACAGGTGTGAGCCACTGCACCCGGCCTTTTTTCACTTTTTTAGACAGGATTTCACTACGTTGCCCAGGCTGGTCTTGAACTCCTAGCTTAAGCGATCCTCCTGCCTCGGAGTCCCAGAGTGCTGAGATTACAGGCATGAGGCACTGTGTCTGATGGAGGGACATTTTTGCTGAGTTGAATACAGGGAGAGAGAGAGCTCTGCCCATAGGTTAGTGACGGTATGTGAGGAGTGCAAAGGCCCCCAAGCCCACAGCCAGCTAGCTCTGAGGAAGACCAAGGAAGCTAGAGGAGTGATGGTGGCAGGAGGGGGATTCAATAAGATCCCAGGGCCAGGGGAGTGTCATATATCAGGCAGTTGAAGGGAATGCAGATGTTATTTTTAATGAGGCAGGAAGACAAAGGGCTTTGCAGAACAGTGGCATGATTTCACTTGTTTTCACGGATCCTTCTGTGTTTTAAATGATCAACCATTCTGTTGAGAAGGGTCAGAAAAGGGGGCAACAGTAGAAGCAGATCAGTAGGAGGCAAATGTAAAAGTTCATTTGTAAATTTTTTTTTTGTTTTGAAATCGTGTCTCCTTCTGTCACCCAGGCTGGAGTTCAGCGGTGCGATCTTGGCTCACCGCAACCTCCACCTCCCAGGTTCAAGGAATTCTTCTGCCTCACCCTCCCCAGTAGCTGGGATTACGGGCACCTGCCATCACACCCGGCTAATTTTCATATTTTTAGTAGAGATGGGGTTTCGCCATGTTGGCCTGGCTGGCCTCGAAATCCTGGCCTCAAGTGATCCACCCACCTTGGCCTCCCAAAGTATGGGGACTGCAGGCATAAGCCACCGCACCAAGCCAGCAAACGTGAAAGTTCAGATGGGAGATGGTGACTTGGACCATGTGGTGATCGTGGTGACCATGGTGAGAAGGGGTTAGATTTGGGACCTGTGAAAGACTGCAAAGTCCTATAGTCAAAAGCCTTTGTTGTCTTCTCTTCCAGCAACATATTATAGGGGTGGCAAAACTCCACCTCCATTCTCTTAGGGCTCCAGCTGGGCCTGAGAATTAAACTAACATAAGATAAACGGGAGAAAAGCACACACATTTATTGAGTCCAAGTTTTATGTGGCACAGGAGCCCTCATAAAAAAAATGAAGACCTGAAGCAGCAGTTAGAGTCCATCTCTCCTATGCTGAATTGGACAAATAGTTGTGAAGAAGTGAAATTATGTGGGGAGGCTTAAAAGATAAGCGTTATCTTAACAAGTCCTGTGCAGAATTCTCCAGGTCTTGACTTCTCCTGGAGGACAACAATGTTGCATATTTCACAAGAGAATTTTACCTTGTTTTTAAGAAACGGTACCAAGGTCAGAGTGCTGTTTTTGCACCTGCCATTTTTCAAATGCCTTTAACTGAAATCATCAATATAGCAGAGTGGCATATTTTTATCTCTTTCAATTTCAAGGGCTAGTGGTTGTTGCTCTGCAGAAAACAGCGTGGGAAATACTGAGGGTTTTTTTGTTTTGTTTTGTTTTTGAGATGCAGTCTCCCTCTGTCGCCCAAGCTGGAGTGCAATGGCACAATCTTGGCCCACTGCAAACTCCGCCTCCTGGGTTCAAGTGATTCTCCTGCCTCAGCCTCCCAAGTAGCTGGGATTACAGGCGCTCCACCAAGCCTGGCTAATTTTTATACTTTTAGTAGAGACGAGGTTTCACCATGTTGGCCAGGCTGGTCTCGAACTCCCGACCTCAGGTGATCCGCCCGCCTCGGCCTCCCAAAGGGCTGGGATTACGGGCGTGAGCCACCGTGCCCAGCCTCTGTTCTTTTATACTGTTAGAAACACTTATTTTTGCAGCGAGCATTGAGTCAAACAAATGCATATCTGTGTTTAGGCATCAACTAAAGGGTTTCTACATAGGACACAAGGGCAAGAATGCTGAGAGATTTCTTGAAGGTGAAATTTTATAGATTATGTGGACAGTTTCTACCTTTATTTCCTTTCCCTTTCTGTTAGATGTTTACGTTTTATTGCATTGTATTTTTGTAAGATGCCACAAGTCCTTTCTGGAATGAAGCAGGGAATAAATACCCAACCAACAAACACTTGATAATTACATCAGCATGAAAGCCAGAAAGAGAGGCTTTAAAAATTCCAAGTTTGGAGGTGGTGGCTCACACGTGTAATCCCAGCAGTTTGGGAGGCTGAGGCAGGTGAATTGCTTGAGGTCAGGAGTTTGAGACCAGCCTGGCCAACATAGCAAAACTCCATCTCTACTAAAAATACAAAAATTAGCTGGGTGTGGTGGCGCAGGCCTGTAATCCCAGCTACTTGGGAGGCTGAGGCAGGAGAATCACTTGAACCCGGGAGGTAGAGGTTGCAGTGAGCCAAGATGGATGGCACCATTGCACTCCAGCCTGGGTGACAAAGTGAGACCCTGTCTCTCCCACCAAAAAAAAAAAAAAAAAAAATCCTTGAATGAAGTACCTATTAAATCCAATTTTTTTCTTGCACGTAAGTACTTTATTTTCCTTATTAGAAAACTATATTCAGAACACTCTACAAGATAGAGCTCTAACCAGATCTACTAGGTATGACAAAGAGATCAACATTTCACAATGTATGTTGTCAAGGGAAGCACTTACAAGATGAGCAGGAAGAGGATAGTGACATGTGGTTGGAAGATGACCAGGTCCTATAGAAAAAAGAAAGCAGACTAAGTTCAAGTAAAAGCCTAAGACAGAAATATTCGTTTTACTTGAGGACTTCTTATTCATGGCTAAAAATAATGCAAATTGTTTTACATAGAAAACCAAGGCCGGACATGGTAGCTCATGTCTGTAATCCCAGCACTTTGGGAGGCTGAGGCAGGCAGATCACTTGAGGTCAGGAGTTTGAGACCAGCCTGGCCAGTGTGGTGAAACCCCTATCTCTACTAAAAACATAATAATTAGCCGGGCGTGGTGGCGGATGCATATAATCCCAGCTACTCGGGAGGCTGAGGCAGGACAATTGTTTGAACCTGGGAGGCAGAGGTTGCAGTGAGCCGAGATTGTGCCACTGCACTCTAGCCTGGGCAACAGAGCTAGATTCCACCCCCACCCCCTGCCAAAAAAAAATAAAGGTAAGGAAGGAAAAGACAAAAGGGAACCTATGATGATCACTCGAGGACCTGGGAATGGAATCCAGAGGACTCCAAGGAAAGCACAGCCCTGAAAATTATCAACAACAAAATCCAGAAAAAAAGTTCAGAAAGCTGTTAATACATCCTTAATAAGAACATCCTTAATAGAACGAAAAAGGTTATTTCCCCAAATAAAAGGTCTCACCTATTTATTACTGCATCAGCTTATGAGTGAAGAACACAGAAACAAAGAGAAAAACCATTTTCCCAGTAAAAAATGCCTGAACATATGGGACATTTTCAGCTTGAAAAGGTAAGATGACAGTGATTGATACAGGGACGACCTTGATTGATACAGCATAAGTATATGTGCCATCTTAACGTGCAGTTCCTTACAGACCCAGCATGCCTGTTCTCCAGTGTCTCCTCTTGGAGTTGTACCTGATTTTATCACCGGTTTCATCCGAATCCACTGGGGAATAAAATGATTTTGCTTTTATTTCTTGGCCAGGAATCACATGATCCTGAAAGTCTTGTGAGAAGACATGGCAAGAAACCGAGTCAACCACACCCACCATGATGATGGAGAAAGGTAGAGGTAACCAAACAAAATCCTAAGGATAACCACTTGAAGCTAACATGCACCAGAATGAGGTACATTAAAAGAAAAATAAACGATATCAAAGGATTTCAAGATGACAAAAAAAATACTGTAGAAAAATTAAAATCCACATGGGAGGGAATACTGAGCAGATGTGGAAAAATTAGTCCCTGATATGGAAGATAAATGTAAGGTGCTCTCCTAACAACAAAAAGGGTGATAAATACGAAACCATTCTTTTTCATTTAAAGAGTACAGGAAAGACACAGAGGGTAGGAAGCAGCAATATGGCACGTAGATATCTGGTATTTCCTAAGGACAAAACCACAACAAATGAAATAGAAGTGATACATACGTAGGATATTCTTGATTCAAAAAAGATGTGTATATGTAGCATCATGTTCTAAGCACAATTAGTGAAAAGTAACCTAGATACACACTGAGAAAATTTCTGAATTACAAAAAACTTTTACAAGCAATCTGATAGAGATTTTAAAAGGATGCCTGGAGTGCGGTATGGCTCTAACAGCCTCTAACTCCTGGATTTAAACTATCCTCCTTCCTCAGCCTCCTGAGTAGCTGAGACTATAGGCATGGACCACCACATCTAATTTTTTTAATTTTTATTTTTAAAAGTTTTTTGTAGAGACAGAGACCCAGTATGTTGCCCAGGTTGGACTGGAACTCCTGGCCTCAAGCAGTCCTTCCAACTCAGCCTCCCACGGTGCTGGGATTACAGGTGTGAGCCACCGTATTACACCCAAGCCACACCTAGGATTACAGGTGTGAGCAAATGTCTGCTGAGGGGAGATCCAGCCCGCAAACTTTTTAAAGGACCCTACGTACATAAATATTAGGCATATTGCTTGTTAGGTAAATTGCCCCACAATAAGGCAGTCTACATTTTTCCCAATGAGGAGATTTTAAAAAGTATTCCTGGGGCAAGCTTGACAATATAAACTTAAAGGATATAGGTGAAATAGTCAAATGTCTATTTAATTCAGTAATTTAGTTTTACTATGACACTTAAAGCCACATGTTACGTAAGGTAATAATGGAAGCATTGCTCTCACTAAACTCACATTGCGGGACACAGCTTAAACATTTCAAATGTGTCTTTAACATCATTGCATTAATTATCATCAGAACAACTTTTGGATTTAACAGTTTTCCAAAATATGTCATCTTTACTTCCACCTAATGCTATCACTAAACATTTTCCTACAACTCACAAGTCCCAATTTACAAAGGATTGAGAAAAGCTGGATTTTACATTTGTTCTTTAAATATATATTCATGTCTCTAAATAAAACCTTCTATATTGCTAAGTGATATTTAAAGGGTTTGTTGATCAGGACATCTAACATTTGCAGCTGTGAGGTCATACCCCGAAGAGTGATCACGAGATCCACTTTAAATCGATCTGTTTCACTTCTTTCTTTCAGTTGATCTCTATAACCACCCATCCACCGATATTGATTGCCGTCATTTCAGGCTAATGCATCCTTCCCAAATAGTACTTGTTTTTCAAAATTAAATAAACAAGTGATAACACCATAATTTGAAAGACTTTGCAAGAACTTTAAGACGACTACTTTGTTGATGAAAAATTTTGTGGGAATAAAACCTTGTCTTTTATTTGGGAATATATGAAAAGACGGCGGCCAAGGGCATATCAAGAAAACACATACATAAAATGAAGGCAAAGACTGCCATATTAAGATCAGACAGAATAGAATGCAACGAATATTGGGCACATGTTATAACACATTTCAGCATTAATTCAGTCTTGTGCATTCTTTTAGCAGAAATTGATTCCACGGATTTTTAAGGTTACTAGAGGAGTAACGCATTACCTGGGGGCATTTTGTCTCTTGCTATTGCAACTCCTCTTTTTGTCTTCTTGTGTCTCTGGTACAAATGGGAATTATTTCCATTTCTTTCATAATGGGCATCTCCGTCCAAAAAGTCACCTATTTGAAAGCCAACACACAAGTTAATTTATAGGTTATAGCTATGGCTACAAGTCTATAAAACCATCATTACATGCACGTATGTGATAATCAGGAAAACACAAATTAAAAATTCCTATCCAGTTTTTTAAGGACACTAAGAATTCTGCAGTAGCCCTTTTGCTCTGCTCACATTATGGTGTCCCACATTTCAAATTAAGTTCACTAGTTGGGTCAACACTGAGAAGTTCATTAACCCATTTATGCCTAGTGTTCCATTATTGGAACACTAGGCATGTGGAGTTATTTACATCCTACTGCTTAAGGTCATCGCCAGGGTCTGATTTTTCACCAAAAAAGTTTGCAACCTCCAGCATAAATGGAAAATTCCATACTAAGCGTAATATTCTCCTTTGAGTTCTGTAACTCTCATTGGTAGAGATAAAAGAGTTCAGAAGGTGGATGATAACATTCTTTTTTTTGAGACAATTTTTGCTCTGTTGCCCAGGCTGGAATGCAATGGCACGATCTGGGCTCACTGCAATCTGCACCTTCTGGGTTCAAGTGATTCTCCTGCCTCAGCCTCCCGAGTAGCTGGGATTACAGGCACGTGCCACCACGCCTAATTTTTTATTTTTAGTAGAAACGAGGTTTCACCATGTTGGCCAGGCTGGTCTTGAACTCCTGACCTCAGGTAATGTGCCCGCCTTGGCCTCCCAAAGTGCTAGGATTACAGGTGTGAGCCACCACGCCCGTCTGGCAATAACATTCTTGAACATGCCTCCTTGCATACACGAGCAAGAGTTTCTCACACACACAATTGGACATGGCTAGAGAAAATCATATAACCATGATGACTATGGCTCAGCTTAAATTCGCTATCGTGAAGCTCGAGCAGCCTGCCTTCATACTGCCTGGCAGTCATACTGTTTCCACTCTCCCAGGTGACTCCCACTTCCCTCTCTCTACTCAACCTCCAACACCTGGGAGCCTCCCTCAGTCTCATTCTTAGGTCAGGTGATAACCTTGCTTTCTAACTCAAGGGGAATATCAAAGCAATTTAGAGTCCTTCCATGACTCTGACCATCAAATCTAGCTGTCTACCAGCACCTGTACCTGTAGCGAGACAATGCCTTCTCTCATGCTGCTACAAATCTTCCTACTCCTACCCAAAGTGAATCCCTCTAGTTGTTTGGTAGCTCAGATTAAGTACATCATTCCTGCATGCTATTTCTTCTGCCTTAAAAAAAACCCAGCAACTTATATTGGCCTCATGAACTATTGCCCCAGCTGTTTCCTGCTCTTGAGCAAAATTACCTTAAAAATTGTCCAAACTTATCAGCTCCAATTCTTCTCCTCCCCTCTTTTTCCCTACATTTAGGGATTGCTTTTTACAATGTTAACAGGCTGGGTGTGGTGGCTCATGCCTGTAATCCCCGCACTTAGGGAGGCCGAGGAGACTGTATCACCTGAGGTCAGGAGTTCGAGACCAGCCTGGCCAGGATGGTGAAACCGCCGTCTCTACTAAAAATACAAAAATTAGCCGAGTGCCTATAATCCCAGCTACTTGGGAGGCTGAGGCAGGAGAATCACTTGAACCCAGGAGGTGGAGGTTGCAGTGAGCCAAGATCACGCCATTACACTCCAGCCTGGGCAACAAGAGTAAAACTCCATCTCAAGAAAAAAAAACAGTTGACTTAAATTTGTTTTATAATTGCTTTAGTCTGTTTTGCACTGCTATAACAGACTACCACAAACAGGGTAATTTATAAAGAACAGAAATCTAATGCTCACAGTTCTGGAGGCTGGACGTCCAAGAAGAAGGCACTGGCACTTGGAGTTGGGGGAAGGCTGCAACCTCGTAAGGTGAAAAGGCAAGAGAAGCCCTCCCTCTGCCAAGTCCTTTTATAAGGGCCCCTAATCCCATTCACAAGGGAGGAGCCCTGTAGGCCAACCCACCTCTTAAAGCCCCACGTCTTAATGCGATCACATTGGCAACACCTGTTTTGGAAGGGGCACATTCAAACCATAGCAATAATTATGGAAAACATTTAAAGAGTTCCAATGCCAAACTATAAAACCAGGTACATTTCGAAAGGTCTCATTTCCATCTTCATCCTTTCTGCCCTATTTTCTCTCTCCCTCATAGGTAACCATTTTCATTAGTTTTTGTTTCTCCTTCTGTTATATTTATACGTACGTGTATGTATACAGGCAAATATATATGTTCTGTACCTTTATTTTCCACTAAAAAAATACATCATAGAGATAACCCCACTGCAGTACATGGAGATTGTTGTTATTTGCTTTTTACAACCAGTTCCCTCTTGATGGGCATGTGGATTATTCCTACTTTTTTCTATCACAGAGAGCTACAATGAATAGCCTTACGTGTGCATCTTTTTGTACTTTTGCTGGTTTGACTTTGGGATAGATTCCTAGCAGTGGACACTGGGTCAAGGGTAGATGTATATGTAATTTTGCTAGATATTGCTGAATTCCCCTTTATTTATAAATATATACAGATTATATCTTACTGCATTCTCACTAGCAACTTATGAGAGTACCTATTTTCTTATGGCCTTGCCAACGGAAAGTGTTGTTAAGTTTGTGGATTTATGCCAATCTGATAGGTGGGAAAGGGTATCTCAGTTTATTTTTAATTTGCATTACGCTATTTTTTTTGGCAAAAATACTGTGTAAGTGATGTGTATACTTACATCAGTGCATTTTTCTTTTTTTTAAAAAATGTAACTTATTATTTTGAGATAATTGTATATTCACATGCCGATGTAAGAGAAAATGCAGAGAGATGCCTTTATCCAGTTTCCAAGGGTAACATCTTGCAAGGGTAACAACAGGATATGGACGCTGATACAGTCATGTCAAAATTTTTTTTCAATTGCTATAAGAATCCCTCACATTGACCCACCTCCCCCGCCTTTTTTTTTTTTTTTTTTTTTTTTTCTGAGACGGAGTCTTGCTCTGTCACCAGGCTAGAGTGCAGTGGCGCAATCTTGGCTGACTGCAACCTCCGCCTCCCGGTTCAAGCGATTCTCCTGCCTCAGCCTCCTGAGTACCTGGGACTACAGGTGCACACCACCACGCCTGGCTAATTTTTGTATTTTTAGTAGAGACTGGGGTTTCACCATGTTGGCCAGGATGGTCTCAATCTCTTTACCTCGTGATCCACCCGCCTTGGCCTCCCAAAGTGCTGGGATTACAGGCATGAGCCACTGTGCCTGGCCCACATTGTCCTTTTATAGCGACGCCTACTTCCTTCCTGCCCCCATGCCCTTCTTAGACCCCGACAACCACTAATCTGTTCTCCATTTCTATCATGTTATCATTTCAAGAATGCTCAATAAATGGCACCATAGAGTACGTAACATTTTGAGATTGGCTTTGTTCACTTGGCACAATTCTCTGGAGATTGCTGTGTGTATCAATAGTTTGTTTCTTTTTATTACTGAATTGGACTCCATGGAATCCAATTCAACAACCAGAGGGATTCACTTTGGGTAGGAGTATGAAGGTTTGTAGCAGCATGAGAGAAGGCATTATCTCTCTACAGGTACAGGTGCTGGTAGGTGGGTAGATTTGGTGGTCCGAGCCTTGGACGGACTCCAAATTGCTTTGATTTTTTTTTTTTTTTTTTTTCTCCTTGAGTTAGAAAGCGAGGTTATCACCTGACCTAAGAATGAGACTGAGGGAGGCTCCCAGTTGTTGGAGGTTAAGTAGAGAGAGGAAAGTGGGAAAGAGTCACCCGGGAGAGTGGAAACAGTATGACTGCTATGGCTAGACCACAGTGGTTTAATCATTCACCTGTTGACAGACATCTGAATTGTTTCCAGTTTTGTTCTGTTATGAATAAAGCTGCTATAAGCATCCATATACATAGTTTTACGTGAGCACAGGTTTTCTCATTCTGCGATAAATGCCCAGCAATTGCTCAGTTGTATGGTAGTTGTTTTTTTTTTAAGAAATCACCAAGGCCGGGCACGGTGGCTCATTCCTGTAATCCTAGCACTTTGAGAGGCCGAGGTGGGAGGATTGCTTGAGTCCAGGAGTTCGAGACCAGCCTGGACAACATAACAAGACCCCCCCCCCCACAACCACTCCCCACTCCACCGTCTCCACATAAAAAAATAAATAGGCTGGGCGCAGTGGCTCATGCCTGTAATCCCAACACTTTGGGAGGCCAAGGCAGGCGGATCATCTGAGGTTGGGAGTTCGAGACTGGCCTGACCAACATGGAGAAACCCCATCTCTACTAAAAATACAAAATTAGCCGGGCATGGTGGCACATGCCTGTAATCCCAGCTACTAGGGAGGCTGAGGCAGGAGAATCACTGGAACCCGGGAGGCGGAGCTTGTGGTGAGCCGAGATTGTGCCATTGCACTCCAGCCTGGGCAACAAGAGCAAAACTCAGTCTTGGAAAAATAAATAAATAAATAAATAAATAAATAAATAAATACAACAACTACACACACACAAATGCATACGTACATACATACATAGCTTAATCCTGATCTACTTCTGCAGAGGCGAACCTCGGATAACAGCCCTCTCACCGTTCGACTTCTCATCTTCCTCTGCCTTATTCTCTTCTCCTCCTTCTCTTTCCCATCCTTCCCTCTGAAGCCCAAATGCTGACTGAATTATGAGTGTGCATGTGGAAAATGGTGTCACCAATACAATTTCTCCCACACTCTGCCCAAGTCAAAACACGAGGAGGACATCAAGGCACAACTCTTCCAACTCCCAGTGGGGATGGATCCAAGGAAGTCACTCCAGATAATTTTCTCATGCTAATCAGCATCATGAAAATCAAAAGCCCTGTATCATCCCATGGTCTAACACTCACAGACTATTTAACCAATATTCTCACATGCACTCCTTATTTAGAATCAGTTTCTAAAATTTGGGTCTTTGGCAGCATGTAGCTTTATCACTTACCAGTCTGGCAAATGAAATAGTATTTCAGTAAGCACTTGTCCCCTTTGGATGAGATCCGAATGAAGTTTCTGGACAGGTAGGTGCAGCTGAGGGGCTTTGGGGGCCCGTTGGCTGCAACGTCTGCTGAGGGGAGATCAGACGCAGATGAGCCTCATACTCGAAAGCCAGGCTTTTAGGTTTATTTTTTATTATTGTTTTTGAGACAGTCCCACTCAGTCACCCAAGCTGGAGTGCAGTGGTGTGATCTTCACTCACTGCAATCTCTGCCTCCTGGGTTCCAGTAATTCTCCTGCCTCAGCCTCCCAAGTAGCTGGGATTACAGGCACCCGCCACCACGCCCAGCTAATTTTTGTATTTTTAGTAGAGATGGGGTTTCACCATGTTGGCCAGGCTGGTCTCGAACTCCTGATCTCAGGTGATCCATCCACCTCCACCTTCCAAAGTGCTAGGATTACAGGCGTGAGCCACCACACCCACCCTGCCAGGCATTTTTTAAAAGTAAATATGAAAGCCAAATTTGACTGACTTCCAATAGATAAAAATGTAGAATTTCCTCCCATACATTATAGTTTATTTTTTCATATGTGTTCCTTACCACAAGGCTTAGTATTACTTTATCTACACGTTAATGAAGATGATGAGAATGATATAATAATGGCTTGGATTTGTCTCTAAAACTTCAAGATTATGGTGCATAACTTTGAAAACACTTTGTAAGGGCCGGGCGCGGTGGCTCACGCCTGTAATCCCAGCACTTTTGGAGGCCGAGGCGGGCGGATCACGAGGTCAGGAGATCAAGACCATCCTGGCTAACACAGTGAAACCCCGTCTCTACTAAAAATACAAAAAATTAGTCGGGCGTGGTGGCGGCCACCTGTAGTCCCAGCTACTCGGGAGGTTGAGGCAGGAGAATGGCGTGAACCCGGGAGGCGGAGCTTGCAGTGAGCCAAGATGGCACCACTGCACTCCAGCCTGGGCGACAGAGCGAGACTCCATCTCAAAAAAAAAAAAAAAGAAAAAGAAAACACTTTGTAAGAAAGACAATAGGTAGATACTCTTCCTCTTAGTTTTGTGTTAGGAAACTTAGAGATCAGAATAATGAAGAGATGTTTATTAGGAAAAAAATGACCATCAAAGTTTCTGTCTTTGGAACGTAGCATAATTCTTTTAGTGAAAGGTCAGGTAAGTTAACTTTAGATGGGTTCCAGGAAAAATTGCATCATTTTTGCTAACAGACAAATCAAAGGCTGTCGCACAAAATGGAAATATTTCAGAGGAAAGATGGTAATGAAGTAAAGTGACTGGTTTTTCTGTCTACAAAAGCAGAAAGATTAAGATTTTCTTTTTTTTTTCTGTCCCAGAATAAAATATAAGGAAGTTTCCTTCATAAACACTGAACCCCAGGGTCTTACCTGGGTATTTGTTGTCTTGATGCTTTTTCAATGGCATTACATTTTGCCCAATCCACCACTTCTTTCCTTCTTCCAGATAGTCCCGGATGAGATCTTGAACTTCCTTGTTCCAAATATGAGCTAGGAATCCTCTCTGCACATGACAGTAATGCTGTGCTTCCTCAAAGCTGCATTGAAATCTGTTAAGCTGGTAACAATTATTTTGCCCATGTGGTGCTGGGCTGTTTAGCTCACTTCCTAGAATAATACTTGTTCTGATGTATAACCAAAGCCAGCTTCCTCCTTTGAAGAACATTTTCTCTGAATTGTAGCAAGAAAAAGTGTGGGGGTTTAGCAGCTGCCTGGTCCTTTAAATATATATATTGGCGGGCTTGTCTTATTAGTATTATTCTTTTATGAATTGGGAACAATTTACCAAGGATACAAAAGGTTTTGTTTTGAGGACCCAGGTGCAGGTCCTACAAGCTGAAAACAAATAGCAGAGATCAATAAAACAATGGCCCTTTTTATCTGGGGCCCCACCATCTGTGTCTACCTACCGAATATGCCTTTAGCAAATAGAGATCGATTATAAAGCTGAGTCTAAGCTGCACTGGGTAGAGGATGATGAATATCTAACATCTAAGTTAGTGCTGCTAAAAATTAATAAGTGTAGCTTTTTCTTTTCTGAGGCAGGGTCTCATTCTGTTGGTCAGGCTGGAGTGCAGTGGCATGATCTCAGCTCACTGCGCCTCAACCTCCCACCTCAGCCTCCTCAGTAGCTGGGGACTATAGGAGTGCACTACCATGCCCACCTAATTTTTTTTTTTTTTTGAGATAGGGTCTTGCTATGTTGCCCAGGGTGTTCTTCTGGGCTCAAGCCATCTGCTCACCTCGGCCTCCCAAAGTTCTGGAATTACAGGTGTGAGCCACCACACTCAGCCACATTTTTTTTTTTTTTTTAAAGAAAGTTATTCTTGCAGATCCCCTAGGATTGATTTTTTTTTTCTTTGAGATAGAGTTTTGCTCTTGCTGCCCAGGTTGGAGTGCAATGGTGTCATCTCAGCAACTTCTGCCTCCTGGGTTCAAGCGATTCTCCTGCCTCAGCCTCCCAAGTAGTTGAGGCATGTGCCACCACACCTGGCTAATTTTGTATTTTTAGTAGAGATGGAGTTTTGCCATGTTGGTCAGACTGGTCTCAAACTCCTAACCTTAGGTGATCCACCCACCTCGGCCTCCCAAAGTGCTGGGATTACAGACGTGAGCTACTGCACCTGGCCTGACTTTTTAAAAAAATAAATGTTATTGTGTATATTTAAGGCACACAGCATGATGTCATGGGATACATATAGATATTAAGAAGGTTACTATAGTAAAACAAACATATCCATCATCTCACATTAGTTACCCACTTTTTTTTTTGTTTTTGTAGCAAGAGCAGCTAAAATCTCATCTAGCATGAATCCTGTCTACTGTATGGTTTTATTACCTGTAATCTTCAGTTTGTACACTAAATCTCTTGACTTGTTCATCCTACATCTCTGCTACCCCCAGGACTGATTTAAATTACTGTATTCTGTCTCTTAAGTACATGCAAACAGAACTAGGCATAAATGCTATTTTTTTTTTATGGGGTCTCACTATGCCACCCAGGCTGGAGGGCAGTAGCATGATCATAGCTCAGTGCAGCCTTGAACTCCTGGACTCAAACGATCCTCTCACCTTGGCCTCCCAAACTGCAGGTGTGAGCCACCGTCCCTGGTCCATGAACTTTATCTTAAAACTCTTACACGGTCATAAAAACAAAACAATATTAAATGGAAGAATGAATACAAATTAAATACAAACAAAACTGAAAATCAATGAGATCCAAGTTTTGCCAAGCTAAATGGCAGATAAACAGGGCTCTGGCCTACGACTACACAGGTTCCTTTGAATCTGGCATGCATGCTATTTTATGATATGGGGAGGGTTCAGTTCTGATACCACGTTTCTTTATTTGACTCACACACACACATACACACACAAAAAAAACCTTTGTTCACACAGCAGGTCATTTGGTCTCCACCTGTTGCATATCCATCACGTGTATTACAGCTCGTTCTTTCTTGGTGCCAAAAAGTGATCATAAACTCAAACAAATGTGGGCACTGAACTGCTTGGTAGGTTTCAGGGTTAAGATGGTTATCCAGATAGTCCAAATGATGCTTATGTTACTCTAAAAATCAGTACAGAAGTGGTCACCAAAATTATGAAATTCTCTAAAACACAGACTGCAAGAATACATCCTGTTTGAAAAACACTGCAGTAATCAGCCAGGCGTAGTGGCTCACGCCTGTAATCCCAGTGCTTTGGGAGGCCGAGGTGGGCGGATCACTTGAGGTCAGGAGCTCAAGACCAGCCTGGCCAATATGATGAAACCCCGTCTCTACTAAAAATACAAAAACTAGCCGTGCATGGTGGCGCGTGCCTGTAATCCCAGCTACTCGGGAGGCTGAGGCAGTAGGATCACTTGGCAGTAGGTTGGCAGAGGTTGCAGTAAACTGAGATTGCACCACTGCACTCCAGCCTGGGGGACAGAGCAAGACCCTGTCTCAAAAAAAAAAAAAAACAATAAAAAAAAACCCAAAAGAAAAACACCAAAAACACTGCAGTAATCAAATGAAAGATAAATACAGTATGATCCTCCCTTTCATAAAGTCCAATTAGGGAAGAAAAGGCATAATAATTGTAATTAATATAGGCAGTGAAAAGTGCCAGCCCAGAGGGACAGCTTAGGTGCTGCTGGGAAGGTTCAGATAAGGAAGAAATTACTTCCAGCTTTTGGAATGAACATATTAAGATGGCAATATTTAGACAGATGAAATGGACATCTCGACAGAGGAGTCGATGTGAATAAATACACAGAGGTGGGAAAGTGGAAGGTATTGATAAAGAGAAAGAAATACTTGAGTGTGTGTGTGTGTGTGTGTGTGTGTGTGTGTACATGTAGGGGGTACTTGGTGGAACAGTAGTAGGAACTGTAACCAGAAAATGGGAGAGTTTCAAATGCCAGAATAAAGGGCTTGCAGTTTATTTGGAAGGTTTCTGAGCAGAGTAGTCCACCCTTTCAAGAGTTTGTGACAATGGAATCATCTGGATGTGGGATGCTTTTGTTTTCAAAGTTCACAGAGCCTCAACTTCTAAACATCTTCATATACATACATAAATAAATGCATGATACATCCACACATATGTTTCAAGCTTTTTTTCCAGATTAAAAAATGATACTTTATTATAATTTTTAAAATTGCAGAACGTCAGGCTGAATATCATTAGACACATACACAAAACCACTCATCTCTAAAGTCATCTTCTATACCCTCTCAAAATTTGGCCAATGAATTATGCCTCAGGGAATTTTCCAGTTCAACCCCATACATAAATGGAAACACTAGCCTTTTGGTTTTGCCCACAGTTCCAAAGTGCTATTACAGGTGGAGTATCTGCTGCAGGAGGTCATTCTTGCTGCTGTGGGTGTGAGTAAAATGTCTATCTGTATGCCTCTGGTCCTGCAGGCTTTGTTCTCTTTCTCCTTGTTTGGTCTCCTTCTACAGGGGTTACCTTACATACTGCAATCAAAAGACATCTTCTGCTCGGAATCAAAACAGATAGTGAGAGGTTCAAGTGAGAAGTAATGTTACATAGTAAGTTACTGAATTTACAATGAGAAATTGAACTCTGGGGTTACAACTCAAATATGATTTCAAGGTAAAGAAAATAATTACTTGGCTGGCTGGTGAAATGCTTAGTTCCTTCTAAAATCATAATTGCAATATGGACTTCTGCTTCATGCTGCATTCCAAGGCACCAATCAGGTAACCTACATCTCCCAAATGATCAACAGAGCGTTCCTTCCTATTTTACCCTCAGTGCTGAGAAATTACTCCTGAGCCCAGAAGTTGTTGTGTAGGTGACTTGGGTGACTTGGTGCCCAGGCAACAACTGCCACAGGCCCCACCTTGATGAACACCATTGATTTCTTTAAATATGATGATACTAAGATGGAGGCCCCTGCTCAGAGGAAGCAAGGACGTAAAAGCCAGGACAGGCTGCGCTGAGGGTCACTACACTAACAGACCCAGACGACACGATGGAACGTGAATACTGAAGCCAACAATCTTCTGGAACTCTCTTTTCCAAAACTCATATGCTGTTTTTTCTAATTGGGAAATCAGGGACAGGGAAACATTCGCATAATTACCCACCAACATGTTCTTCTTAACAGAAATGAAGATTATTATTATTTTTTTTTTGAGACAGACTGTTGCTTTGTCGCCCAGGCTCGAGTTCAGTGGCGCAATCTCAGCTCACTGCAAGCTCCGCCTCCCGGGTTCACGCCATTCTCCTGCCTCAGCCTCCCGAGTAGCTGGGACTACAGGCGCCTGCCACCACGCCCGGCTAATTTTTTGTATTTTTAGTAGAGACGGGGTTTCACCGTGTTAGCCAGGATGGTCTCGATCTCCTGACCTCGTGATCCGCCCTCCTCAGCCTCCCAAAGTGCTGGGATTACAGACATGAGCCATCGTGCCCGGCTCCACTTTGGTTTTTTCTAATCGGTTCAGGATCTCATTTACTTTCTTCTCCATTGTCACAATTTTTACATCCTTCTGCCTGTGAAAGCCTATCTGCCTCACATCCACGTCAGCTGTTTTCTTCAGGTTAGACCGTGGAGTATTTACCACATTAACGTTGTTCTTGCAGCCTTGAGTGCTATTGGCCTTCACAAGGTGGGCGCAGTCTGTCAGCACTTCCTTTGGAATGTCCTCTATATTCTCTCCCTTATGCAATTGAAGGTATACATGAGCCAAAGAGAGTCTGTCCGCACGAAACCAGATATATTCAGGCCAGCCATGCTTCATCAGATCTTCATGATGATTTATGGGTTAGTAGGAGAGATATAAAACTCAAGGGCCGGGCGCGGTGGCTCATGCCTGTAATCCCAGCACTTTGGGAGGCTGAGGTGGGCGGATCACGAGGTCAGGAGATTGAGACCATTCTGGCCAAAATGGTGAAACCCTGTCTCTATTTCATATTTATCCTTTCCCATGTAAATAGCGCAGGCAGATGAATTAACGCTGCTGCTGGTGAAGTAGAACACCATGATGCTGGCGGGGGTGCGGTGACTCCACCGTGGAGCAGCAGCGTTCAACTGTGGCGGTTGCCTGGTCCCCGGAACTCTCCTCTTTTTTTTTTTTTTAATGCATTATGGAAACTTTTTTATGTGATTTTTGTACATAAGGAATATGAGAGTAACTCTTTTACAAATGAAACTAATTTACTAGAACAAACAGTGACAAAACTGAACTGATATTTGATGTGAATCCATAGGAGTTTAAGCTTCAAATCCAGCCAAGAAATTTGTTACAACTCCATCAGCTTTGCATCTGAGTCTTCTGAGATCTTTCCATCAGCCCTGATAGTGCCCAACAGGGCTTAGCGCTGGCTGACAACATGAGACAAGAAAGCATTCTCAAACTTTGTAATCTTGCTGGGCTCCAGTTTATCAAGATACCCCCTTACACCCGCACAGATAACAGCCACTTGTTGTTCAGTAACCATGGGAGGATACTGTCCTTGCTTCAGCAACTCAGTTAGACGCACACCGCGACTCAATAGTTGTTGAGTGGGAGCATTGAGGTCAGAACCAAACTGGGCAAAAGCAGCAACCTCACGATCCTGAGCCAATTCCAGCTTCATGGTACCTGCCGCCTGCTTCATAGTCCTGGTTTGGGCAGCAGATCCAACACAAGACACAGACAGACCCAATGTTAATGGCAGAGCGGATATCTTTGTAGAACAATTCTGTTTCCAAGATCTGTCTGTCAGTGATGGAAATGACATTTGTTGGAATGTAAGCAGACACATCATCGGCCTGTGTTTCTATGACTAGCAAAGCAGTCAAGGAGCCACCACCAAAAGCATCATTCATTTTGGCTGCTCTCTCCAGCAACCGGGAGTATAGGTAAAACACATCACCAGGACAGGCCTTACGACCAGGGGGGTCGGTGGAGCAACAGAGACATCTGACAGTAAGCGACAGCCTGTTTGGATAAGTCGTCATAGATGATCAAAGTATATTTGCCATCGTCTCTAAAATACTCTCCCATGGAACAGTCAGAGTAAGGAGCCAGGTACTGAAGTAGGGCAGCATCTGAGGCCATAGCTGACACCACAGTGGTGTACTTCACGGCATCTGCATCTGTAAGTCTCTTCACCAACTGAGCAACAGTGGATCTCTTTCGACCAATAGCAACATAGATACAGTACAGCTTCTTCTTTTCTTCAGATCTATCATTGAAATGTTTCTGGTTAATGATTGTGTCAATAGCAATTGAGGTTTTCCCAGTCCTTCGGTCACCAATAATGAGCTCATGCTGACCACGACCAATTGGCACCAAGCTATCCACAGCCTTAATGCCAGTCGGCATTGGTTCCCACACTGAAGTTCGAGGAATGATTCTGGGGGCTTTCAGACCGACTCACTTATGGGTCTTGGAACCCATTGGACCCTTTCCATCAATAGCATTACCAAGGGCATCAACTACACGACCCAACAGCTCCTCACCGACTGGAACGTCCACAATGGTTCCTGTCCTCTTCACTATACCTCCTTCCTTACTTTATTATTTTCAAACACTACAATGCCAACATTGTCAGTTTCGAAGTTCAAGGACATATCCTTTAAGCCTGAAGAAAACTCTACCATTTCTTCTGCTTGGAACATTCCTCAGCCCATGTACATGGACAATACCATCACCAATACTTAAGACATGCCCAGTTTCTTCAAGGTCAGCAGAGGTATCAGCTCCAAGAACATGCTCTTTAAGAATAGAGGACATCTCAGCAGTCCCAGTCTTCTGAAGATGAGTGTTAGAGGCATGGAGGTTCCTTGCAGCAATGAAAGATGAACCCAAAGCATTTCTGGAGACCAGTCCTGCCCACCGAGTGAGGTCACGGGCTACGGCCGCGGAGACACACACAGACAGCATCTTTGCAGTTTCTCCACAGGTGGTACCTCCACAGCCGCAGCCTCTGGACTGACTGGGACCGTTTCAAGCATTTTTAAATGAAACCTGATGTTGATGAAATCTCTGAAAGTCAAGTCAGGTATCTTACACAATGCTGTAATTTCATTTCAATCCTTTTCATAAAGGGTAAAGTCCTTGTATATATTCTTTCAATACATGCTTTATCTAAGACACAAGCACTCTATCAATAAAAGTTTTAATTTAAACGACCAAAAAATTGGTGAGAGAGTGCTCAGAACTGAGGATAAACATGTAAGTAGTTTTTTGTCCCAGATGAGCAATGATTTATGTTGACTAAGGTGTGCTGAATTAACTTATTCCATTAAAGTGTAAAGGGAAGACAGGTTGATAAGCATAACTTTTACCTTGATAAATGTTTTCAATGATTTCTATTGCATGTAGACTGAAACACCTAGCATGTAAATTATTGCAGTAGAATCTGTCTCTAAGTCTCAGCTGGGTCTGTGAATTTGTTCTAATTTGATAGCTTCATACAACTGATGAAGCTCAAAAATGGCTTGACTCAAGATATTTCATACACCTTTCTTTTGCTCTAATTTCTGCTACGACAATAACCCAGCTATTTCAGCTGATGGCGGGAACACTGCAACTGGACAAAAATGACACGGATGGGTGTAGAGCCTCCAAACAATAAGTATCTGATTAATGCTGTTGACACCTAAGTCTACAGAGGCTATTCTCCAACGGCCAGGACATCATTAGGTAAGACATTTCAAAATTCTTCGTGAGGGCACGATTGCTTCAGAGGACTACAAAGTGACACATTAGGTCGTCATAAATCACCGCAGTACCATCCTGGCTAACACGGTGAAACCCCGTCTCTAAAATACAAAACAATGAGCCGGGCATGGTTGCGGGCGCCTGTAGTCCCAGCTACTCGGGAGGCTGACGCAGGAGAATGGCGTGAACCCGGGAGGCGGAGCTTGTAGTGAGCCGAGATCGCGCCACTGCACTGCAGCCTGGGCAACAGAGCAAGACTCTGTCAAAAAAAAAAAAAAAAAAAAAAAAAAATCACCGCAGTAAACCACACTCCAACGGGCCTGCACACTCAGGGTCTTGATTAGAAACAGTATTTAAAAAAATACCTCCACATCTGTTGCACCACAATGCCAAGGTATAACCAGGGCCACTTTCTCCAGGAGGCACAACAGGCGCAGGGCCAGGGAAGGGCCTCTGACACTTTTAGGATCTCAAGAAATTTTTTTTTTTTGGTTATTTTTCTTTGTTTGTTTTTGAGACAGAGTCTTGCTTTGTCGCCCAGGCTGGAGTGCAGTGGTGCTATCTCGGCTCACTGCAACCTCCACCTTCTGGGTTCAAGCGATTCTCCTGCCTCAGCCTCCCGAGTACCTGGGATTACAGGCGCCTGCCACTACGCCCGGCTAATTTTTGTATTTTATTTTATTTTTTAGTAGACACGGGGTTTTGGGTGTTGACCAGGTCTCGAACTCCTGACCTCAAGTGATCTGCCTGCCTCAGCCTCCCAAAGTGCTGGGACTACAGGCGTGAGCCACCATGCCCGGCCTCAAGAAAATGTTTTAATTTCCTTAAAAAACCTTAAGAAAAATCAACTTTTAAGTTGAAAAAGTTTATATATTAACATATTCATCTTTATATCAACACAGCAGTAAAATTTATTTTTTAAAGTGATAAAAACTGTACAAATATTTCTGGTGTGAAACACAGTGTTTTGATGCTCGCGGACTCTTGGATTCGAGGCTGCGGTAGTACGGACAAACACCGTGCAGCGGCATCTCATCTCCGCCAACAGCCGGCGATCAAGCGGGCAGGCTGGGAGAGGGCGGGCGGAAGAGGCGTGGCCGCCGCTACTGCGCACGTGCACCCAACCAGAACCTGGGGGTGGTGCCGGGCCTTCCCCGCTGCGCGGAGGCGTCCTCTCAACCCTTCTGCCCGGCGACTGGTGGGTTGGCGGCTAAGGGGCGGAGACAAGAGGGGCCGCCACCATCTCCTCCAATGGAAGGGAGACAGGGGCGGGCTTAATGACGGAAGGAGCATGGCGTGGAGACACCTGAAAGTGAGTCCCGCGAGTGAGCAGTGTGGATGGGGGACCAGGGACCGGGGAGGGCGAGAACGGAGAGTCAGGCCGGGCGAGGCATGGACCGAAGGCGGCTCCGGGAGTGTGGGCCCCCCTGGGACGTGTGCGTGTTTCCGGGGTCTCCTGCAAATGCTCGTGCGTGTGCATTTGCACGTGGACTCGGTCAGGCGTGTGCAGACAGCGCCTGCAGGTCTGGGTGGGTGCTGATCTGAGTGTCTGCGCCTGGGCCATGTTTTTGAGCCTGGCACAGGGGTGCTTAGTGAACACATGACCGCCTAGCGTTGTGTGCCGGATCCAACGGGGAATGAAACTAGAGTAGGACATGCTCCCAACCCTTTTAGGTAAAGTTTTGTTAGGGGCGGGGGTCTCTGTGAAAAGTTCTTAGCTGTATCCCCGTATGTAATAGGTGTTCAGAGGCCGGGCGCGGTGGCTCACGCCTGTAATCCCAGCACTTTGGGAGGCCGAGGCGGGTGGATCATGAGGTCAGGAGATCGAGACCATCCTGGCTAACAAGGTGAAACCCCGTCTCTACTAAAAATACAAAAAATTAGCCGGGCGCGGTGGCGGGCGCCTGTAGTCCCAGCTACTCGGGAGGCTGAGGCAGGAGAATGGCGTGAACCCGGGAAGCGGAGCTTGCAGTGAGCCGAGATTGCGCCACTGCAGTCCGCAGTCCGGCCTGGGCGACAGAGCGAGACTCCGTCTCAAAAAAAAAAAAAAAAAAAAAAAAAATAGGTGTTCAGATATTTGTTGATTGACATGGTGGGGGGGAGTACAGTCTCCAAGGGAGGCAATGAATAACCTTGACTTTCTTTTTATATGTTTATTTGAGACGGAGTCTTGGGCTGTCGCCCAGGCTGGAGTGCAGTGGCGCGATCTTGGCTCACTGCAACCTCCGCCTCCCGGGTTCAACCGATTTTCCTGCCTCGGCCTCCTGCGTAGCTGAGATTACAGGCGCGCGCCACCACGACTGGCTAATTTTGGTATTTTTAGTAGAGACTGCAGTTTCACCATGTTGGTCAGGCTGGTCTCGAACTCCTCACCTCGTGAGCCTCCCAAAGTGCTGGGATTACTGGCGTGAGCCACCGCGCTCGGCCTGAGTCTCTTTTTAAAATAAATAAATGGAGAGAGATGGGATCTCACTGTGTTGCCCAGGCTGGTCTAGAACTATTGGCCTCAAGGGATCTTCCCGCCTCAGCCTCCCAAAGTGGTGGGATTACAGGCGTGGGCTACCGCGCCCAGCCAATGAATACTTGATCTACATGTCTTTAGCAGTTTGGAAGGATCCTTAAAAGCAAATCTAATCATGTCATTTCCTGGCTTAGGGAACAAAACCCAAATCTTTATTTTGGCCAAGACTCCTGCTCCTTTCTCCTGCCTCGTCTTAAGCCTTACTTTCCCTCACTCCTCTGTTCCAAACTTTCTCCCTTTTTCATTCTCTTCTGCTACTGAGAGAGCCTTTACACTTTTTCCTCTCCGTACTGCCTTCTGGTTAACTATTTTTTTAAATAATTGAACCAGAATAGGTTCAGAGAGACCCCCATCAACTCGTTTATCCCTTGAGTATCAGCTTTAAGTCATTTCCTTAAGGAAGCCTTTCCTTACCTCTAAGATTAGGTTGAATACTTCCATTACCTTATACTTTTTATCCTTCATCACAGTTGCTATGACTACATATTTGCATGATCATTAATTTCTGTCTGTCGCTTCATAAGATCACACTCTCCATGAGGGTAGGGGCAAGATCTGTTTTGTCATCTTTGCTCAATCAGTATTTGATGAATGACTGAACTAATGAATGAATAACTCAGCATGTGGCAGTGATAGAGAAAAGCATTGTGAACCACTTTTGATCCAATAAGATCTGAAGCTTCTGTTTTATATTTTACACCCCCGTTACCTTGAAATGGAATATATGTATAATGTCTTTGTATGTATACATTTTTGAGAGAGTCTGACTCTGTCGCCCAGGTGGAGTGCAGTGGTGTCATCCCGGCTCACTGCAGCCTGGACCTCCTGGGCTCAAGGGATCCACCCACTTCTGCCTCCCAAGTAGCTGAGACCGCAGGCGCACCACCATGCCTGGCTAATTTTTTATATTTTGTAGAGACGGGGTCTCACTATGTTCCCCAGGCTGGTCTCAAGCGCCTGAGCTCAAGCAGTCCTCCCACTTCAGCCTCCCAAAGTGCCGGGATTACAAGCATGAGCCACCAAGTCCAGCTATGTGCAATTTTTAAAAGCCAGCATAATTAATACCCTAACTGGAATATAAAGGAGAAAATGTAAAAGTAGTTTATATTAATAATAAAATTACATGTATTTCAGTATGTAAATATTGCTATGACTCCCCTAGTGAGATAGTTGTGTTTAAGTCTCTACTTAGAAATGCAGGTACACAGGTGTGTTACATATCAGGCACCCCAGGAAAGCACTGTACCATTCCCGATGAGATTTTCTGAAATGGTGAACAATTCTTGGGAATGTTCTATGTGAAACTGTACAGTTGTCCCTCAATTTACAAGATATTTGTACTGTATGTGAAAACCATGTAGAGGCTGGGCACGGTGGCTCATGCCTGTAATCCCAGCACTTTGGGAGGCCAAAGCAGGAGTACTGCTTGAGCCTAAGGGTTCAAGACCAGCCTGGGCAACATAAAGAGGCTCTATCTCTTCAAAAAATTGGCTGGGCTTGGTGGCATGTGCCTGTGGTCCCAGTTACTTGGGGAGGCTGAGGAGGGGAGGATTGCTTGAGACCAGGAGGTCAGGAAAGACAGTTTGTGTTTATGTGGTAAAATATAGTTTGGCTTAGATAATATGAACGGATAATTTTTACCCACACAAATGTCAGAATGTTCAAAAGTCACACAGGAAATGGGGCAGTTCATGTCAGATAGTCTCAAGCCAAGAAGGATGTCTGACTTTATGGATTCCTGCCCACCACATCTATTAGCATTACCCTGTCACTGTAACCAGTAGCAGTGTCCACCACGATCACCCTAGGGGACAGTACTGTCCCTCTTTAAATTTCTGGCCTGGAGTCCCAGGACAGCCTTTAGGGCCTGAAGAAGGTGTGTAGGCAGAAGTATAGATACAGCCTCTGACTGTAGAGACCAGTGTCAGCGGAAGGCTAAGGGCGTCTGTTTCATGTGACCTGCCGTTATGCCCTCTGTGTACCTGGGTGTGAAGGGCTCAGGAAGGGTGCTGCAGCCTGGCCTGGGGGACCCCCCTAATATGCTCTTTTTTGCAGAAGCGGGCCCAGGATGCTGTGATCATCCTGGGGGGAGGAGGACTTCTCTTCGCCTCCTACCTGATGGCCACGGGAGATGAGCGTTTCTATGCTGAACACCTGATGCCGACTCTGCAGGGGCTGCTGGACCCGGAGTCAGCCCACAGACTGGCTGTTCGCTTCACCTCCCTGGGGCTCCTTCCACGGGCCAGATTTCAAGACTCTGACATGCTGGTAGTGCTCCCAGACACCCTATACATTAAATACAAAGGCGAAGGCTGCAGTCCCCTAAACTTCTCAGCTGGGACTGATCTTTTTGAAAACCAGAACCCCAAGTGAGCAGTGGGGATTTGGAATTCAGTCTGAGCATTATTATTTTATGTCATGTAATTAGCAACGATGATTATCTATTACGTATATGGGATTGTGTTAGGCGGTGTTCTTGTTTGATCCTCCCAGCTGCTCCATGAGCTGGATCCTGTTACCATCCCCAGCCATGGATCAGGAAACTGAGGAACAGATTAGCAACATAAAGGAACTCAAGTCACACAGCTAGGAGGTAGCAGGACCAGGATTCAAACCCACAGAGTCTGACGCTGGCTTCCCGCCCCTTGGCCACTGTCCTGCCTTGCTGAGGTCGTGGGTAGCTCAGTCTTCCCCTCAGCTAAATGGGGAAGCTGCCAGAGTCATTAAGCACTGGTGAGAGGCAGGAGCATCGTGTCCCAGCCTCACTCAGCCACGTGTTCAGCACACGGGCCCTCTCCATATGCTTGAAATCTTTGGCCTAGAGTCCCAGGAAAGCCTCTAGGGCAGGAAGAGGGTGTGTAGGCAGAAGTGTAGATACAGCCTCTGACTGCAGAGGCCAGTGTCAGCGGAAGGCTAAGGGCCTCTGTTTCATGTGACCTTCCGGGCTTAGTGCAGCAAACCGAATAAAAGAGTCCCCATCCTCATGGAAGCTGCTTCCTCATGGAAGCCTTGGCAGTTTCCTTTCGAGAGGCTTCTTACCAAATGGGAGGACATCAGAATGATGAGTGTGAAAATGCAAACAAGAAGCCCTCAGAACTCTGGTGGGAAGGGTCACTGTTATAAATTAAAGGGGCCTTCACCGCATTTTCTCTTCCTACCTTAGACTCCTCTTCACTATCTGATTATATGGTGTTGAGCAGACGTGTCATTTCCCCTGACTGGCCATGCTCACACACTAACAGGCACTGTAGGCTCAGAAAGAGCACTCCGTTAAGGTGTCCTCACCTCAGACTGCTAGTTTGAGAGCCCTGGAACCAGTGTAAAATGGGAGTGAATAATGAGTGGGGTGCAGAGATGGGGTGAATTTAGAAGGAAGTGCGGGGTGCCTGAGGGTGCAAGCTGTGTCTGTATAAACACAGATGACAGAGACAGGCAAACCTGACCTCTGAGGTGTTGTCCTCAACACCTCTGCGTGGGCCCACACTTGCAGCAGCTCATTTAGAATGTGACTCAGACTTTTTAACCGGTAACCAGGATTCTTGATTTCACAACTTTCCTGGTTTGGCTCTCCACCCTTCACCTATGTCAGGCATGTTAGAATCCCCCGGGGGTGCACTTGGAATATTCAGATGCCCTGGCCTGGTGCCAGACCAGTTTCACCGCCACATCTGAGAGCAGGACCTGAAAGCTGCCAGGGGCCTTTGTGGTGCAGCTGGAGCTGAGAACCACGGTCCTGGAGGAAGGCCCCTACACATCTTGCCTACCAGTCTCCTGAGGTGCTGTGAGCATTCTCACCTTCATTTGTTGCTCTTCCTTCTTGGAGCATCTCTCTTAATCCCCTGCTTCCAGGATCCGACCGTGTTCACCCCGGGAGGCCTTTGCTAGTCTCCTGAAAGGTCGCTGGAGCCCATCAGTCAGTTCTGCCCAGCTGAACATCTTCCTTCCTCTGGTTCCCCGTGGGAGGCTGGGGGACGTGGCTGGGGCTTCTTGCCAGCCCGGATGAGGAGGGACACAGCTGGAGCTGATGTTTATTAAGCTGATTAAAGGGTTTTGCTGCTTGACACGCCTTGGTTTCAGGGAAGCACTATCTAGGGCCTGACACCAGCGAGCTACTCCCTCCCACCAAGGCTAGTTGATAAGAAGGTATGAACCTTAACCACAATTGGAAAAGACAGTGCTCGTCTCCGCTTCAACCCACGGTGGAAACACCATTTCTCCCCCCAGGCTTGCTAATAATAAAGCCCCGTGGTTTTCAAACTCTAGCTGGTGTCACAGTCCCCTGGAGAGCCAGCACTGTTAAAAATAGTTCCCCCAGTGCTCCATTCCACCCCCAAAGATTTTGACCTTGGGGGTGGGCCCTGGGATCTGAGGTTTCACAAGCTTCCCAGGTCATTCTGATGTAGCTGTGCCAGGAACCATGCTTTGAGAAATACCGGGATAGCCTTAGCGTGCCTCTGACTTTGTCTTCCTCTTCCCAGGAAGTGAGAGTTCTGGGCCATAAATTCCGAAATCCAGTAGGAATTGCTGCAGGATTTGACAAGCATGGGGAAGCCGTGGACGGACTTTATAAGATGGGCTTTGGTTTTGTTGAGATAGGAAGTGTGACTCCAAAACCTCAGGAAGGAAACCCTAGACCCAGAGTCTTCCGCCTCCCTGAGGACCAAGCTGTCATTAACAGGTAGGTGAGCGGCCCAGAGTTAACGGGGGATGCCCTCTTTCCAGCTGGGGGCGTTCAGAGATATAAGATCTGCCTCTGTTTTTTTTCTCTCATACAATGTGGACATTCTTCTGTCATTTGGAATGTTCAGGAACCCTGTTCAGCATCTACTATGTGCCCCAGGCATCTATCTTGAAAAGCATGCTTTGTTACGTCCATTTAACAGTTGGGTAGATGGAGGCTCATAGAGCTAAATAACTCCGCTTCGGTCACGGAGATAATAAGCAGGAGAGCTTGGGCATGGCCTGGGCTTATTGGACTTGAGAGTTTGTGCTCTGTCCATGTTGTTTCTCCAATGCTCTTACTCGACACTGTCCAGGAGAAATGTAATGTGAGCCCCATATGTAATTTAAAGTACTCTAGTGACCACATTAACACAGTAAACAGAAATGAGTGAAGTTAATACTTACTTAAAATTATAATTTATATTTAATGTTACAAGTATTTAAAAAAACGTATATTTAAAACACCATAAAAAGTATTAATTCGCTGTTTTTACCTTCTTTTGCCTGTACCAAGTCTTCAAGAGCCAGTGTGCATTTTACTTCCAGCACCTCTCCCTTTGGACCAGCTGCATTCCCAGCAGCCAGTAGCCACATGCGGCCAGCAGGCTTGTATTGGCTAGCACAGCCCCAGCCTTTAGCAAACAGGGAAATGTAATATTCAACATGCACAGCTGCTCTTAGTAAGAGAAATCCTTCTAGACTGTATAAAGCCCTTCCCTTTGTCATCCCTGGGCAATTTTTACTACAGCAAACCCAAAAGGTGAAGAAGTGCTTACTTTTTGGTAAGAGGATTTTGAAGAGCCTCCTTGGGGAGATTTCGATGGGCATCTTTGGGGCCACTGGTGGCCTCCTGGGAGACGGACCTGTAGGACATTTACTTGGCCGTGCTTCCTGCTTTCTTGTGCTTGTTTCAGGGAAATTCTCCAGCATTAGAGATCAAGTTATTGATCTTTCTGCTGCATTGCAGGTGGGGATCAATATCTTCAGAATTGGCCAGGCAAAATATATTTGCTTAACATTCAGCTGCTACAGATAACTGCAGGTGCTGGGATGATGGTACTTGGTGAATCCTATAGGTGAGCAGGGGTGTGAGATCCTGCTCTGAGCCCTGTGTGTGCGGCCTCCTGGTTGTGTGGCATGTGGTAAGTGTGTAGTAAACACTTAATGAATGGGTGAAGTTATGAAGTCATCAGATATGTGTGCCAGTGTGTCTGTTATTATGGATGCTTTTGGCTCTAACAAAGTGGCTTAAACAACAGGCACATTTGATATTATTTTCTTCTCATAACAGGTGCAATGGGCAGGTCCAGGGTTGGTTGAGCACCAGGGCAGTGTTGAGACTCTGGTCCAACTTCTCTGGGCGTTTTCTTTTTGCTTGTCAGAGAGCGACCTCGGCTGCAAGTATTATGTTCTTACACGGACGCCCAAGAGCAGAAAGGAAAAAGGGCAGGGATGTTCTCAGAGGCTCCCAGTAGGTCTCACTTGTGTCTCAGTGTCTACACTTGGCATACACTTACGCTTCCCTTGCCAGCAAGGCTGGGAAAGGAGTCATTAGCATTTTTACCCTGTATCAGGGCAGGTGGGTTTCACTGGCAAAGAGGAAGAGGAAGGGGACTGGCCACTAGGTCAAAACCCACAGTGGGGCTGGGGATACAGGGATGAAAGAGAGATGAGGCTCCTGCCTTCAGGGAGTGTCTAGTGACAGTGACAGAGGGATGAGAGAAGTATGAGATGTTGCTCACCCTCAAGAAGATTGTAACCTAGGGACCTTAAGCATATATGTATGTATCTATCCCAAGCCAGGAGAAAGGTGGGGCCAAAGCTCTGTATGAAGGCCAGGGGGATGAGGGATCCTTTGCAGCTGCGAGCTCTGTGCAGGAGGAGAGGGAGCGTTTGCTCTGAGCTAGGAAGAGAGGTGATTTTCAGACAGAAAGCCTAGAGAGATGGAGTGGCTGCAGGGGCTTCAGGAGGCTGTTTGGGAGCCCAGGCAGAAGGTGGCAAGTGAGTGTGCAATTCTCAGAGAGTGGCTGGGTAAGGAGTGGGGATCCAGCAGGTCTGGGGCAGCTGCTGCTGAGTCTGGGCTGTTTCCAGTGCTAGCTGGCTGAGCATTTGCAAATTTTAATCTTTCCCTGGGTATTGGATGGTGTTCTGGCAAGTTCTCTAGGAGTCCCAGTGGTGTTTAGACCCTGGAAGTGTAAGAACTGACTGTGATTTTTTTTTTTCTCTTGTTTGAAAAAGTCCTAAGTGTATGGGAAGTGGCTATGGTGCCGTCTCACTCTGCCCCTCCCGTGTGCTTGTGCTCTGCAGGTATGGATTTAACAGTCACGGGCTTTCAGTGGTGGAACACAGGTTACGGGCCAGACAGCAGAAGCAGGCCAAGCTCACAGAAGGTAAAGTGGGGTTGTGTCAGTGGGCCTTTCTTATTTATTAGGAGGAAACGTGGGAGAAATGCTGGGAACATTTCTAGTGAAATAAACATGATTGAGCAATAGCAAAAACCACTGAGGACCTCAGGACACCTCTCCTAGAGCGATTTTCCTGGTCCCACACAGCTTCCAAGAGTTTAACTGGATTTTGCAATTTAGCAAATACTCACTTTGCCTCTGCCTTGTTATGTAACCTGTTACCGTAACTAGGGAGGCCTGAAAGCAAGCGAAGCAAAGCGGCTGGGCAATGATCACACAGGCAATGAGGGCAGGAGCAGGACTTGAATGTCATCCTCCCGTGGCCCACTCTGTCCTCCCTTTTTTGTCATCCATTGTGTAAATAATGTTCATTAATTATAGAAGACTTAGTAAATACAGAGAAGCGTAAAGAAAGAATGTTCAAGAAACAGATACTCCTCCCTACTCAAGGCTAACTAATATTAGCATTTGGGAAAATATTCTTCATGAGTTGTTTTGGAAACTCATTTTTGGTTCGGGACAGTTCACACCTGTAATCTCAATACTTTGGGTGCCCAAGTTGGGAGGATCACTTGAACTCAGGAGTTTAAGACCAGCCTGGGCAACATGGTGAGATCCCATTTCTCTAAAAAAACCAAAAACAACATGCTTTTTTTTTTTTTTTTTTGAGACGGAGTCTCGCTCTGTCGCCCCAGGCTAGAGTGCAGTGGCGGGATCTCGGCTCACTGCAAGCTCTGCTTCCCGCGTTCTCACTATTCTCCTGCCTCAGCCTCCCGAGTAGCTGGGACTTCAGGCACCCGCCGCCACACCCAGCTAATTTCTTTTTGTATTTTTAGTAGAGACGGGGTTTCACTGTGTTAGCCAGGATGGTCTCGATTTCCTGACCTGGTGATCCGCCTGCCTCGGCCTCCCAAAGTGCTGGGATTACAGGCGTGAGCCACCGCGCCTGGCCACAACATGCATTTTTGAAGACGCCTCCGGCGATGCGGGTGTTCTCTGTGGCCTCTGCCTCACTTGCTCTCAGGATGCACTTAGTGGTCGCAGCCCTCTGTTGTCCTGACCCTAATGCCCCTGGGACCCTCTGGGATTGTGTGGGGTTGTGGCTCAGTAGCGACCATTTTCTTCTTTGGGTCCCTCTGAAACTCCTTCCAGGATGTCTTAGTCTCAGATAGTCCTGGTAGCAGGATGAAGAAACCAATGGATATGGGATTCATTTCAGGAAGTGAGGTGGAAAGGGCTGAGGCACTCAGCAGTGTCAGATTTGGGGAATAGGAAATTATCTTTTGGAAACCCCTGGGTTGGGTGGAACCAGACCCCGCTGTACTGCAGAGCCGCCCACCTGGGGAGCTTTGGAGGTCATCACAGGACTTGCATGGTTTGTGATGCTTGCCCGCCTTCGTGCTTGCTTTTTCTTCTCCTCGGTGTCTGCAGTGCAGTGTCCTGGCTTTATCTCCTGTTCTTCCTCACCCAGCCCTCCCTCCCTGTGGCCCTCCTGGTCTACGGAGTGAAGCGGAGCCTGCAGCAGTGCTCTGCACGGATGTGTCTGCCAGCAGCTTAGGGGCCTTCATGGCAGCTTGTTGTTAGCACCATGCCAAGGAACACGCGTTGACAAAAGCTTTGGTGCCCTCTGGGGACAGAGTAATCCAGCAATTTCTGTCTAACTCCCAAATCTTGTCAGTTTGGGCAGATGACTCCTAATCCGTTAGCTACATGAAAGTGATATTCTCCTTCAAGTCAGTTTACTTGTGAGGAAAAGAATTCAAGCTTACAGATGATCTTGGCTTGATGGGTGCTAGACTGGGAAGCTTGGAGACCTTATGATAAACCTTTTGTCTAATTGGATTCTTTGTTTCTTTTGAGACAGAGTCTCCCGCTATTGCCCAGGCAACAGTGGTGCAATCTCAGCTCACAGTAGCCTCCACCTCCCAGGTTCAAGCGATTCTCCTTTCTCAGCCTCCCAAGTAGCTGAGATTATAGGCGCCCACCACCATGCCTGACTAATTTTTATATTTTTAGTAGAGACAGGGTTTCACCGTGTTGGCCAGGCTGGTCTTGAACTCCTGACCTCAATTGATCCACCCACCTCAGCCTCCCAAAGTGCTGGGATTACAGGCGTGAGCTGCTGCGCCCGGCTTCTAATTGGGTTCTGATCCCCTCCTCCAGTCCCCACCCTGGAAAGTAGCTACACTCATCTCATTTGCTGATGATGCGAGAGTGTGATTGGGGTTGGGAAGGTGGTGAGCAGTACAATAGATGTTGTTTGATCCTCTCTGGCCTGACAACACATTTTGTGAGCTACTTGGTGTTCTAATTCTTCCCCCAACTCTCAGATCAAAAGTACAGCCTGTACCATTGATGTACCACTCCCCGTGCAGATAAGATAGTAAACTTAGAAGAAGTCAAGTAGAGACAACCCGTTTCTTTTACACATAGTGTGTTTCTGAAAATGTATTTTTTCTGGAGGTCCAAAATGCAAGTCCATTGATAGTCCTGTGGATTTTTAAGTAAGCTGACCTAATTGCTTACATGTAAACTGAGACCCTCTTGAGAGTAAAAAGGGGCAGGTGTTAACAATGATGCCCAGGCTAGGGGAGTAATCAGGTTGTCCAGGGAGCACCTAAGATACAGGGTACCCTCAGTTATTATATGAGGGAGAGTCCCTTTCCTCAGAGAACTAAAATTATAAGTTAGAAAACAATTACACCTCTACATTTTAGGCATGATAATTGAAAACATTTGGCCGGGCATGGTGGCTCACGCCTGTAATCCTAACACTCTGGAAGGCCAAGGCAAGCGGATCATTTGAGGTCAGGGGTTTGAGACCAGCCTGGCCAACATGGTGAAACCCCTTCTCTACTAAAAATACAAAAATTAGGCCGGTTGCAGTGGCTCACGCCTGTAATCCCAGCACTTTGGGAGGCTGAGGTGGGCAGATCATGAGGTCTGGAGATGGAGACCATCCTGGCCAACATGGTGAAACCCCATCTCTACTAAAAATACAAAAATTAGCTGGGCGTGGTGGCACATGCGTGTAATCCCAGCTACTCAGGAGGCTGAGACAGGAGAATTGCTTGAATTCAGGGGACGGAGGTTGCAGTGAGCCAAGATTGTGCCACCACATTCCAGCCTGGGCAACAGTGAGACTCCATCTCAAAAAAAAAAACAAAAAACATTTTCCAGTATATATATATGTGTATATGTATATGTGTATATATATATATATATATATATATGTGTATATATATATATATTTTTTTTTTTTTTCTTTTTTTTGAGACAGAGTCTTGCTCTGCTCCTTAGGCTGGAGTGCAGTGGCGCGATCACGGTTCATTGGAGCCTCAATCCTACTTCAGCCTCCCGAGCAGCTAGGACTACAGGTGTGCACCACTGCTCCCGGCTGAGTTTTCAATTATAGAGATAGGGTTTCACCATGTTGCCCAGACTGGTCTTGAATTCCTGGGCTCAAGCAATCCTCTGCCCTTGACCACCCAAAGTGCTGGGATTATAGGCGTGAGCCACCGCACCTGGCCTGTTTTTCAGTATTTTATACATGTTCTTTCATTTTGTTTTTTCTTCGCAACTGTACATCCAGTCAACCGAGCCAAGGCCAACAAGCATTCCTTGAGGTGAGAGTTGCGGGCCTGATGTGCCTACTGAGTTCTCTCTGTTCTCAGTTTTATTCAATTTATGAGGCCCATCTTTTGCCCCACAAGTATTTGCAGTAATTTGTCCATTTTCCATGAAAATTTTAAAAATAAAAAGGGCAAAATGCAGCAAAACATCCTCGTAGCTGCCCAGACTTTGCTAGACAAAGCCAGTGAGTGGTTTTGGTCAGCAGGCGGGCCCAGGCCGCAGTTGAGCACCTGTCAGCCGGTGTCGGGCAGGTCAGGTTTGGAGGGAAGGCCTGCGCGGCTGTCCACAGGTGGTTTGGTCAAGGGCAGCCTCAGAAGGTGGCACAGGAAAGGGTGTGCGGGGTGCAGGCCTGACCAGCGATGTTTGCAGATGGACTGCCTCTGGGGGTCAACTTGGGGAAGAACAAGACCTCAGTGGACGCCGCGGAGGACTACGCAGAAGGGGTGCGCGTACTGGGCCCCCTGGCCGACTACCTGGTGGTGAATGTGTCCAGCCCCAACACTGCCGGGCTGCGGAGCCTTCAGGGAAAGGCCGAGCTGCGCCGCCTGCTGACCAAGGTGGGCAGCTGCACCCCTCTCCAGGCCCTGTCCCACCAGCCTGTCCCACCTGCTCCCCTTCATTCTCCAGGGCGAACCTTCAGCATCACCCTCAGAAGCTGTCCTTAGCACCTAGACCAGTAGGACCCCTGGCTATACCTTCCCAGAGTCCCCTCTGATCCCCTCTCATGACACTGATTATATGCGACGGTGACAAATTATCTGTCCCTGCTGCTATAAATCACGGGGTCTGTAAGAGCAGACACCACGTCTCTCTCATTTGTCACTCTGACCCTAGCGCCCAGAGCTCTGAGTGAACTGAAGGACTTCATCACCCAGTACATGTGGTAATATTTCCTGGTTATCTTTTAGGAATAAAAGTCTAAAAAACGTTGGACACCGTGGCTCATGCCTGTAATACCAGCACTATGGGAGGCCAAGGCAGGTGGATCACTTATAACCCAGGAATTTGAGACCAGCCTGGGCAAAAGAGCAAGACCCTGTC
The DNA here is from genome assembly GCF_000001405.40 of Homo sapiens. Classification (NCBI taxonomy): domain Eukaryota; kingdom Metazoa; phylum Chordata; class Mammalia; order Primates; family Hominidae; genus Homo; species Homo sapiens. The sequence continues at coordinate 72,021,796 of NC_000016.10, forward strand.
TCTACAAAAATTTAAAAATTAGCCAGGCACAGTGGCTCAAGCCTATAGCCCCAGCTACTTGGAGGCCGAGGCAGGCAGATCACTTGAGCTCAGGAGCTGACCAGCCTGGGCAACTTGGCAAAACCCCATCTTACAAGAAATACAGAAATTAGCTGGGCATGGTGGTGCACACCTGTAGTCCCTGATACTCTGGAGGCTGAAGTGGAAGGATCGCCTGAGCCCAGGGAGGTGCAGGCTACAGTGAGCCGTGATCATGCTACTACACTCCAGTGTGGGTGACAGAGTGCGACCTTGTCTCAAAAAAAAAAAAAAAAAAAGAAAAGAAAAGTCTAAAACACCCTTGAGCTATTAGCCAATGTCCACGGGATCCCTTGGCCTAAAAGAATGGAATCGGATCCATCTCGACTGTACTCCTCACGTCTGAGGGCTGGCTTTCCTGAAAAGAAATTGTTTCTGCTTTAGTTTGATCGCTATTGTGGAAACCCACTGACCTGCAGCGTAGGTCACAGCTGCACTGCAGGGCTGTGGTCTGCGGGGTCCCCAGCTCTGGCCGTGTGTCGCCCTAGGTGCTGCAGGAGAGGGATGGCTTGCGGAGAGTGCACAGGCCGGCAGTCCTGGTGAAGATCGCTCCTGACCTCACCAGCCAGGATAAGGAGGACATTGCCAGTGTGGTCAAAGAGGTTTGAGTCGGGGCCTGGGCCCAGGGTGTGCCTCCCATGGTCTGCAGAGGCCGTTTGGCCAGCTGGGCTAGCCCAGAATGGCGTTCTTTGTGATTTCCTCTCCTTGGTATTCAAGGCTGGTTTGGTGTGTGTCATGGTGTAACTCACCCTGTGGTCAAAAGCGAATGTTGGAATAAGTGCTTGAAGGAGTTTTTCTAATGCCTCTTCCTCTCTTTTGTCAACTGCATCCAGCAAGTTTAAGGCTTGAGCTTGGCTCCTTGGCCAGTCTTGACTGGGACTGAAAATTCTTTCTCTCACTCCTCTCTCCAGCCTGTCTGGACAGCGGGTCTCTGTGGCATAGGAGAGTAGTGGAAACAGACTGAGCCCGGCCATCGTGGGTTCAAATCCTGGTTCCACCACTTACTACCTGGGGGCCTCAGACAAGACACTGTAATTGGGTTGTTGTAAGGACTGGACCCTGTCCTAGGGGAATGTTGTGGGTGGTCAGCGTGTGATGGCTGCTGTCGTCATGTTATGGCTCATTCTAAAACTTGTTGAGGAAAAGATGAGTAGTGAGGTCTGGTGTAGCTCTTGCTTTGGGGGCTGTAGGTGTGGGTACCTGGCCCGGCTGCTGCCTTCGACCTCCAGAGAAGCGCCTCTGGGTCCTTCGGTGCTATGACTCATGGCTTTTTCTCTATCTCGCACTGCAGTTGGGCATCGATGGGCTGATTGTTACGAACACCACCGTGAGTCGCCCTGCGGGCCTCCAGGGTGCCCTGCGCTCTGAAACAGGAGGGCTGAGTGGGAAGCCCCTCCGGGATTTATCAACTCAAACCATTCGGGAGATGTATGCACTCACCCAAGGCAAGGTTTCCCGTGTTTGTGTCTTCAGATCTGCGTGTGGCTTGGGCTCCTGGGTCGTGATGGGAATCATCATTCCCTAATCTGTCTTGATTGTGGGGGACTCTGGGGCTGAAGCCACATCCTTCTTTATGGTGTCGCCATGTGCTTCTCTGTAGGCCGAGTTCCCATAATTGGGGTTGGTGGTGTGAGCAGCGGGCAGGACGCGCTGGAGAAGATCCGGGCAGGGGCCTCCCTGGTGCAGCTGTACACGGCCCTCACCTTCTGGGGGCCACCCGTTGTGGGCAAAGTCAAGCGGGAACTGGAGGCCCTTCTGAAGTGAGTGAGGTCATGTGTGGCTTGAAACAGAAGTTAGGCAGAGGTTCATTTAGATCACTCAAGTCAACGAGATACTGTTGATCTGTTTCTTATTCATTCAAAAAGGAGTTGAGGGGTACACTCTGAAGGGGAGAGAAATTCTGGGTTACTCTTTTGATGAAGGACAAACAATGCCAAGGAGAACTGAGGATTAACCTCCAAGGCAATGGTGTTTCTAAGGTGGAGTTGTCCATTTGCTCAAGGGAGGGGAGCCTGAGGAATCCCATCAGCATTCCCATTAATTAAGCAACACTGGTTCAATGTTGGGAGCTGTCAATACTTAAAAGCAATTTCCTTCCTGCTCTGTTCCTACCTGGGTAGAAATATCCCTAGGTCTCTGGGTGAAGAGTGTAGAGGAAACCAGATGTGCCTGGGCCGGGATGATGCGTTTCTGGGTGAACGTGGGCTTCCTGTAAGAGCAGGGCCTGTTCTCCACTGTTTGCTGAAATTGCTTTGTTTGCTCTTTTTCCAGAGAGCAGGGCTTTGGCGGAGTCACAGATGCCATTGGAGCAGATCATCGGAGGTGAGGACAGCGTCTGACGGGAAGCCTGATCTGGAACCTTCCCAAGGACTCAGGCAAGCCTTTGTGGCTGGATCATGAGAGGAGGGACTCCATCTTGAGCCATGTCCCCCAGCCATGGCATGGCTGCACTGTAAACGCCAATCGGGGGGTCACCAGGATCAACCGCAGGCTTTCTTCAGTCCCTTGGTCAGACCATAAACTGCATTTTTGATTCTTTGTGGATTCAAACCCTAGGATCCATCAGTCTTGCAAGGACATTGAATATTAGGAGGAAAAAGTCATGGAAAAAATAAAGCCATTTAGAACCTGGGTTTCAACGCTAGCCCTTTCTGGTTTGCCATAGGCCCTGCCAAGATACTGCAGGTCCATCCAGGCCTCTGCTATCTGCATCTGCAGTGGGCTTCCCAGGAACTTGACTGTCTTTCATTTGATCTTTATTTTTGTTTATTTAATATTTTAAACTTTATTTTAAAAATATTTCAAACATAAGGGCGGGGTGTGGTGGCTCATGCCTGTAATCCCAGCACTTTGGGAGGCCGAGGCGGGCGGATCACCTGAGGCCAGGAGTTGGAGACCAGCCAGGCCACCATGGTGAAACCCTGTCTCTACCAAAAATACAAAAAATTAGCCAGATATTGTGGCAGGCACTTTTAATCCCAGCTACTCGGGAGGCTGAGGCAGGAGAATTGCTTGAACCTGGGAGGCGGAGGTTGCAGTGAGCCAAGATTGCACCAGTGCACTCCAGCTTGGGCGACAGATCAAGACTCTGTCACACACAAAACAAACAAACAAATTTTCCCGTTTCTCTCTGTCCCTTTCTCTATAACATGGATAAAATATTCACGTCTTATGTATTTATTATTGCTGAGTCATTGGTGCCTTATTCTTCAGTGTTTCAGTCTGTATCTCCTAAGCATCCTGATGTTAGTTTTTTGACTATAAAATTGACCTGCATTCTTTACTAGCAATTCAAACGGTACAGCACTCTTGAAGTGTAAACATTCCTGTTCCTCCTCACCCCACTCTGCAGACATGCCTTTCTGTCTGTCCTCCCAGACTTTTCCCCTGCATAAAGATGTTCATTTTGTACATACACTCAGACATACATGTGGCTGTATTTTTTGTATACCGATTTCTGGATGGAATGCACACTGTTATCTGTTTAGTTACTTTATGTTTTCATACAAATGACATCATCCCACAAATAGAATTCTGCCATTTACTTTCTTCACTATTCTTATGTGGCATGGTTCATGCTGGGCCTCGGTCTTTTGAGTGGGGTCTGTTTACCCAGTCCCCTGTTGGTGATCACATCGCTAACTTCCGGCGTTTTCCTATCACCATCGGTGCCTCCGTGAACACCTTGTGAATGTGCCTGTGCCTTCGTTCTGGTGTCGGTGCAGAGCAGGGTCCAAGGGGCGTGACAGCTGGGCTGAGGGGCTGGCATGTTTCACATTCTGATAGATAGAGCCAAGTTGCTCCTATCAGGTTTTCAAGCTGCCCATTTCCCACCGTGGAGACAGCAACAGAGGGGACATCCCCAGCTCCTCTGGCTCTGCCTGTTCAAAGCTACCCTGTGAGGCCTGAAGACAGAGCTGCCCTGAAGGCAGCTCATGTCCACTGAACACTGACTGTGGGCTGGATGCTGTGCCAAGGGCTTGACGTTTCCTCTTTAAGGATGAGGAAACGGGCAGAGAAGCGGCTGATTGTCCAGTCCCCCTGCGTGGAGGCTGCTTGGCTGGGCTCGAGCCCAGCGGTGTGGTCATAGAGCATGTTGTGCTGAATGGCTCTGCCATGGACCAAGCCTTGGCTGCTCTAAAAGCCGGCTCATTGCCTTCTGCTTCTCCGGATTCGTTCCTTACTCCAGGAAGAGCAGTGCACTGAAGGAGAAATGGGAATGGGCAAAAGGAACCACATGCTGGCCAGACCCCTGCGGGGTCACTTTCCTCAGCCTGGGCTCCGACATGCCACGTCAGGTGCCAGCGCACATACTCTGGACACCCTCCTCATTCTCTCTGGGCTTTGATGCTCTCTGTGAGTCATCTGCCCTCCCTTTCCCATGCTACAGGCATCTACCTTGCTCTGTCCCACCTAATAGCTTCAGGACTGAACAATTCAGGAAAGGGAAGGGAAGGGGTGGAGGAGAAGAGGGAAGAGTCGGCCCTTGGAAGGTTCTCCACGGAAGACTGCCTTTTTTTTTTTTGAGATGGAGTCTCGCTGTGTCGCCCAGCCTGGAGTGCAGTGGCATGATCTCAGCTCACTGCAAACTCCGCCTCCTGGGTTCAGGGGATTCTTCAGCCTCAGCCTCCAGAGTAGCTGGGACTACAGGTGCATGCCACTGTGCCCTGCTAATTTTTGTATTTTTAGTAGAGACGGGGTTTCACCATATTGGCCAGGCTGGTCTCGAACTCCTGACCTCTTGGTCCACCCGCCTCAGCCTCCCAAAGTGCTGGGATTACAGGTGCAAGCCACCGCGCCTGGCTCGAGAGACTGACATTCTGTCTCAGCACAGCTGGAAGAGGCTGCTTGAGCACCAGGATAAGGAGTTGTCTTGCATTCAGGGGCCATGTGGTGTGCGGATACCTATTTTTCTTTCTTTTCTTTTTTTTTTCTGAGACAGAGTCTCGCTCTGTCTCCCAGGCTAGAGTGCAGTGGCATGATCTCAGCTCACTGCAACCTCTGTCTCCCGGGTTCAAGCAATTCTTCTGCCTCAGCCTCCCAAGTAGCTGGGATTACAGGTGCCCACTACCACACCCAGCTAATTTGTGTGTGTGTGTGTGTGTGTGTGTGTGTGTGTGTGTGTGTGTGTGTGTGTTTTTGAGATGGAGTCCTGCTCTGTCACCCCGGCTGGAGTGCAGTGGTGCGATCTCAGCTCACTGCAAGCTCCGCCTCCCGGGTTCACACTATTCTCCTGCCTCAGCCTCCCGAGTAGCTGGGACTACAGGCGCCTGCCACCATGCCTGGCTAGTTTTTTTGTATTTTAAGTAGAGACAGGGTTTCACCGTGTTAGCCAGGATGGTTCGATCTCCTGACCTCATGATCTGGCCGCCTCAGTCTCCCAAAGTGCTGAGATTACAGGCGTGAGCCAGCGTGCCTGGCTAATTTTTGTATTTTTAGTAGAGACGGGGTTTCACCATGTTGGCCAGGCTGGTCTCGAACCCCTGACCTCAAGCAATCCACCCACCTTGGCCTCCCAAAGAGCTGAGATTACAGGTGTGAGCCACCGCACCCGGCCCAAGGATACCTATTTTTCTTAATGCTGGAAGCCACACTCAGACACCAGAGCAGCTCTCAATGCTGGGAATCCTGGGAGACTGATGATGACCGCGTCTCCCTCTGGGACCAAGGATGGTGGAAGGGTGTGCAGAATTCCAAATGTTATTTACATCACTCACTCTTGTGTGGAGTGCATAATTGTCTTTGCTTGCCAATTTCATATCAGTTAAATATAAGCAGTAAGCTAATCCTATTCTGTGACTTACTTTTCTCACGTGTCATCATAATGATATACGTCAATATTCATCCCTCAGATCGGCCTTGCTCTAACAGCCCTTTTCACGGCATAAATGCATCAATGTTTGCTTATGGGAAACACAAAGGATATTTTCAGGTTTTCACATCAGACAGTGCTTCAGTGCTCAGGGCTTATGTATCTTTGTGGTCTTCTGGTAGAATTTCTGTAGATTCCCAGAAGTGGTATTGCTTGGGCAAAGGTTATACACACTGAACATGTTGATACTTACTGCCAAATTGCCATGCGAGAGGGCTGTCCAACTTTGTAAGGGAAGGCCTCTTTCCTCTTATGTTGTTCCACATGGGAATTTCAATTTCACTGGTCTGGAATAAGCTGTTCTTCCTTCTCAACTTTTCCACTAGGAATGGCTTGCATTATGGCTCTCCCTTGGTTAAAAAAAAAAAAAAAAAGAGAGAAAAGAAATGGAGGGTTTAGCAGGTTACTTTGGGCTGCAGCCAGAGTGATTGCCACATGCATTTCTCTCTTTATCTCCTCTCTCTCCTACCATAGGCTCAGTTCTGTATCAGAAAGGGCTGAGGTTCCTACATGCACCACCTTCCTTCAAAGGGGCAGGTACGTCAGGTCACATACACTCAAGTGTTTTGAAAGAATCCATTTCCCCACTGACTTTCTGATAGGCTGCTTCTGGGTCAAGTTCTGTAGCCAATACTTTTTTTAGTCTGTTTTCCCCATGAGGAAAACATCCAGTCAGAATGGCAGTCTCAAGGACAAGTGGGGAACTGTGATGTAGCGTGGAGACGATTTGCTTACTTCCATCTTGGAGGCCAAGGGTGTAACTTGGCTACCTCAGTAGCTCCTTGGTGGTGCTTACTCAGTGCCCCTGGGTAGGAAAATCAAGTTGTCAGGACACCGAGGATTCACTCAGCTCTGCTCTCAGCAGCAGATGGGAGGCACGGGCTCCATCTGGAAGAAGACCTTGCTCTTGCACTCCAGCTAGTTTGCTGCCCACAACGCTGGCCAGCCTTTAATAAGAGAAGGCAGGCCGGGCATGGTAGCTCATGCCTGTAATCCCAGCATTTTGGGAGGCCAAGGCGGGCGGATCATGAAGTCAAGAGATCAAGACAATCCTGGCCGCTGGGCACGGTGGCTCACGCCTGTAATCCCAGCACTTTGGGAGGCCAAGGCAGGCAGATCACCTGAGGTCGGGCGTTCGAGACCAGCCTCACCAACATGGAGAAACCCTGTCTCTACTAAAAATACAAAATTAGCCGGGCGTGGTGGCACATGCCTGTAATCCCAGCTACTAGGGAGGCTGAGGCAGAAGACTCTCTTGAACCTGGGAGGCAGAGGTTGCGGTGAGCCAAGATCGCGCCATTGCACTCCAGTCTGGGCAACAAGAGTGAAACTCCGTCTCAAAAAAAAAAAAAAAAAAAAAAAAAAAAAAAAAAAAAAAAAAAGACCATCCTGGCCAATATGGTGAAACCCTGTCTCTACTAAAAATAGAAAAATTTGCTGGGTGTGGTGGCATGCACCTGTAATCCCAGCTACTTGGGAGGCTGAGGCAGGAGAATCACTTGAACTTGGGAGGTGGAGGTTGCAGTGAGCTGAGATCGTGCCACTGCACTCCAGCCTGGCGACAGAGCAAGACTCCATCTTAAAAAATAAATACATAAAAATAAGAGAAGGCAGAAATCTGCATGTTTTGTGGATCATCTCCAGTTTTTAAGACATTAACTGATACTGTGCCAGTCCATTGAAACTGGTTTATGGGCCATATGTGAATTAGGGCTTCTAATTTAAATCCATACTGTTAACAAAAGACCACGAGATTTGCAGAGGCAAAAGGGAGAACTTTGTTTTCTGAAGGCAGTCTGCAGATTGGGGAGACACAGGCTTTGGTGTAAAATGAAAGTGCGCTCAGAGAATGTGTGAGAGAGTAGGACGTTATAAAGGCAAAAAACCACAGGAGAGGAGTGAGGAACAGCCTTAAGTGTCTTGCTTTGTCACCCATGCTAGAGTGCAGTGACACAATCATGGCTCACTGCAACCTTGAACTCCCAGGCTCAAAGAGTCCTCCCGCCTCAGCCTCCTGAGTGTGCACCACCATGCTTGGCTATTTAAAAAATTTTTTGTAGACATGGAGTCTCACTCAGACTGGTCTCAAACTACTGAGATCAAGTGATCCTCCTGCTTCAGCCTCCAAAAGTGCTGTGATTACAGGTGTGAGCCATCGTGCCTGGCCAGGAACAGTCTTGATTGGATGACGTTTAAGCCCCAAATCACCAGTCTCTTCATTGGCTGGTTCCAGGTGGTTGGTCAGTTGGGACCTGGTGGTCTGCTGGTGGTCAGTTTGGGAATTTCCAGGTACGATTGTTTTCAGGCACTGTTCTTTGACTTGGTTGCAGAAAAACAGATTTTGCAACACTTTCCAAGGACACAGTGTTACCACTCCCTCACCCTGCCATGGCCTCTTGGTTCTGCTTTTAACTTCTGAGCCTCAGGGAGTCCATCTTGTCTGTCAACTGGGGGTATAACTCGTCATTTTCCCCCTTTTGGTAGAAACTTGCCATAGGCAGCACTGATGACCAATTTATGCTCCATCACATATTGTTGCCAGCATGGTGTGGCTACCTGCCCTGGGACCATCTAGTCCCCCGGTGGGACTCATGTGGCTAAGAAACTTATGACAATTGAACAACTTGGGCCAAGCAGAGTGTAAAGTGGGCAGACACCTGCTAGATATATATATATTTTTGGAGACTGAGTTTCACACTTGTTGCACAAGCTGGAGTGCAATGGTGTGATCTCGGCTCACTGCAACCTCCGCCTCCCAGATTCAAGTGATTCTCCTGCCTCAACCTCCAGAGTAGCTGGGATTACAGGAGCCTGCCACCATGTCTGGCTAATTATTATATTTTTAGTAGAGACAGGGTTTCACCATGTTGGCCAGGCTGGTCTCAAACTCCTGACCTCAGGTGATCCACCTGCCTCAGCCTCCCAAAGTGCTGGGATTACAGGCATATCTAGTAGTTTTACTTATATATATTAACTATAATTTTAACTCTTAGTAGCCCTAATTTCTAGTGGAAAACTTAGGAAGTGCCGTTGAATTATTTTATATCAGTATTTGTAGATGAAAACCATTTTGTTTCCTCAATTTTTTATTAACAGATCGAAGTATATTGTTTTCTATACCATATAGGTGACTTAGACATTCTATGATTACCTATTATTTAACATAGCATGATTTTAAGATTTTTAAATTAATAATTTGAAATGATGACACAGGTACCCTTCCTAATGTTTTTTTCTGTTGTCTGGCATCTCACATGTCCATGTGGCACCCAAGGACAGCTATGAAGGACAGGCCTTGTTGGGGTCCCAAATTTACATACCAAGTATAGAGCTCAGGACAGGACAGAGTTGTGAAGATAATGCCTGGAGAATCCAACCCATCCCAGCATGGCAAAGAGGCAAAACTGGGCCAGGGAGAATGGGGCCATATTGGGCTTGGTTCTGCCTTAAGCTGGTGGTCAGGAACTGAGGACATGTCCCCAGGTCCCACCATGGCCAGCCTGTCCAGACCCTAGACTCCAGATGCTCAAAACCGAAAAGAAGCTGACAGTAAGATATGTCCAAGGCTTTGGGGAGCACAACAGCCAACCCTCACAACTCTACCTCACAGACAAAACAAGCAACAGTTTTATGACCTTAAAACATCTACAGGCTGGGCGCAGTGGCTCACACCTGTAATCCCAGTACTTTGGGAGGCCAGGGTGGGTGGATCACGAGGTCACGAGATTGAGACCATCCTGGCCAACATGGTGAAACCCCGTCTCTACTAAAAATACAAAAATTAGCTGGCCGTGGTGGCATGTGCCTGTAGTCCCAGCTACTCGGGAGGCTGAGGCAGAAGAATCGCTTGAACCAGGGAGTTGGAGGTTGCAGTGAGCTGAGATCGCACCACTGCACTCCAGTCTGGGTGACTGAGTGAGACTCCGTCTCAACAAAAACAGAAACAAAAACAAAAACAAAAGCAAAAACAAAAACATCTACAGAAATTAATTAAATCTGTCTGACCAGTACATTCAGGCAAGAAGTCTGAGTCAAATTTAATACGGACAATTCTGAAGACATTTAATTTTATTTTGCCAACAATTTAAACCAGTTTTATTTACCAGAGATTACTAGAGTCACATGAGCTAAAAAGCATTTGAGTTAGTTTCTATTTTTCTGATACAGTATTTTGATTTAAGCACTTACTTTTTCATTAAGCCAACTAATTAGAGCTCTTTCATATATTTTGGTAGTGAAATATCACATACACATGACACATAAACATACAGACAGAAGATTTTATAGCTTTATAAGATTCTTCATTTGCCAGTTTTCAAATAGTTTTTCTCCCCCCTGCAGACAGACTATTAAGCTCTAAGCAGTTGTTAGCTAGGCAACCTGAAATTTGTACTCTCCAAGACAGGACTTCTTTGGTAAAAATTTACGTATCAAAGACACAGAACTTAGATATAAACACCATTATTTGCCAAGACAAAAAGGGGTAGGTAAAAGCCCATTCAAGACAAGCTTTCCAGGAAAAGTGTCTTAAACAAATTTAAGGTTTGTTAGGTAAACTTTAGGACATCTTCCTTGTTGGAAAGTTTCTAGTGGTTTAAGTGCGGGGATGCAGATGCCCTTACAAATGGAGATTTTTTATACATGTAAATTTATTTTACAAAGAATTTCAAAATAGCCAGCTAAATTCCAGAAAATATTTTGGAGACCAATCTAATTAGACTGGTCTTTTTAAATTAGGCTGTTTCTTGATTAGATTATTGAGTCCTTTAACAGGGTAAAAGCAGCCTTTTCTATGCTTGGACTTAGGAAGTCTATTTTTACCTGAGGACCTATCTTTTATAAACACTTTAGTTAGCTTGTTTTTTCTTTTGAACCAAAGGTACCTTTTCAAATAGTTTACCAAAAGCAATAACCCTTAACCAAGGTTATGACTTGGTTAGTCAAGGATGAACCAGGCACCTCCAAGAGGTGCAAAGCAGTCCTCACAAGATCCAGAACTACCCCAAAGTCAGCTCAAAGATAAAAAGTCTTTTTAGCCACAAATGGAATACAACTTATACTTCTAACTGGCCATATTTTCTAGGATCTCAGCTTCTCAGCTGACCACCTATGCATAAAGGCCCAAAGGTCCCATATGCCCTACAGAAGGAAAAAGACGGGAAATCAAATCATGTTTTAGGTTACGTTTTTGCTCTTTAATTTTGTGAAGAGAATTTCCAAGGCTAGCCATGACACTCCTAAGCGTCCATGGAAGGAAAAAGGATCAGTAACAAATGGGTACCCAAAAAAGGTCAATAGTCAAACAATTTAAAACAAATGGGATTGCTTCTCTGACTCGGAATTGAACCTGGGCTACAGCCACAAGAGCCCAGAATCTCAGCCACTAGACCACAGAGTGGAGGGCTTTTTGTAAATCCTACAGGGGATCAATAGCAGGCAGTTTGAGCATAAAAAATATTTTAACTTTGTTTTAGATCATGTTTTTGCTCTTTAATTTTGTCAAGAGAATTTCTAAGGCTAGCCATGAAACTATTAAGTGTCTTTATATTTTAACTTAATTTTTTTTAAATACAAAGAAAGTATTTGTTTAGAATGAGAGATCTCTAAGATATTTTTAAAATTTAGGAGGGTAATTTAAAGGATCTGTTTTCTGGCCATTGACATTTAGAATTTTCAATCATGTACTCCTTTCAATAATGGCACAATCCAATAGCCTCTTTACGGAAAGTCCAGAATGTAATTTTCCAGGTGTAGAGAAAGTTTTGTTTTTTGTTTTTTTTAAACCAGTTAAGAAACAGATGTTTCCTGGAAAGGGTATAGAAGAGGCAATGCCAAATATCCCCCTATGCAAAAAAGTTCACTCCCAGGAATAGGCTAAGTTGGCAAAAGACTCTTGTTGCCACAGATGGTTAAGGATGACGGTGTTTGTGCATATGCTGCCTCCAGCAACCTATAAGTCTGTGGGGGGTCGCTAGTCACAGACCTCTCAATCTGTGACACTGGGCAGACCCTCCTGGAATTGGACTTTCCCAGGACTAACCAGGCAACAAGGGTTGAGATGAGAGAAGCCCCACAGCGACTTCTTCTTTTCTTTTTTTTTTTTTTTGAGACGGAGTCTCGCTCTGTCGCCCAGGCTGGAGTGCAGTGGCGTGATCTCGGCTCACTGCAACCTCCGCCTCCCGGGTTCCAGCGATTCTCCTGCCTCAGCCTCCCAGGTAGCTGGGACTACAGGCACGTGCCACCACACTCAGCTGATTTTTTGTACTTTTAGTAGAGACAGGGTTTCACTACGTTGGCCAGGCTGGTCTCAAACTCTTGACCTCGTGATCTGCCCGCCTTAGCCTCCCAAAGTGCTGGGATTACAGGCATGAGCCACTGCGCCCGGCCCCCACAGTGACTTCTTAAGACAAACCCCTCCAAGAACTTGACATGTTCAGAACAAAATGTGTGTTGAAGCCAGGCACTGCAGCTCATACCTGTAATCCCAGCACTTTGGGAGGCCAAGGTGGGAGAACTGCTTGAGCCCAGTAAGGCAGGAGAATAGGGTCTGGAGATAGGGAACATAAGGCCAATTCATGCTGACTTCCTAGAACTAAATCAAATGGAAACACTTCAGCTATGACAGGAAATACCCTCTCCATTTACATAGGACATACACTGAGTAAATGACTTTCTAACTTTACTTCATCCTCTTCATTTACATAGGACATACACCAAGTAATCAATGGAAACCCCTAGAGGGTATTGAAACCCCAGAAAATTCTATAATGGGGCTCTTGAGCCCCTGTGCTCAGGCCCGCTCCCACCCTGTGGAGTGTACCTTCATTTTCAAAAAACCTCTGCTTTTGTTGCTTCATTCTTTCCTTGCTCTGTTTGTGCATTTTGTCCAATTCTTTGTTCAAGACTCCAAGAACCTGGACACCTTCAACCGGTAACACCAGGAGTTCAGGACCAACCTGGGCAACACAGTGAGACTCTGTTGCTTTTTTTAATGTGTGTACTTTTATTGGGACAGAAAAGAGACCTTGTCTCTATAAAAAATTTCAAAACTGGCCAGGTGTGGTGGCAACCACCTGTAGTCCCAGCTACTCAGGAGGCTCAGGTGAGAGGACTGCTTGAGACCTGGAGGTTGAGGCTGCAGTAAGCCATGATTGTGCCACTGCCCTCCAGCCTGAGCGGCAGAGCAAGACCCTGTCTCAGTAAAAGTATGTTGATCGGAACGACAAACTGAGCAGTCTGCAGGGCTGGGTTGAATAAGCGGGCTTCTAGCGGCTTAGCCTTGTGTTCTACCCCTCTTGGTGACAGAACGACACAGAAAGATGAAGACAAAGGAAAACACTATTTCAGTCAGTTAAAGGGATCAAACAATAAGAATATGCATACCAAAAACTACCAAAAAGCACACCAGAGTTCTACACCCAAAACTAGTCACACAAATCCTTTTCTCCCTGAATAAGTCAGTTCTCTGCTGCTAACAAAGACATACCTGAGTCCGGGCGCGGTGGCTCACCCCTGTAATCCCAGCTCTCAGGGAGGCAAGAGGTGGGAGGATAGCTTGAGCCCAGGAGTTTGAGACCTGCCTGGGCAATATAGCGAGACCCCGTTCTCCAGAAAAAGGAAAAAAAAAAAAAGACAAAAAAAAAAAAAGCATAACAAAGACATACGTGAGACTGGGTAATTTATAAAGAAAAGACATTTAATGGACTCACAGTTTCACATGGCTGGGAAGGCCTCACAATCATGGTGGAAGATGAAGGAAGCGCAAAGGGATGTCATACATGGCGGCAGGCAAGAGAGAGCGTGTGCAGTGGAACTCCCCTTTATAAAACCATCAGATCTTGTGAGACTTATTCACTATCAGGAGAACAGCATGGGAAAAATCTGCCCCCATGATTCAATTACCTCCCACTGGGTTCCTCCCATGACACATGGGGATTACTACAATTCAAGGTGAGAGTTTTGTGGAAACACAGAGCCAAACCATATCACTCCCATTAATTGAGATTATGTAGAGGAGATAAACGGTTATTTTTTTCCTGTCTGCTCAACTGGGTTTCACAGGAAGACAGGCTGGGAGCCTGACTGTTGAGGAATTCTTACCCTTTTGCCCGTTGTCAAGCCCTGGGTTCCCTTCACTGTGGCTTCTAGAAGAGCAGAGTGGCTTTGGTGAGCCTGCCCACAGCACCAAAACTGTAGGGTCCAAGGGAAAGCTTCCCCTTTGCCTTCTGAAAGTTCACTGAAAAATCACCTCACAAAGGAGTTGAGCAAGAGAAATGGCATACAGTTATCCACGTGCACACAGGGGAGAACCCCAGAGTGATTACCCCCTTCCTGAGAAACAAAAAGTCTCAAGGAAAAACTCACGACTTCATCGAGGAGTGAGAATATCTAGCTGAACAGAACTCAGGACCGGAATTATGTGGGAAGTCTGAGACTCAGGAGAAATGCAGCCAGTTGTCTGCAATCTTGGAGGAGCTGGAGGGGCTCAAAGGGCTTTTGCTGGTACCCTCAGGGTCCCTGCAATATTCCAGGCAAAGAGAGTGGTGGTGAGATGGAAAAAATGGAGGTGGAATGCAAGTGGGGGAGCAGGGAGATACAGGGCTCTCTGTTTTACAGACATTGGTTAATTGTTCCGGTTAGTCTCCTTTAAAAATTTAGAGACTGCCAATTGCGTTTGGAGCTTTCAAAAATGCTGATTAAAGGAAAGCCTCTTAGTATTTTTGAGAAATCCAGACTCCTCTTTGTTCTAATTGTGTGCATAGTTTAATTTAGATGCATCCCTCAGGTCGATCTTGTCTGGGGGCAAAATTTGACAATACCAATCCTTGGTAGTGATTAGTAATGTCCATGAACGAGGAGCACCGGCAGAGGACTTAGGGGTATATCAGGAAAATGGCCCATTCCATCCAGGGGTGGGGCAGGAGGGCACCGGGGGTGTGCTATTGACCCCAGACTCACTGGGGGTATAGGGTGGAAGTATAGACATTGGAGTCAGCCTTGTAAGATTTACCTAACCTCCCTGAGGCCCTGTTTTCTCAACTGTAAAAACAGTGGTTTGGAGGGTTCAATGATATGCTAACAGCAAATTTTTTTAAATTAATTAATTAATTAATTAATTAATTAATTTTTTTTGAGATGTTGTCTTACTCTGTTTCCTAGGCTGGAGTGCAGGCAGTGGCGCGATCTCAGCTCACTGCAACCTCTGCCTCCCGAGTTCCAGCGATTCTCCCACCTCAGCCTCCAGAGTAGCTAGGATTACAGGCGCTCACCACCACGCCCAGCTAATTTTTTGTATTTTTAGTAGAGATGGGGTTTCACCATGTTGGCCAGGCTGGTCTCCAACTCCTGACCTGAAGTGATCCGCCACCTCGGCCTCCCAAAGTGCTGGGATTACAGGTGTGAGCCACCGTGCCCAGCCTCAACAGCAACTTTTAAAAAGATAAATATTGGCCAGGCATGGTGGCTCACACCTGTAATCCCAGCACTTTGAGAGGCTGAGGTGGGCAGATTACTTGAGGCCAGAATTTTGAGACCAGCCTGGGCAACATGGCGAAACCCCATCTCTACTAAAAATACAAAAATTAGCCGGGCATGGTGGTGTGCACCTATATCTAGTCCCAGCAACTCGGGAGGCTGCGGTAGGAGAATCATTTGAACCTGAGAGGTGGAGGTTGCAGTGAGCCAAGATGGCGCCACTTCACTCCAGCCTGAGCGACAGAGCAAGACTCTGTCTCAAAAAAAATAAAAGGATGCAGGCTGGGCGCAGTGGCTCAAGCCTGTAATCCCAGCACTTTGGGAGGCCAAGGCGGGAGGACTGCTTGAGCTTAGGAGTTCGAGGCCAGCCTGGGCAACATGGCGAAAACCCATCTCTACAAAATATACAAAAATTAGCTGCGCATGGTGGTGCACGCCTGTAATCCCAGCTACTCGGGAGGCTGAGGCAGGAGAATCACTTGAACCCAGGGGGCAGAAGTTTGCAGTGAGCCGAGATTAGGCCATTGCACTCCATCCTGGGCAACAAGAGCAAGACTCTGTCTCAAAAAAAAAAAAAAAAAAAGGATGCATGTTATGTGCCCATCAGATTATGTACTTATTAGCTGTGGGTGATCATGTAAATTTTGTGTGCCTCAGTTTCCCAATGTGTAAAATGGGAATAAGGACAGCACCGATCTCAGAGGGTTACTACACGGATTAAATGTGAAGTGCTTAGAATAGTGCTTAGCATATTCTAAATTTCTAATAAATGTTAGCTATTATTTTTATATTTCTGATTATCACAAATGGGTCCTGAAAATAGATATTAGTATACCCATAGTTACAGATAAAACAAAGGCTTTGAGAGATTAAATAACTTCCCTAAACCATACGGCCAGGATTCAATAGAACTGGAGCCCCCAGGGTATGAACATCTCCTCCCGATGCAAGCTGTTGGCAGGAAGTGTAGGTGAACCTCTCCATAGGGCTGCTTGAGTGTTCTCACAACATGGCATCCAGCTCCTCCAGCGTGAGTGATCTAAGAGGGAGCAAGGTGGAAGCTACAGTGCCTTTATGACCTAGTCTTGGAAGTCACACATCATTACTTATGCCACATTCATTCTAATTTTATTTATGGAGACAGGGTCTTGCTCTGTCACCCAGGCTGGAGTGCAACGGCATGATCACGGCTCACCGCAACCTCCCAGGCTCAAGCAATCCTCCCACCTCAGCCTCCTGAGTAGCTGGGACTACAGGCACGTGCCACTAGGGCTCCCTAAGTTTTGTATTTTTTGTAGAGATTGGATCTTACTATGTTGCCCAGGCTGGTCTCGAACTCCTGGGTTCCAGTGATCCTCCAGTCTTGGCCTTCCAAAGTGCTAGGATTACAAGCATGAGCTACTGTGCCCAGCCTCATTCTACACATTGGAATAGAGTTGCTAGTTTAAGCAAAACTAAAACAAAAGGATGCCCAGTTAAATTTGAATTTGAGATAAACAATGAATACACTTTTAGTATAAGTCTATCGTCTATCCCATGCAGTATTCAGGACATACTTATTCTAAAATTTATTTGTTGTTTATCTGAACTCAAATTTCATTGGGTATCATATATTTTCTCTGGCAACCCTATGTTAGAAGCAAGTCATTTAGTCCAGCCCACCACTCAAGGGAAGGGCTTCCACTTTTGAAGGGAGGAATGTCCAATAATTTGTGGAGATATTTTTCAGCCACCACAAGCAGGGTTTTGGAAAAGTTCACCTGGTTCTGGGGTCTGTGGATAATTGTATGCGAGCCTAACAGGATGAAGCAGTAGTTCAGGGACAAGAAGGTTTTCTTCCAAATGGTCTTGCACATTTTCCAGAAATCACACACATTATCTTATTTGAGCCTCAGACAGCTCTGTGGAGTAGGTGAGGGTGGCAATTACAATCCCCATTTTACAGGCGAGGAAACAGATTAAGCACCTGCTCCAAGGTGATATGGGCAGAAATGGTGGAGGGGACAACAAATTCCCCTAATCTCAAGTCTGGCATTTGTTCTACTCCACCCAGTCATGTCCTGACAGAGTACTGATGTCTCCACTATATAAGATGTCTTAGATTCATTTTCTGTCTTCTGCCATGTTGTTATCTCACATAAGTGATGGGATTTGTGGATCCTCGCAGCAGTGCTGGGTGATGACAGAAGACTATTGGAGAAGCTGCGGCTGGAGGGCAGCTTTCTCTCCCCACATCCACAAGCTCTGAGATCCATCTTGGCTGAGACCATGGGCTTCAACCCACTCCTCAGACCCTTTGTGTTGACTGGTTCCAGAATACTGCCAGGAACCTCACTCATTTTCACCAGGAGGCCATCGGCCTCACATGAGAAAGCTGAGGAACAGTCAGCCCAAATAGATAATTACCCTCCTGTAATTTGTATTATAAGGAATTTTAGGCTGGGCATGGTGGCTCATGCCTGTAATCTCAGCACTTAGGGAGGCCAAGATGGGCTGATCACTTGAGGCCAGGAGTTCTAGACCAGTCTAGGCAACATGGGGAACCCTGTCTCTACTAAAAAAACAAATAACAGCCAAGCATGGTGGTGTATGTCTGTAGTCCCAGCTACTCAGGAGTCTGAGGCAGGAGAATTGCTTGAACCTGGGAGGCAGAGGCTACACTGAGCCAGGATTGTGCCACTGCACTCCAGCCTGGGTGACAGAGCAAGACTCTGTCTCAAAAAAAAGAAAATTTAGATATACAGAAAATCAGAAAGAATAGTATAATAGATATCCATACTCCTTCCACCTACACTCAGTAATTCTTACTATCTTTTCCCTGTTGGCTCTGCCAATCTTTTAACCTATTTTTATTGTGTATTTTGATTCACTCCTAAGTACTTTGTAACCTGCATTATCTAAGTACATGCTCCTATGTAACCATAAGTCTATAATCACACATAAGAGAATTAACCATGATTTGCTAATATCATCTAACACTGAGTTCGTGTTCAAATTTCTCCTGTTGTATCCAAAATATCTTCCATATCCAATCAACGCTCATCCATATGCCTCTTTAGTTTCTTTTATTTCTTTTATTTTATTTTATTTATTTTTATTTTTTGAGACGGAGTCTCGCTCTGTTGCCCAGGCTGGAGTGCAGTGGAGCGATCTCGGCTCACTGCAAGCTCCGCCTCCTGCGTTCACGCCACTCTTCTGCCTCAGCCTCCCGAGTAGCTGGGACTACAGGCGCCTGCCACTACGCCTGGCTAATTTTTTGTATTTTTTAGTAGAGATGGGGTTTCACTGTGTTAGCCAGGATGGTCTTGATCTCCTGACCTCATGATCCACCAGCCTTGGCCTCCCAGAGTGCTGGGATTACAGGCATGAGCCACTGTGCCCGGCCTATTTTTTTTTTTTTTTTTTGAGAGGGAGTCTCACTCTGTTGCCCAGGCTGGAGTGCAATGCGCAATCTCTGCTCACTGCAACCTCCACCTCCTGGGTTCAAGCGATTCTCCTGCCTCAGCTTCCCGAGTAGCTGGGATTACAGGCGGCTGCCACCACACCCAGCTAATTTTTTTTGTATTTTTAGTAGAGACAGGGTTTCACCATGCTGGCCAGCTGGTCTCAAACTCCTGACCTCAGGTGATCCGCCCACCTTGGCCTGCCAAAGTGCTGGGATTACAGGCATTGAGCCACCGCACCCAGCTAGTTTCTTTTAATCTAGAACAGTAACCTCTCATGAGATCAGTCCAGTTATCTTGTAGATGGCTGTTTTAGTCTATTCTCATGCTGCTAATAAAGACATACCTGAGACTGGGTAATTTATAAAGGAAAGAGGTTTAATTGACTCACAGTTCAGCATGGCTGGGGAGTTCTCAGGAAACTTACAATCATGGTGGAAGGGGGAAGCAAACATGTTCTTCTTCACATGGCGGCAGACTGAGAAGTGCAGAGTGAAGGTCGGGGGAAAGCCCCTTATAAAACCATCAGATCTCATGAGAACTCACTATCATGAGAACAGCATGAGGATAACTGCCCCCTGATTCAATTACCTTCCACCAGGTCCCTTCCATGACATGTGGGGATTATGGGAACTACAATTCAAGATAAGATTTTGGTGGGGACACAGCCAAACCATATCAATGGTTCCATGTTCTGGATTCCCAGCATAAAGACATTTCCTGATTTCCAGTATAGTTGGATGTGGTCCAGTGACCAAGTTCTATTCAATGACATATATATGAAAGTATTGTGTGAAGTTTCTGGAAAGTCTGCTGCTGCCTGGAATATGGGTATGATGGCTGGAGCTCTGGCATCCATTTTAGACCTAAGGATCAGGGTCATTCTGCAGGGATGATGGAGGCAAAAGCTGGAAACAGCTTAATGCTGACACTAATACCAGCTCTGTCTGCCTACTTCCCTACCTCTTTTACTTGAGAAAACAGAACCTTGTGTATGTGTGTGTGTGTGTGTAATTAAAAATTAAAAAAAAATTTTTTAGACGAGGTCTCACTTGCTCTGTCACCCAGGCTGGAGTACACTGGCATGATCATGGCTCACTGCAGCCTCAATCTCCTGGGCTCAAGTGATCCTCCCACCTCAGCCTCCAGAGCATCTGGGACTACAGGTGTGTGCCACCACACCTGGCTAATTTTTGTATTTTTTGTAGGCATGGGGTTTCACTCTGTTGCCCAGGCTGGGACCTTGTGTGCTTTAATCCCTGTTAAGTCACTTAGTCAAATTTAATCCTAGCTAATAAAGAAGACAGATTGAGGTCTACTATAGTTTTATATTTGCTTGGAAGAGATGTTATGTGCTTACTACTTGGCTAAAACATGTTTCAGGATTTCTCTTTTTCCTCCAGGTACAGACCTCCGGTCCCAACACACCATAAGAACATTCTGAGATGATAATGTTACCTACCCTCTAGTCTGGGCCACCTATGATGTTGAATGAGTCTTGGCAGCCAGGGAAAATTTCTGTAAGAGCCTTGTGGTTAGACACATAGGAAATAAAGTCACTGTGGCTTGTCACATGCAAGAGGACAGCAGGGGACAGGGCATAGCGCTGTGTGTGCAGGAACAGTGTGGGAATGATCTGGAATTTGTGAAATACCTGGGCAGCAATACAAGGACGAGGCTCCAAAGGGCAGGGCTTCAGGAGAGGAAATGGATAAACACTGCACTTCTTGCATTACTGCCAGCCACAAAGAGGTTTCCTGAGTGCTGAAAACCCCATCTGGAAAGTGTCCCATAGGAAACAAAAGGAGTTACAGTGTGTGAAGGTCACTTGGCTGCTGCACCACCTGCCACCCCATTAATCACTTGAGTTGGTGGGTACAGGAACAAAGCTGTGGGCAGAGGGTCAGAACACTTCCTGTCTGCCCCAGGCACATGGAAGACATTCTCCTGAGTAGTAACCTTGGCACTGCCTTGGCTATTTGAGAAGCTGGCCAGTTACGTATTTCAGTCACTGGGTATTTGAGAAGCTGGCCAGTCTTTTGAGCTTCAACCATTCTCACAGATGTTGAATTTGCAGTTCTTAATGGATCTAGTGACACCTTCCTACCTCAGTAGAGCAAAAAATGTGGATCCCAGGTCTGGGAACCTAAAAGAAATCACTCTGAGTAGGTTAGAATTTCACCTCTATCTGAGACCCTGACAGAATCATTTAAAAATAAAAACACATATATACAAATATCTATACACACATAGGTGTGTGTGTGTGAATAGGGTGGCCCACCTTCATGTTCTTTTACTCCCTTGTTCTTCCAGTCATTCACTGAGATGCTGAGTTTTCCAGCATCTCTCAGTCTCTCAGAAGAACCGCCTGCCAGCATCCAGTGGGTCACATCCTACGACAAGCCCAGCACCTCTTCAGTGGAAGGGGATTTGCTTTGCGGCTTGGCAAGTTTATGCAAGTCCCTGATTTCTTGCACTGACTGCTGAAAAGCAGAGCTCCATTTAAATTCCATTCCTTCTGAAGATCTGTCCTATGACCAGGGTGCATGGTTCAACTCCTCTCTGCATCTGGCTGGCACCCAGGGCACTCTTGCCCAAATGCTTTGTCAGGTAGTTTACTTGATCTGTTTCCTAACGTGCTTCCCAGCCATGGTCCACATGGTTTCAGACTGCTCCAGGGCCCCCAAGGCCAACACAGGGGTCATGCTTGGAGAAAACCTTCAATTCTTTGCAGCCTCAGGCTTCTCCAGCCTTGGGTGCCAGTGCTTTAAGGTCCTCCTTATCCTCTTTGCTGGGCATCACTGCCTCAGTCATGGTTTAAATCTGATACACAAGGTTCTTAATGGGCCTCCATAGCCATGTACAATTGACACCCTTAGCCTGGCTAATGTGGTTAGCTAGCAAGTTTGTTATCCCTTCCAGGTAAGAAATGCCTTAACCCAGTGAAAGATCTGTCTCCAGATGACCCTTAAAAGTGACTCTAATGGTGAGCCCTTGATGCTGATTATGTGAGGGAATCTTTTTTATTTTATTTTTGAGACAGGGTCTTGATCTGTTGCCCAGGCTGGAGTACAGTGGCGCAATCAGAGCTCACTGCAGCCTCTCCCAGGCTCAAGTGATCCTCCCCACTCAGTCCCCTGAGTAGCTGGAACTATAGGTGCATACCACTATGCCTGGCTAACTTCTTATTTTTTTATTTTTGTAGAGATGGATCTCCCTATGTTGCCCAGGCTCACCTTGAACTCTTGGCTTCAAGCAATCCTCCAGCATGTCCTCCCAAGTGCTGGGATTATAGGCATGAGCCACTGTGCCCAGCACATGTGAGGGAGTCTTGAGAATTCTGTGTAGTTTGTCATGTGGGAGAGGTAGCACCCCAGGGTGGTCAAGGGCTTGGCCTGGGTTTGAATCCTGGCTCCTCTCTTTGCTAGCTGTGTTACCTTGAACAAGTTCCTTATCCTCTCTGTGCCCCATTTATAAAAAACGGGATTATTAGATAATAAAAAGACCCAATGCTTATGGGCTGTTGAAGAATTAAATGAGTAAATACACAGAAAGCACATAGCACAGTGCCTGGCACACAGAACCCTCCCAATGTTACCTGTTATTACTAGGAGTTGACTGGCTTTTCTCCTAAAGTACCTGCAGGGCTGGTTCTGCGGACAGCTTTTATGCTTCTGAGGGCTGGATCTTCTCCACTGCAGACAGAAGATGACAATACAGGCATTACTTACTCGTGTTACAGTTTTTATTTCTGCCCCTATTCTGAACTCTTTGAAGGCAGAGGCTATGTTTATCCCCCATTCAATTCAACCAACCGGACTGAGCCTCTGTTGTATGCCAGGCATTGCTGGGCCATGGAGATAAGGGTGAATGAAAAAACACCGACTTGGTCCTACCTTGTTTCCTGGGACCCATCCCACAAACGTGGTAGGTTGAAGAAATTAAGGAAGGTTGATATGAATTCTTTTGAATATAGAGTCAGTTTTTACACTCGTACTAATATCCTCATGCCTTTGACATCTGACCAGTTTCATGCTGGGAAAGGCAGCATTTCTTTGTAAGTTTTGACAGGCTGTGTGGGTTTCCCACCTTGGTTGGCTGTCTTTGCTGACAGGAAGCTGGTCTGAGGATAATATTTGATTTAGCAGCCTGGATCTTGGAAGTTCCTCATTTACAAACTGTCAGGGATGATCCTACTTTTAAGAAGCTCTTAAAAAGCTTAAAATATCAATGTGTATGGTACAAAATATCAATATGTGTGTCTGCCAGTGGCTCAGTTTTGGAGAAGAGAATTGCTGACCGTAAGGCAGTGCAACTGGGAAGCAATGCCTATGTTCCAGGCACCGTGGGACCCTGTAGCCCCTGGTCCTGGTGACTGTGAAAAAAAGGAGAAATTCTAGAAATAGGTGTAATCATGTGAATGTCTTTGTTTAATTTTCTTATCAAGATAAACTGCAATTCTGAACAACATGTGCTGTTCTGAATTCAACAGTCCACTCTCCATTCTGTTTGAAGGTCATGTATACTCTTGTGAAAATCCAGGGTTCTCATTTCATGGCTACTGAGGTATTTATTCCTATACTATTTAAATCAATTAAAAAATATCATTTACAATAACATAAACATCAAATGCTTAAGAATAAATCTAATGAAAGAGGTGCCAGAGGTCTGTATCAATATGAACAAGGCATTAAAATTAAAGACAGCCTAAATAAATGAAGAGAGATGCTACGTGCATTACTCGAAAGACTCAACAGAGTCAAGATGTCAACTCTCCCCAAAGTGATCTGGAGATTCAATGTAATCCCAATAAAAATCCCATCAGGACATTTTGTGAGAATTGGAAAGTTGATTTTAAAATTTACATAAAATGGAAAAGACCTAGAATAGTCAAGACAAACTCTGAAAGAAAATAAAGTTGGAACACTTATAATACCAGATAGCAAGATTTAGTATAAAGTTCCCATTATTGGCCAGGTGTGGAGGCTCATGCCTGTAATGCCAGCACTTTAGGAAGCTGAGGTGGGTGGATCACTTGAGCCCAAGAGTTCAAGTCCAGCCTGGTCAACATGGCAAAACCACATCTCTACAACTACAACAACAACAAGTTGGCTGTGTGTGGTTGCGCATACCTGTAGTCTCAGTTACCTGTGAGGCTGAGGTGGGAGGATTGTTGGAGATCATTGTTGAGGCTGCAGATTGTGTCCCTGCACTCCTGCCTGGGGGACAGTGAGACCCTGTCTCAAAAAAAGTTCCCATTTGTGAACCCCCAAAATTTGAGACAGGTTTCGGTTAATTTAGAAAGCTTATTTTGCCAAGGTTGAGGACGCACACCCAACACAACCTCAGGAGGTCCTGATATATGTCCAAGGCGGTCAGAGCACAGTTTGGTTTTATACATTTTAGGGAGACCTGAGACATCAATCAACATACGTAAGATGAACACTGGTTCCGTCCGCAGAGGCGGGACAAGTCTCAAAGCCAGGAGGGGGCTTCCAGGTCATAGGTAGATAAGAGACAAATGGTTACATTCTTTTGAGGTTCTGATGAGCCTCTCCAAAAGAGGCAAAAGGATATGCATTTATCTCAGTGAGCAGAGGGGTGGCATTGAATAGAATGGGAGGCAGGTTTGCCCTAAGCAGTTCTCTGCTTCACTTTTCCCTTTAGCTTAGTGATTCTGGGGGTTTAAGATAGTTTCCTTTCACACATTATTATTATTATTATTATTATTATTATTTATTTTTTTATTTTTATTTTTTGAGACAGAATCTCGTTCTGTCGCCCAGGCTGGAGTGCAGTGGCGCGATCTCAGCTCACTGCAACTTCCGCCTTCCGGGTTCAAGCGATTCCCCTGCCTCAGCCTCCGAGTAGCTGGGACTACAGGCGCCCGCCACCATGCCCAGCTAATTTTTTGTACTTTAGTAGGGATGGGGTTTCACCATGTTGGCCAGAATGATCTCGATCTCCTGACCTCGTGATCCACCCGCCTCGGCCTCCCAAAATGCTGGGATTACAGGCGTGAGCCACCGCACCCAACCTCCTTTCACACATTATTAAGACAGTATGACAATGGCTCCAGATTAGACAAATAGACTAATGGAAAAGAATAGAGGATTCAGGAGGAGGCCAACACATATATAATCACCTGATGTATAATAAAGATACCACTGGAATTCAGGGACAAAGGATGGTCATTTTAGCAAATAATACTGGATCGATTGCATGCCTATATGGAAAAAATGAACTTTTCTCTCACATCCTATACCAACATTAATTCCAAATGGATCATAGACCTAGATTTGAAAGGTAAAACAATACACTTTTAGAAAAACATATAGGAGAATATTGTCACAACCTTGTAGGCAAAAATTTCTTAATCAGAACACAGAAATCACTAACTATGAAATTTAAAAAACTGACAAATTAGGACTTATTTAAGATTAAGAACTTCTGTACTTCTGTTCATCAAAATACAAGATTAAAAGAATTAAAGGACAAACCATGGAATGGGAGAACATGTTTACAATACATTTATCCAAAAAAAGACTAGTATTCAGAATATTTTAGAAAAAGACAACAAATCTACAAGGAGAAGACATACTGTAAAGAGGATATCTAAGTGGTCCAACACAAATCTAAAAAGTGGTCTACATCATTTGATATTGGGGAAATGCAAAATTAAAGCCATTATTATTATTTTTATTTATTTATTTATTTTTTGAGATGGAGTCTTGCTCTTTCCCCCAGGCTGAAGTGCAGTGGTGCGATCTCAGTTCACTGCAACCTCTGCCCCCAGGTTCAAACGATTCTCCTGCCTCAGTCTCCTGAGTAGCTGGGACTACAGGCCCATGCCACCACACCCGGCTGATTTTTGTATTTTTAGTAGAGACGGGGTTTCGCTGTGTTGGCCAGGCTGGTCTCGAACTCCTGACCTCAGGTGATCCACCTGCCTTGGCCTCCCAAAGTGCTAGGATTACAGGCGTGAGCCACTGTGCCTGGCCTCCATTATTATGTTTTACTACACATATGCAGAATGGCAAAACTTAAAAAGTATTGGCAAGGATGCAGAGCAACTGGAACTTTGATATACTGATGATAGGAGAGTTTATTGAAAAACTGGTAGAATCTATTAAAGCTAGACATATGCCTACCCTATGACAAAACCAGGTACGTATCCAAGAGAAATGAATGCAGGTAACCACCAAACAATATATGCAAGAATGTTCATAGCAGCTTGGTTTGCAGTAGCCCCCGGATGGAATCAATCCACACATCCATCTACAGGAGAATGGATAAATCAATTGTGCTTTAGTCACACAATGGAATACTTCTCAGCAATAAAAAAAGAAACTAATGTGACAACATGGATGTTTCTCACAGACATTATGTTGAAAAAACAAGCCAGAAACCAAGAATGCCTACTATTTGATTCTATTTATACAAAGTTCAGGACCAGGCAAAAGTATTCCATCATGACAGATGTCAGGACAGTGGTTACTTTGGTAGGGGTGGGGTGTGGGCTGAGAGGAACCCAAAGGAGTTTTCTGGGGTGCTAGAAATATTTCATACTATAAAGATTCATTGAGATGAACACTTAAGGTTTGGTATTTTTAGTAAATGATGCTGGATCAATTGTACATCCAAATGGAGTAAAATGAGTGTGGTCTCCTTACCTCACTTCCCTGTGTGTATGCAAGCTATTTATAACAGTAAAATTAAAGTACATGTGATACCTCCTTAAGTTAGGAGTATAATATAGCATTTAAGATTTTTTTTTTTTTTTTTTTTTTTGAGACAGAGTCTCGCTCTGTCACCCAGGCTGGAGTGCAGTGGCGCGATCTTGGCTCACTGCAACCTCCGCCCCCCAGGTTCAAGTGATTCTCCTGCCTCAGCCTCCTGAGTAGCTGGGATTACAGGCGCACGCCATCACACCTGGCTAATTTTTGTATTTTTAGTAGGATGGGGTTTCACCATGTTGGTCAGCCTGGTCTCAAACTCCTGACCTCGTGATCTGCCTGCCACGGCCTCCCAAAGTGCTGGGATTACAGGTGTGAGCCACCGTGCCTGGCCTAAAATGTTTTAAGAGTTTTCTACAACATGGAAAATGCCTACAACATTGGGTGATGTAGAAAGCAAAAAGTTCCTCTTCAAAATTTCCCTTCTTGTTAAAGAATAAATCATAAGTGTTAGAGATAATAGTTTCTTTTAAAAACTAACTTCCTTCAAACTTCCTTGCTTTGTGCTAATAACTCTTTGTTAAGCCCTATCCTATGTAGTTATTAAATGTAAGAAAATTAAATACATTCTATGTCCCTGTACTTTAACCAAGATATCTGTGCTAGACCTGTGCACAGGCATGTCACAGCTTGCAGCCTATGCCCCTTCCTTATTTGGGAATGTTATTACTTTTCTGAGTCTTTTCATAAGCAACTTCCTCTTTTCCTTTCTTCTCCTCTGCCATTACCTCTTTAGAAAAAGTTTTAAACCTTTAGCCAACTGGGTGCTGCCTAGACTGTCAGGTCCAGTTCCAGCCAATGGAATCAGGACACAGCAGTAGGGTCTGGATGGGTCAGATATAAATGTTTTGTACCTCCTTTGTTCAAGTGTGCTCTTGTCTTTGTTCCATCTGTGATGGGCACCCTTTCTGCAGAAAGTAAAAATTGCCTTGCTGAGAGAATTAAATTTATGTTCAAGTGCTATTTCTTTATGGCACTGGGGAACAAGCATTTTGCATTTCTAACAGATGAAAAGGTTAGGCCAAAAAATTCTATATAAAGAATGATCAAAATTGTGTAAAAGTATGCACAGAGAAAATCTGAAAGGAAGTAACACTAAAATGTTAATAGTGGTTATTGGTTGTCTTGAGGTGGTGAAATTATCGGAGACTTATTTCTTATTTTTATTTTTTGGTAGCTTATAAAATTTCAAGACTTTTGTAATGGCAGAGTAAACTTTTTGTTTTTTTGAGACAGGGTCTCACTGTCACCCAGGCTGAAGTGCAGTGGCATGATCATAGCTCACTACAGCCTCAACTCCCAGGTGCAAGCAATCCTCCCACCTCAGCCTCCAGAGTAGCTGGGACTACAGGCATGTGCCACTGTTCTTGGATAATTTTTTACGTATTTTCTGTAGAGACGGAGTTTTACCATGTTGCCCATTTTATTCCATATGGTCTCCAACTCTTGGGCTCAAGCAATCGACCCGCCTTGGCCTCCCAAAGCACTGGGATTACAGGCATGAGCCACTATGCCTGGCTGGCAGAGTGAACTTTTAAAAATCATATTTTCCTTCTAAAATCAAAACTCTCCCCTTCAAGCTCCTCTGTCAACTGCTGTCCTGGCCTATTAATATTTCAAGCTTTCCTGCTTTCTATTCTCCCAAGAAAATATATGCCTACTTTCCTTGGTGGAGTCTTCTGACTTGCTATCTCCCATCTTGACTTGTCCAGTGATAGAGAGAAGCCTTTTGGGCTGGATTCTGTTTCTCCTCAAGTTAATGAAAGATGCCCAGGGCAGGAAGGCTGTGTGTGAATGCTCCCCTGTTGCCCAAGACAAGGGGTCAGAGTAATAGAGTTCAGGGTATGTTCAGAGGAGGAACGTGAATTTTCACGTACCTGGTGAGTAAACAATTGTTCTACAAAAGTGGTGAGAAATGTTTCATTTTAGACACCCTAGGAGGGCACCAGTCTGAGGAGGAAGTCTCTCCCTCCATTTCATAGGACCAGCATTCTCCCCACTTCCCTGAGGACCCACAGAGCTGCAGAAATAGAGGCCATCTCTTCCCTCTGTGGAAAAGTAGCAGCAACTGGACAGAAAAGAAAAAAGAAGCCTGGGGCTGTGACATTTGCAAGACTCTAGATAGAGGACTGTGAGAGGCTGAGATTTGACAGTTTCTGTGGGGAGGGATGATGGACTGGATGAGGTGGGAGGGGGAGGAGGGCATGAGGATGCCATAGGACAGAAGTGCTCCAGGTTTAGTGGAATCCTTCACAGTCTACAGTGCGGGTTCTCTTTGGAAAACGTAGGGTGTAGCTCCCTCCTTCTGGCCATTGAAGGAAGACCTGGGTGGCAAAGCACAGGTAAAGACAAGCTGTGACAGAGGATAGCAGGAACCCAGGGACCTAGGGAGCAGAATTCTAACACCTTCACCCCAGATTCAGCCAGAGCAGCTCCATTTCCATCATTGCACACACCAGTTCTACTGGTTAACATCTGCTACCTATGAGTGTTCCTCACGCTTTGTAGCTTAGGACAGTCATCTTCTATTTAGCTTATGATTCTGTGGGTCAGCAATGTGGGCTGGGCTTAGCTGGAGGTGGTTTTGGTCAGGATCAGTTTCAGCTGATCTTGGCAGGAGCTCACTCATGCATCTGTGGAGGACTTCTGGAAATTTGGGGCTGGCTGTCTGTCAGCTGGAATGCCTGGGTTCCACTCTATGGGGACCTTTCATTCTCCAGCAATGGAGGAATAACTTGGGCTCATTCACAGGGTAGCCCCCAGATTCCGGGTGCTGTAAAAGCAGTCAAACCCCAATTCACAAGCATGTTTCAAGACTATCCTTGTTACATCTGCTACTATTTCAACATAGTCACAGAGCCAACCCCAGATTCCAGGGGTGGAGAAATGGGCTCCTACTTATGACTGAAGAGCTGCAGTCTATTGCCTCATACCTGCAGGGCTGGGGAGAAGTTATGGACGCTTGAAATGTAGATTCTCACATCCCCACACACACCTGTTGGATCCAATTCATGGAAAAGGGGCCTCTCACTATGTCCTTCGGGTGACTCCCTCCTCCTTAATATTTTAAAATATTTTATTTGATACTTATAATATATTATATGTGACATATATGTGTGGGCATATATGTGTTTTATTAAAAATAAAGCACAATAATATAATGTACGTTAATGAACCTACTACCCAGCCCAAAAGCTGGGTCATTAACAATTTATTTATATTTACCTAAGTGTCTTTCTCTTATGCCTTCCTCCTACCTCCTCTTGAGATGTAACATTTTACATTTTGGGTTTTCCATTCCAACAAGAAATTTAAAAATACAGTTTTGACTCTTTGATATCTATGCCTGAACAACATACTGCTGAGTCTTCTTTCTTTCTCTTTCTTCCTTCCTTTTCTCTCTTCTTTTTCTTTCTTTCTTTCCTTCCTTCTCTTTCTTTCTCTTTCTCCAATAAAAATAAGTTTACTTATTTACTTCTTGAATTTTTTGTGCTAAAATATTTGTAACATAAAATTTCCGATTTTAACCATTCTGAAGTGTACAATTCGGCAGCATTTATTACACCAGCAATGTTGTGCAACCATCACCACTATCAGTTTCCAAAATTTTTTCATCACCCCAAACAGGAACTCTGTACCCATTAAGCAATCACTTCCCATTTCTTGCTTCTCCCAGCCCCTAGTAAAGTCTAACCTACTTTTTCTTCTATGCATTTGCCTATTCTCTAGATACTTTATTATAAGTGGAATCAAGTAATATTTGTCCCTTTATGTCTGGCTTCTTTCACTTAGTATGTTTTCAAGGTTTATTCATGTTGTAGCACGTATCAACTTCATTCCTTTTTATACGTGAATAATATTCCATTGTATGTAGATATCACAGTTTGTTTATCCATTTGTCTGTGGATGGACGCTTGGATTGCTTCTACCTTTTGGATACTGTGAAAATGCTGCTATGAACATTGGTGTACACGTCTCTGAGTCTCTGATTTTAATTCTTTGGGTGTATACCCTGAAGTGGAATTGCTGGGTCAGATGGCAATTCTATGCTTAGCTTTTTGAGGAACGATAAAACTGTTTTCTACAGCAACTGCACCATTTTACATTCTTACTAGCAAGGTAATGTACCAGGGTTCTAACTCTTCCACATCCTTGCCAACATTTCTCTCTCACACACACACACACACACAAATTTGTAGCCATCCTAGTAGGTGTGAAGTGGTGTTTCATTGTGGTATTGATTTGCAAATTTCCCTATTGACATTTTCCAATGGTGTTGAGTGACTTTTTTTTTTTTTTTTTTGACGACGTCTCGCTCTGTTGCCCAGGCTGGAGTGCAGTGGTGCGATCTCAGCTCACTGCAAACTCTGCCTCCCAGGTTCAAGCAATTCTCCTGTCTCAGCCTCCCAAGTAGTAGCTGGGACTGCAGATGCATGCCACCACGCCTGACTAATTTTTGCATTTTTAGAAAATATGGGGTTTCACCATATTCGTATTGGTTAGACTGGTCTCAAACTTCCGGCCTCAGGTGATCCACCCACCTCGGCCTCCCAAGGTGCTGGGATTACAGGTGTGAGTCACTCCCCAGCCTTGAGTATCTTTTATGTGCTTTTTGGCACTTTATGTATATTTTTTGGAGAAATGTCTATTTAAATCCTTTGCCCATGCTTTAATTGTTTGTCTTTTTGTTGTTGTAGTTAGGATATGCTCTGGATAACAACCCTTTATCAGATATAGAATTTGCAAATATTTTCTCCCATTCTGTAGACTGTCTTCACTTTTTTTTTTGAGACAGAGTCTTGTTCTGTCACCCAGGCTGGAGTGCAGTGGTGCGATCTAGGCTCACTGCAACCTCTGCCTCCCAGGTTCAAGCAATTCTCCTGCCTCAGCCTCCGAGTAGCTGGGATTAAAGCATGCGCCACCATGCCTGGCTAATTTTTGTATTTTTAGTA
The DNA here is from genome assembly GCF_000001405.40 of Homo sapiens. Classification (NCBI taxonomy): domain Eukaryota; kingdom Metazoa; phylum Chordata; class Mammalia; order Primates; family Hominidae; genus Homo; species Homo sapiens. Next base: position 72,053,351 of record NC_000016.10, read on the forward strand.
GAGATGGAATTTCACCACATTGGTCAGGCTGGTCTCAAACTCCTGACCTCATGATCCGCCCACCTCAGCCTCCCGAAGTGCTGGGATTACAGGCGTGAGCCACCACGCCTGGCCTGTCTTCATTTTATTAATACTGTCTTTTGATACACAAATGTTCATTCCGATGAAGCCCAATTTATCTAATTTTTCTTTGATTGCTGGTGATTTTGGTGTCATTATCTAAGAATCCATTGCCAAGTTTTACTTGGTTTTGATCTCTAGAAGACTGCCATCATACTGAAGGTAATCTTCTGAAACTTGCGGTTTTCTTTCAAAAATTATGTTTATAAGATGATCCATGTTCTTGCAGAGTTTATTCATTTTATGCTGTATAATATTCCATTATATCCACATACAATGCAGTATTGACCCTTCCTCCTGTTGATGGGCATTTGTCTTGTTTCTAGTTACTTTGCTATTATATCAGTGTCACCATGATTATCCAAAAGTAATTCTTTTGTACACTCTAATTTAAGAACAACTAACCCTTTTTAATGAATAAATCAACCTTGTATTGAGTTGCTACTAAGTTTCAGTTGACTAGTACCTGGGATACACACAGGTGCAGACATTTGACTGAGACATATTGATTTTTCTCATCTGCCTATTTAGGCTAATCACCAGACTATAAAACCATGAGAACCACTGCCATTGAGTATAGTCTGTGTCAGTCTACACTATAGCTTTAACTAGTTGTGTGATTTCTTGCAAAGAGCAATCAGAGAAGACACAATAAACACATTTACTGATTTCAGGCTGGAGAGCTTTTAAGCAATAGGGAGATGGCCACACACAAGGTGGAGAAAATTACTGTGAAAAGGAAGTACTTTCTTTAGAGCCCCACCTAAGCTAGGCTGCAGAAATGTCTACAATGGGTTTGAAAAAACTCAAAATGAGCCTTTCTGCAGTGTGAAAATCCTCCAAGATAAAGAGACAGATTGATGGTTCCTGCCGCCGCCCTGTCCTGCCCAGTTGCTGATTTCAGGAAATACTTTGGCAGGTTTGTGGGTCATAGAGTTGCCAGGTTTCTTGGGATTTGTAATAGAACATCACAAGAAAATCAAGTGTGAAGCAAGAGCTCAACTCTTAACAGGGGTATTGTTTGTGGTTTTGTTACTGGAAAAGATAGTGACCTTACCAGGGCCAAAGTTTGTAGACACAGGAATTACGAAATGGAGAAGGGGGAGAAGTGAGCTAGTGGCAGCATAAAAAGACCAGCAGATGCCCCACAGCACTGCTCTTCCAGAGGCAAGACCAACCAAGATGAGGTGGGTCCACAGCTTTCCCTCCTGCCTTTCCTCTGGTTCTTTATTTCAGTCTTTTTTGCATACATCGGTAGAGATGCAGAAATAGAACAAAGAAACGGGCAAATGGGCTAAATTATAGTGAACCAAAGGGCTTAGTGTGTTAAATCTTCTCCTTTTCTGCATCCATAGAAGACAGTGCTGCTGTCTTTCCCAGGAGATAAGATTTACTCTCAGGAGTGTCTTTTTCCTTCAGGTTACATTTTTGACTTTATAGGGTATGTCATCAGCTCCCGTGGTAGGCTTCCTGGCATCCTGAGTATATTTATTAGCAGATATTTTCCTCTTTAAAAATGTACAATAAGGAAGACTAATAGTAACACATTTGAATGACACAATTAATTGACTAGTACCTGGGATACACACTAATACCTGGGATACATCTAATTAAGGCACTTAGATCTTATAAAAATAAACACTTTTTGAAATGTTGAAATAATAAGACTAGAAACTTTTTTTTTTTTTGAGATGGAGTCTCGCTTTGTCACCAGGCTGCAGTGCAGTGGCATGATCTCGGCTCACTGCAACCTCCACCTCCCAGGTTCAAGTGATTCTCCTGCCTCAGCCTCCCAGGTAGCTGGGACTACAGGCGTGCGCCACTATGCCCACCTAATTTTTGTATTTTTAGTAGAGACGGGCTTTCACCATGTTGGCCAGGATGACCTCGATCTCTTGACCTCGTGATCTGCCTGCCTTGGCCTCCCAAAGTGCTGGGATTACAGGCATGAGCCACCGTGTCTGGCCTAGAAACTATTTTAATAGAAGCAAGTAGTGCCCGAATGGTTGGCATTTGTTAGTGAGATGGTGAACTGGCAGACGGCACCTGTGGGTCAATGCCCATGGCCACCGTCCTGCTTTTGGACACCAGTTCTCTTCCAGGTAACCTTCTGGCATTTTGGGGTTTCAGATACCATTTCCTAAAGGTGAATTATTATAAAATACTAGAAATACCCACGTGTTTAAAATTATATATTTAAGGAACCTTTTATTACGGAAAATATCAAGAAGTAGAGGAATAGCACAGTAAGCCCAAAGTTCCCATCTCTGAGTTATCTACATTTTATTACCACTATCTTTGCGGTGTCTGAGGGAGGTTTCTCTTTCCTGGAGGGCTCCTGTATTATTGCCAATGTACTTTCCTGAATGCAGCCAGAAACTGAGCCCACCCCTCCACCTATGTGCCTTTCTATCCCTCTCTGAAGCTTCTGCAGAATTCCCAGCAGGACAGGGCTTGCTGGAAGCTTGGTATGCTCAGAAGCTGCTAAAGTGTGTATGGGCAGGTGTGGGGGCAATTTCTTGGTCCTAGCACTTCCATATATCGACTTTCTTTTCTGGCTGCTAAGTGGGAGGAGTGTGTGTGTATGCATGTGTGTGTGTGTGTGTGTACATGCATGTGTGTGTGGATGCATGCATGTGCTGTGAAGCAGGGAGACTAGCTTTCCACTCCTCCTTGTCTTCTCTCTGCAGTGCCCTGGGAGCTGTCATTGCCCTCCTGCTCTGGGGACAGCTTTTTGCAGTGGACTCAGGCAATGATGTCACGGATATCGCAGGTCAGTCTTTGGTTGGGTAGGAGTGTGCATCCCACTCTGACCCTCTCGGGTCTGCACTCTCTCTGAGAACACCCAATTCCCCCTTCTTATCTCGACCTCTGGGCTTTCAGGACCATAAAGAACATTGGGGTTCCTGCCAGAAATGAGGGGAGCTTGCCTTTCCATTGGCTTCTATTCGGGGTGGAAGGAGATTGATGTGCAGAGCAGCTCCCGCTCATCTGACTTTTCACGGTTCACTGGGAACAATTTCCAAATAGCAAACTCTCTGGCTTCTCTCTCTTTGCAGATGACGGCTGCCCGAAGCCCCCCGAGATTGCACATGGCTATGTGGAGCACTCGGTTCGCTACCAGTGTAAGAACTACTACAAACTGCGCACAGAAGGAGATGGTAAGATGTGGACAACTGTCTCCATGCCCTACATACAACCCCCTTCTCTGACATTTCCATGATGGGTGGTGCTGAGGTGATTCGCCAGAAAGTTCGTTGCTCTCCTTGGAGCCAGGAGATTTAGATTCTAATAAGCGTTTTGTCGCCAGTAGCCATGGCCCTTTGGGCAGACTAACTTTTGTCAGCCTCAAGTTTTCTGTTTTGTTAAGGGGAGGCGATGCCATGCAGCCTACCTCATGTAAATCTCAGAGTCACATTTACATCTCCAGCAGATGTGGGAAAAGAAGGAATGCTGATGATGATGTCACCCTCACCTAGTGAGTCTTGCTGTCCTGGCACTGCTCTAAGGGCTTTATACTTATTTGCTCACTTAGTCCTCACAGTATCCCTCTGAACAGAGTTTATTGTTTTCACTTTGCTGATAAGGAAACTGAGGCACAGACAGGTTGAGTATCTTGCCCAAATTCAGGCAGCCTGTAAGAGGCAGAGTCAGGATTTGAACCCTGAGCCCTCCCTGTACTGCTTGGCTGTGACCGCCATGACCACAGTGTGTTCTGCTGGGCTTAACTGGTGTCCAGGCACTTGGCTTCCAGCACAGCACTCTTTCCCTTCCTCCTTCTCATATTCTCTCTCCTTTCTCCCTTCCTGTCTGCCTCCTTTCTTCTTCTTCTTTTTAATTCTTCTCCTTAAATGCCTTCTCACTCTGCTCTGGGTGCAGACTTGACTTTTCCTTTGGCTCATTTCTTGCCTTTTGTTTCAGGAGTATACACCTTAAATGATAAGAAGCAGTGGATAAATAAGGCTGTTGGAGATAAACTTCCTGAATGTGAAGCAGGTGGGTGCTGAGCACTGAGCACTTAAGAGAGCAGGCAGGCGTCCAGCGGGGAACGTCCTAGAGGCACAGCCTTCCAGTGCGGCTTCCTCTGAGCACACAAGAGCCAGGAGGAGGGATGTGGGAGAACCGCAGCTGGCCAGGGAGAGACTTAAGCAGTTAGGTGATGACTCCCTAAGGGTCACCAAGGGTCTTGTTCATTGGGGCCTGAAGGGCACTGGCTGAATCCACTGTCGGCACTGCCCACAGATCAGGAGAGCCTGTGCATACAGAGAGCCTGCTAGAAAGCCCTGGGTCTAAGGAGAAGCAAGCTCCAGGGAGAACAAGTCAAGGAATGACATAAAATCTTAATCCATGGAAGCCTAGCAGGAGGCTGGACATGGGCTGGAACTCCTGCTTCTCGTTATTAGGAGGAGCTGTTGCTCTCTCCTTTCATTCTCAGAACCAGAGGCAAAGACCCAGCCTCTTCTGCTCTTACTGGTGTGGAAATGCCAACCTGCCTCGTATTAACTGCACCATCTACAAAATCTGAGCTCCAGCCAGTGCTGCTCTAGATTCATCTTTCTTTAGAGAGAATGAATTATTGTAGCCCCTAGCCCTTTCAATGAATTTCAGGGAATTGTGGAAATTCCTTTATTGGGATAATTGTTTAAAAATAATACAGTTCGCGAGCTTCTATTCGGGGTGGAAGGAGATTGATGTGCAGAGCAGCTCCCGCTCATCTGACTTTTCACGGTTCACTGGGAACAATTTCCAAATAGCAAACTCTCTGGCTTCTCTCTCTTTGCAGATGACGGCTGCCCGAAGCCCCCCGAGATTGCACATGGCTATGTGGAGCACTCGGTTCGCTACCAGTGTAAGAACTACTACAAACTGCGCACAGAAGGAGATGGTAAGATGTGGACAACTGTCTCCATGCCCTACATACAACCCCCTTCTCTGACATTTCCATGATGGGTGGTGCTGAGGTGATTCGCCAGAAAGTTCGTTGCTCTCCTTGGAGCCAGGAGATTTAGATTCTAATAAGCGTTTTGTCGCCAGTAGCCATGGCCCTTTGGGCAGACTAACTTTTGTCAGCCTCAAGTTTTCTGTTTTGTTAAGGGGAGGCGATGCCATGCAGCCTACCTCATGTAAATCTCAGAGTCACATTTACATCTCCAGCAGATGTGGGAAAAGAAGGAATGCTGATGATGATGTCACCCTCACCTAGTGAGTCTTGCTGTCCTGGCACTGCTCTAAGGGCTTTATACTTATTTGCTCACTTAGTCCTCACAGTATCCCTCTGAACAGAGTTTATTGTTTTCACTTTGCTGATAAGGAAACTGAGGCACAGACAGGTTGAGTATCTTGCCCAAATTCAGGCAGCCTGTAAGAGGCAGAGTCAGGATTTGAACCCTGAGCCCTCCCTGTACTGCTTGGCTGTGACCGCCATGACCACAGTGTGTTCTGCTGGGCTTAACTGGCATCCAGGCACTTGGCTTCCAGCACAGCACTCTTTCCCTTCCTCCTTCTCATATACTCTCTCCTTTTCCCCTTCCTTTTTGTCCCCTTTTCCTCTTCCTTTTAGTTCTTCTCTTTAAATGCCTTCTCACTCTGCACGGGGTCTAGACTTGACTTCTCCTTTGGCTCACTTCTTGCCTTTTGTTTCAGGAGTGTACACCTTAAACAATGAGAAGCAGTGGATAAATAAGGCTGTTGGAGATAAACTTCCTGAATGTGAAGCAGGTGGGTGCTGAGCACTTAAGAGAGCAGGCAGGCGTCCAGCGGGGAACGTCCTAGAGGCACAGCCTTCCAGTGCGGCTTCCTCTGAGCACACAAGAGCCAGGAGGAGGGATGTGGGAGAACCGCAGCTGGCCAGGGAGAGACTTAAGCAGTTAGGTGATGACTCCCTAAGGGTCACCAAGGGTCTTGTTCATTAGGGCCTGAAGGGCACTGGCTGAATCCATTGTCTACATCGCCCACAGATTAGGAGAGCCTGTGCATACAGAGAGCCTGCTAGAGAGCCCTGGGTCTAAGGAGAAGCAAGCTCCAGGGAGAACAAGTCAAGGAATGACATAAAATCTTAATCCATGGAAGCCTAGCAGGAGGCTGGACATGGGCTGGAACTCCTGCTTCTCGTTATTAGGAGGAGCTGTTGCTCTCTCCTTTCATTCTCAGAACAAGAGGCAAAGGCCCAGCCTCTTCTGCTCTTACTGGTGTGGAAATGCCAACCTGCCTCGTATTAACTGCACCATCTACAAAATCTGAGCTCCAGCCAGTGCTGCTCTAGATTCATCTTTCTTTAGAGAGAATGAATTATTGTAGCCCCTAGCCCTTTCAATGAATTTCAGGGAATTGTGGAAATTCCTTTATTGGGATAATTGTTTAAATATAATACAGTTCACCAGCCAGGGCTCAAAAATCTCAGTATTTCCCACTTCCTTTGTTAGAAAAGTGGGAAATAGAGCTTTTTGTAATGTAAACAATTTAAAAAACAGAATTATTTTAAAACTGCAACTATTGGAAATGAGATCAGCAGGTGGTAAGGGCAAAGCATTTAAATCTTTCTACTTTACGCAGCAGTGACAGCCGCCCATGCTTTCACCCCTTTCTCAGATGGAAAGGCTCTTGCACATTTCCACTCACGAGTGTCTTGCTCTCCTTGACAGTATGTGGGAAGCCCAAGAATCCGGCAAACCCAGTGCAGCGGATCCTGGGTGGACACCTGGATGCCAAAGGCAGCTTTCCCTGGCAGGCTAAGATGGTTTCCCACCATAATCTCACCACAGGTGCCACGCTGATCAATGAACAATGGCTGCTGACCACGGCTAAAAATCTCTTCCTGAACCATTCAGAAAATGCAACAGCGAAAGACATTGCCCCTACTTTAACACTCTATGTGGGGAAAAAGCAGCTTGTAGAGATTGAGAAGGTTGTTCTACACCCTAACTACTCCCAGGTAGATATTGGGCTCATCAAACTCAAACAGAAGGTGTCTGTTAATGAGAGAGTGATGCCCATCTGCCTACCTTCAAAGGATTATGCAGAAGTAGGGCGTGTGGGTTATGTTTCTGGCTGGGGGCGAAATGCCAATTTTAAATTTACTGACCATCTGAAGTATGTCATGCTGCCTGTGGCTGACCAAGACCAATGCATAAGGCATTATGAAGGCAGCACAGTCCCCGAAAAGAAGACACCGAAGAGCCCTGTAGGGGTGCAGCCCATACTGAATGAACACACCTTCTGTGCTGGCATGTCTAAGTACCAAGAAGACACCTGCTATGGCGATGCGGGCAGTGCCTTTGCCGTTCACGACCTGGAGGAGGACACCTGGTATGCGACTGGGATCTTAAGCTTTGATAAGAGCTGTGCTGTGGCTGAGTATGGTGTGTATGTGAAGGTGACTTCCATCCAGGACTGGGTTCAGAAGACCATAGCTGAGAACTAATGCAAGGCTGGCCGGAAGCCCTTGCCTGAAAGCAAGATTTCAGCCTGGAAGAGGGCAAAGTGGACGGGAGTGGACAGGAGTGGATGCGATAAGATGTGGTTTGAAGCTGATGGGTGCCAGCCCTGCATTGCTGAGTCAATCAATAAAGAGCTTTCTTTTGACCCATTTCTGTGTTGTGTTCAGTCTTGAGTCTTTTTTATTTGCTCCTTTATGGTCCAGGGTAGTCAGAAGGTATAGAGTCTACTGGGAGTATGGCAGAAAACACCCTAAACCCACTGGAAATCCCGAAGGTGATACAAACTCTTCCACCTTAGGGAATCATGCTCACTGATTGAGTGCCTATTGAATGCTAGGTCCCAGAAAGTTAACTGTTGTCCTTGTTTTACAGACAAGGAAACAGAGACTCAGAGATGGTAAGTGAGTTGCTTAAGGTTACATAGCTATGAAACAGGGAAGCAGAACTTTGAACCCAGGTCTGTTTGATACAAACTCAGAGGTCCTTTCACTGCATGCTGTTGCCTCCTCAAAGTGAATTAGGAGAAAAGGCATGGGCCTGGTTGAGGAAGAGGCTAGCTCAAAATGGGATGGGGAAAAAGTGTTTTAACACAGACAGTACTTCAGAGTTTGGGATCTAACCTACCAGCACTCCAGAAAACAAAAGACAATGATGTAAAGGCAGGATCTCTGGACTTACTGAGTCCAAATCACAGAATGGCCCATAAATTTGCTAAGTAATTTAGGTTTCCTGGCCATCAGTTCCTGGTCTCTTCCATGAAGGACTTGAGCCAGGCGATGGCTAATGTCCCTATCAGCAATAACCTTCTGGTATTCCATAAAGAGTGGGGAGGTAGAGTCCCTGCATCAGTAGAAGCTGCTTTTCCTACTGGGAACAAACCCACCCTGCACCAGGAATCAAATGCAGGCTGTCTGAGCCTCCTCTCCTGATGGCAGGTCATGCTATTAAGGGTCTCCCAGAAGAAAGGTTCTGGAACTCTGAGAAACAGAAGCTCTTCTAACAGAACTTTTTCTTGCTATAAGCTTTCAATACCACCAATCACCAGTGCACCTTCTTCTCATGCCAAAATACGGCCCCTCCTTTGTAGGGTGTAAAACGACACTGATGTCACTCTCTCTCACCAAGGTCTGGCCATCTCTGTGAAGCTCTCCTCACAGGCACCCTGCAGATTCATCAATAAACTTCAACAGGTTAGCGCCAGTAGGCCAATAAGATGCACACTTATATTCTAGAACCTGTGAAAGAAGTAATAGCCAGAAACTGGAAAATAACAGTCAAACTCTTAAAAAAATGCCTCTCAGAACACAGTCACTTACACCTTTTCCTCTGGTAGTTCTCTTCAGCACCAAGTTTCCTGGAAGAACAAGCTACTCCCCAGTTTTCTTAAAGAATTGTCTGATTGTATTAAGTAAGTGGCTTCTGGTAAAATAATGGTAAGAGAAAAGCTCTGGCATTCTCTTGATCACTCATCTTCTCTGCCTTCCTCCCTAGCAACATCTCCTGGCCTCAGCCTGTGGGCTTCAGCAACACCAAACTCCATGTTGCTCTCTGACAAGCCCGGCCGTCTCCAGTTCTTGGGCTTTATTTCCTCGGGGGCCCTCTGCTGAAATTCCCTTCCCCTTGCTGTATTAGCACCTCCTACCCGCCTTCAACATGCAGGCACTGCCTCCTCTAAGGAGCCATCTGTACTTACGTAGCTGTGAGCATAGGATGGGGCATACAGCAGGCACTTAACAAATACTTGTGGAATGGAAAGAAACTAAGATAGGATCAAAAATACAAATCAAGATGTGAGAGAAAGACGATCAAAAGCCCTCACGAGGGGGCTGGGCGTGATGGCTCACACCTGTAATCTCAACACTTTGGGAGGCTAAGGCGGGTGGATCACTTGAGGGTGGGAGTTTGAGATCAGCCAGAGCAACATGGAGAAACCTCGTCTCTACTAAAAATACAAAAAATTAGCCAGGCATGGTGATATATGCCTGTAATCCCAGCTACTCGGGAGGCTGAGGCAGGAGAATTGCTTGAACCTCGGAGGTAGAAGTTGTGGTGAGCTGAGATCATGCCATTGTACTCCAGCCTGGGCAACAGGAGTGAAACTCTGTCTCAAAAAAAACAAAAAACAAAAAAGAACACCACGGGAAAATCAAGTGTGAAGCAAGAGCTCAACTCTTAACAGGGGCAATGTTTGGAGTTTTGTTACTGGAAAAGATAGAGACCTTACCAGGTCCAAAGTTTGTAGACACAGGAATTACGAAATGGAGAAGGGGGAGAAGTGAGCTAGTGGCAGCATAAAAAGACCAGCAGATGCCCCACAGCACTGCTCTTCCAGAGGCAAGACCAACCAAGATGAGGTGGGTCCACAGCTTTCCCTCCTGCCTTTCCTCTGGTTCTTTATTTCAGTCTTTTTTGCATACATTGGTACAGATGCAGAAATAGAACAAAGAAACAGGGCAAATGGGCTAAATTATAGTGAACCAAAGGGCTTAGTGTGTTAAATCTTCTCCTTTTCTGCATCCATAGAAGACAGTGCTGCTGTCTTTCCCAGGAGATAAGATTTACTCTCAGGAGTGTCTTTTTCCTTGAGGTTACGTTTTTGTCTTTGTAGGGTATGTCATCAGCTCCCGTGGTAGGCTTCCTGGCATTCGGAATATATTTACTAGCAGATATTTTCCTCTTTAAAAATGTATAATAAGAAAGACTAATAGTAACACATTTGAATGACACAATTAATTGACTAGTACTTGGGATACACACTAGTACCTGGGATACATCTAATTAAGACACTTAGATCTTAAAAAATAAAAAGACTTTTTGAAATGTTGAAATAATAAGACTAGAAACTTTTTTTTTTGTGAGACAGAGTCTCACTCTGTCACCAGGATGGAGTGAGTGGCGCGATCTCAGCTCATCGCAACCTCCCCCTCCCCGGTTCAAGCAATTCTCCTGCCTCAGCCTCCCAAGTAGCTAGGACTACAGGCGTGTGCCACCACGCCCAGCTAATTTTTGTATTTTTAGTAGCGATGTGGTTCACCATGTTGGCCCGGATGATCTCGATCTCTTGACCTCGTGATCCACCTGTCTCGGCCTCCCAAAGTGTTGGGATTACAGGTGTGAGCCACCGCACCCTGCCTAGAAACTATTTTAATAGAAGCAAATAGTGCCTGAATGGTGGGCGTCTGTTAGCGAGATGGTGAACTGGCAGATGGCGCCTGTGTGTCAATGCCCATGGCCACCGTCCTGCTTTCAGACACCAGTTCTCTTCCAGGTAACCTTCTGGCATTTTGGGGTTTGAGATACCATTTCCTAAAGGTGAATTATCACAAAATACTAGAAATAACCACATAAGTGTTTAAAATTATTGTTAAATACAGTAAGAAATTCTTCTTCAAAAGTTTAGCCTGCTTAAGTTTCCTTGTCCTTTGTTTCCTGCTTTCAAGGCCAGACTTCCTTACTCTCTGTGTTTCCCCTACCCTGGTAAACAACCTTCCTGCCAGTCCTTACCCATACAGCCCACATTCCACATCTGCTACCCACTCTGTGATTTACCTCTCCCGTCGCAATAGCCTCTCCCACCAAAACTGATCTTCCCGCCTTCCCACCAGTGCAACCACATTCCTGCACTTTGCAAGTTAGCCAACCGGGTTCGGATTGTGCAGTCCAACTCCAGCCAATGGAGTCAGGACACAGTAGCAGGGACAAGCTGCGTTAGACATAAAAACCTCTGCTTTCCTTTGTTTAGGGTGCTCTCGTGGCAACCAGACTTACCAGGAGCTCTATTCTGCAAAAGTAAATTTGCCTTGCTGAGAGACCCTTTGTCCTTTGGCTCAGTGTTGGTTCTTCTTTGCAGCACCGAGCATTTGTTTCCAACAAATTTGGTGGCCCATACAGGGAAAACATTGTCCTCCGGGAAAGGGTCTTTGATCACCTCTTGTGAGGAGACACATCCCACTGCCTTGTTGCAGTGGCCTCATGAGTAAGGAATCGAGACCCACCTGGTCTGATGAATAACCCCAGACTCTCAACAACGTGGGGAGAAAAAGACTTGCAACACTATGGTGGCCAGGTAACTCTGTGCGCAGACCAAGGTAAGAAATGTCGCAGGAGTGACAAAGTACTTCCTTGGTGGTCACTATATTCTGGTGGCTGAAAGTTCATGAATGGTAACAAGTGCTACTGCTGTGTGGAGTGAATGAGTCCAATCTGTGGGTCTATGGTTACCTCATACGGCTTAGCCTTCTCTGAAGGATCCTGATGTTGGGGTTTATATAGTCCTCCCAATGCTAAGCGGGACTTAAAATATTCCTAGGAGGAAAGTGGCCAGAGTGGATGAAGCAAAAGGAGAAGAGTGTGAAGAACCTCCAGGAGGTGGGGCTAAAAGATAGGCAAGAAATCTCTAATACGAGGGATTGAGCCACAGAAAGCTCCAGACAGATAAAAAAGAAATTCCTAATATGAGGAACTGAGCCACAGCAAGCCTCCAGCAGGCAACAAATCCCTAATATGAGGGATTGAGCCTAGCTAAGACCCAATATGGGAAATACCCCAAGAAAGACAGAGAATAAGAAGGATGAAAATAGTAACAAGGATATACCCCTTGATAGTCCCCTAGGTTTCATGTTAAAATACTGGAAAGATAATGAGAGGACTAAGCATAAGAAGAAGGAGCAAATGATAAAATATTGCTGTTTCATTTGGACCCAAGGTCCCATCCTCAAACCCTCAATCTTCTGGCCAAAGTATGGGTCGAATGAGGGTGTAATGAGTCAACTCCTAATCCAATATGTTAATGATAAAAGTCTGGTTTCTCAAGAAGAACTAGACTATGCTCTTTGTTGGAAGCAGGGACCTGTCCTCCTCTTTCCCTTAAAGACAACTAGGGAAGAATCCGATCCAGCATCTCAAATTGAGAAGTCAGACAAGCCGACTCCCACACCTAAAGTCAGCACATGGGATCCCCTAGACTGTCTTCCTTTGCTTACTGCCCCAATCCTAACCCCCCTACTCCTCAGGCAGCTGCTGCTGCCCCAGATCCCATCCCAGATTCTTCCCCAACTCATGATGTTCCTCCCGCTTACAACCCTGACTCTCAGGGGCAGTCGTCCCAAGAGCCTGTTCATTGCCAACCTAAATATCCTTCCTTAAAAGGGCTCCAACATGAAATAGAGCAGTGTAAAAAGGACATTCAGAACTCCCCTTTTCTTTCCACACCTAAGGAGTCAGCCATAACTTTCTTCCCTTTAAAAGGGGTATCACAAGGAGGGGAAGTCATTGGTTTTGTAAATGCTCTCTTGACTATTTCAGAAGTCTGAGGTCTGAAGAAAGAACTTAAGCCACTGCTAGATGACCCCTATGGAGTGGCAGATCAAGTTGATCAATTCTTAGGACCTCAGTTATACACTTGGGTCGAGCAAATGTCTATCCTAGGCATCTTCTTTTCAGGGGAGGAAAGAAGCATGATCCGTAGGGCTGCTATGGCAATTTGGGAACATGAACACCCTCCTGGTCAAAACGTTCCTACTGTGGACCAAACATTTGCTGCCCAAGCAAGACTCCTGGTGGGACAACAGCAATGCAGCCCACTGAGAAAACATGCAGGACCTAAGGGAAATAATAATAAAAGGAATCAGTGAATCCATACCCAGAACTCAAAAGCTCTCTAAAGCATTTGATATACAACAGGAGAAAGATGAGGGACCTATAAGATTCCTAGACAGACTAAAGGAGCAAATGAAGCAATATACAGGTCTGAATTTAGAAGATCCCCTTGGGCAAAGGATGTTAAAGATCCATTTTGTCACTAAAGGCTGGCCAGATGTTTCAAAAAAGTTACAAAAATTGGAGGACTGAGAAAACCGACCTCTAAGAGAACTTCTCAGAGAAGCTCAAAAGGTGTATGTGAGGAGGGACAGGGAAAAACAAAAACAGAAGTCAAAACCAATGTTATCTACTTTCCAGCAGGTGGCTCCAAACCCATATGCTACTAAATGAGGCTTCCAGGGAGCCAGAAACTATAAAAGGTCCCAAGCCTCCCAAACCCAGTTTAGAGAAACCAAACCTTCAGCTAGAGGACCCAAGTCTACATTTCCCAGGCCCCCTAAAGAGCATAGAAAAGCAAGACCAAAAAATCCCAAAACTGAGAGAGGGGAAGGACAAGATAAGTGTTACAAATGTGGAAGGACAGCCCCCTTCAAAAGAGAATGTCCCAAATTAGAAAAGGAGAGAGAAGCCCTTCCACTCACGACCTTTGAAGAGGAACAGGGAAGTCAGGGGCTCTGTCTATATTATCTTGAGTCCCACCAGGAGCCCTTGATAAATTTGGAGGTGGGACCTACACATGAGCTTATCACATTTTTGGTTGATTCAGGAGCGGCCTGTTCCTCTGTTTGTTTCCCCTCATCTAATGTTGCCTGCTCTTCAGAAGAACTTATAGTCTCTGAGATAAAAGGGGAAGGATTTACGGTGAGAATCTTAGAAAATACAGAAGTCAAGTACCAAGACTAAACAACCCAGGTTCAATTTTTGTTAATCCCTGAAGCAGCAACTAGTTTGTTAGGAAGAGACTTAATGTTAAAGTTAGGCATAGGCCTACAAGTCAGCCCAAAGGGATTCCTTACTTCATTAAACTTACTCACCACGGCGGATGAGAAATACATTCATCCTGATGTTTGGTCAAGGGAAGAAAACTGAGGAAAGCTTCGAATTCTCCCAATCCACATCAAGCTAAACACCCCGCACTGGGAAGTAGTGAGGAGGAAGCAATTCCCCATTCCCTTAGAGGGCATGCTAGGGCTAAAACCTATAATTGAAAGTCTCATTAATGATGGGCTTCTTGAACCCTGTATGTCTCCTTATAACACCCCAATACTGCCTGTCAAAAAATCAGATGGGTCATACCGGCTGGTGAAAGACCTCAGAGCCATTAACCAAACAGTCCAGACCACTAACCCTGTTGTCCCCAACCCTTACACCATTCTCAGCAAAATTCCATATAATCATCAATGGTTTACTGTAATAGATTTAAAGGATGCTTTTTGGGCATGTCCCTGGCTGAAGAGAGCCGAGACACATTTGCCTTTGAGTGGGAAGATCCCCAGTTAGGGTGAAAACAATGGTATCAATGGACAGTCTTGCCTCAGGGGTTCATGGATTCACCCAACCTTTTTGGTCAAATTTTAGAACAAGTGCTAGACAAAGTTTCTGTTCCAAAACAATTATGCCTGCTTCAATATGTCGATGATATTCTCATATCTGGTGAGGATATAGAGAAAGAAGCTGGCTTCTCTACACATATTTTTGACCATCTACAGTTCGAGGGGTTACGGGTCTCAAAGGGAAAGCTTCAGTGTATGGAGCCTAAAGTTAAATATTTAGGCCGCTTAATAAGTGCGGGCAAGCGAAGGATAGGGCCTGAATGGGTCGAAGGAATCGTGTCCTTACCCTTGCCTCAGACTAAACAGGAACTCAGGAAATTTTTAGGGTTAGTTGGATACTGCCGCTTAAGGATTAACTCACATGCCCTAAACAGTAAACTTTTATACCAAAAACTTGCCCAGGGAAAACCTGAGCATCTCCTGTGGACTTCTAAAGAGGTCGATCAGGTCAAAGAGCTAAAAGGAATAGCTTATAACTGCTCTTGCCCTAGCCTTACCTTCCCTAGAAAATACACTTCACCTTTTCGTCAGCGTGAAAAATGGGGTGGCTTTAGGGGTGCTTATCCAAGAGCACAGAGGCTGCTGGCAGCCCATGGCCTTCCTGTCAAAAATTTTGGACCTGGTCACCTGTGGATGGCCTCAGTGCATCCAATCCATTGCAGCTACAGCAGTATTAGTTGAAGAGAGTAGAAAATTAACCTTTGGGTGGAGATTAACAGTAAGCACACCCCACCAAGTTAGAGAGCTATTTTAAATAAAAAAGCAGGAAGGTGACTAACTGACTCCAGAATCTTAAAATATGGGGCTATTCTACTAAAAAAAGATGAGAGAACACCTATGTCTAGATTTAATTGACTACCAAACAAAACTCAGGCCAGATCTAGGAAAGATCCCTTTCAAAACAGGACGGCACTTATTTATAGATGGTTCCTCCCAGCTGATTGAGGGAAAAAGACACAACGGGTATCCAGTAATCGATGGAGAAATTCTCTATGTATAAGAACAGAGTCAAGAAAATTGCCTAATAATTGGTCTGCCCAAACTTGTGAACTGTTTGCACTCAGCCAAGCCTTAAAGCACTTGCAAAACCAGGAAGGAACCATCTATACTGATTCTAAGTATGCCTTTGGAGTGGCTCATACATTTGGAAAAAGTTGGACTGAATGTGGCCTCACTAATAGTAAAGGTCATGACCTTGTTCATAAGGAGTTAATCATCCAAGTACTGGATAACCTTCAGTTGCCAGAAGAAATAGCTATTGTCCGTGTACCCGGGCACCAGAAAAGCCTTTCTTTTGAAAGTCGAGGAAATAACCTAACAAACCAGATAGCCAAACAAGCTGCTGTTTCCTCCGAAACACCTATGTTTCACTTAACTCCTTGTCTTCCTTCCCCTACTGCAATTTCCTTTTTCTCTTCCATTGAAAAAGAAGAATAAAGATAGGAGCCAAAGGAGAAGACCAGAATGAAAACGGCTGTTACTAGACCAAAAGGAAATGTTATCCAAGCCCGTTATGTGGAAGATCTAGTCTCAACTATATCTGAGGACACACTGGGGATCCCAAGCCATGTGCGATGCAGTTCTCAGGGTCTATGGATGTATAAGAATTTACACCCTAGCCAAACAAGTTACAGATAGTTGCTTAATATGTAAAAAGACTAGTAAGCAGATTCTAAGAAAACCGCCCCTTGGAGAAAGAGATTCAGGGCTAAGACCATTTCCAAGTGTTCAATTAATTATACTGAAATGCCCCCAATTGGTCATTTAAAATACTTATTAGTAATAATAGACCACTTTACCTACTGGGTAGAGACTATCCCACACTCAAATGCAACCACCAGTAACGTAGTTAAGGCATTAATTGAAAACATTGTACCCAGATTTGGACTAATACAAAGCACTGATTCAGACAATGGAACCCATTTCACTGCATATGTCATTAAAAAGTTAGCCCAGGTACTAGACATAAAATGGAAAAACCATATCCCTTGGCATCTCTCCTCCTCAAGAAGAGTAGAAAGGATGAATCAGACTCTAAAAAGCCACTTAACTAAATTAGTTCTAGAAACTTGATTGCCATGGACTAAATGTCTTCCTATTGCCTTGTTAAGAATCCGAACTGCTCCTCAGAGAGATACTGGCCTTTCCCCTTATGAGATGCTCTATGGATTGCCCTATTTATACTCCACTGCTAACATTCCTACATTCAAAATAAAAGATCAGTTCCTCAAAAATTATATACTTGGTCCATACTCTACTTTCTCTTCCCTTAAGACTAAAGGTCTCCTAGCACAGGCGCCACCGCTGGAGTTTCCAGCACATTAGCGTCAGCCTGGAGACCATGTCCTCATAAAAGGGTGGAAGGAAGGCAAACTCAAACCAGCTTGGGAAGGACCCTACTTGGTGCTCCTAAATACTAAGACTGCAGTCCGAACAGCAGAATGAGGATGGACTGATCACACCCGCGTCAAAAAGGCGCTGCCACCTCCAGGATCATAAACCGTCACTCCAGGGCTCACCCCAACCAAATTAACTCTAAAAAGGGCTTAATAATCACTTGTTTATTTTTTCTTTTCTTTCCAACAGAAGGTCATCTTGTCATCAATGTAACTTGGGCTAACCATCCTTTAATCCTTCAGTTTGATGCTTGTTCAGTCATCCTGTGTGGAGACAAGCAAGCTCAAAGGAAGCTGTCTCATGTAGATAAGTACCTATGTCCATACCATAAAAAGTCAACCAAGTATAAGTATAGAACCTTAAAAAGTCCCTGTGGTGACTGGACAGATGTTTGGAAACCACTCAGTATGGAGGGTGGACAGCCAGGCCCCCTTTTTCAAATAAGTTATGGGGACTAAAACAGAAACTCCAACTAATTCATGGTCCCACCCCACCAAACTGTAAGCCACTGCAGTGTAACCCCTCATTGCTAATTATAGCTAACCCCCAAACAATGGCCCAAGAACCCACTATATTCAAACAGTATGGATTAGGAGCAAATGTTACAAAACAAAATCCCATAAAAATCTTCAACCACTGGTTAACAATGATAATTAAAAAAAAATCCACACCCAGAGTCTGGGAAACGAGTGGAATCTAACACTCTCTCCAAGTATAGCGAGCTCAGCGTCCTCCTCCCATCTCCAAAACAACCCAACTAAAGTAACGGTTGTAAAGGTAAAAAATTTAAAGCAGACTATAGCCCTAGAGACAGGATGTCAAGATGCAAATGCTTGGCTAAAATGGATTAAATATTCCATCTGCACTTTAAACAAATATGAATGTTATGCTTGTGCTCACGGTAGACCAGAGGCCCAGATTGTCCCCTTTCCACTCAGATGGTCTTCTAACTGACCGGGCATAAGCTGTATGGTAGTTCTCTTCCAAGATCACACAGCCTGGGGTGACAAATCATGTCAAGCTCTTTCTCTGCTGTTCCCTGAAGCTCAACACCCTGAGGGTCAGCCCCCGAGGGCCATCAGCTTCCGTTTCCCAATGCCAATTTTACTTTGTGTCTCTCACAACAGGGAGAAAACTTGGTGTTCCTTGGAGCCTTAATGGGATGCAGTGAGCTTAAGTCCTTCCAAGAGCTTACCCATCAGTCTGCCCTTAGTCATCCTCGAGCGGATGTATGGTGGTATTGTGGTGGACCATTACTGGACACTGCCGAGTAACTGGAGCAGAACATGCACTCTAATTCCATTGGCTATCCCTTTCACCCTGGCATTTCATCAACCAGAAAAGACAGAAACCAAACACTGTAAAACAAGAGAGGCCCCTCATGGGTCTGTTGACTCCCACATTTATATAGATTCCACTGGAGTCCAACGAGGAGTGCCAGATGAATTTAAGGCCCAAAATCAGACAACTGCAGGATTTGAATCCACGTTCTTCTGGTGGTTAACTATAAATAAAAATGTGAATTAGATAAACTACATTTATTACAACCAATGATGATTTTTTTTTTTTTGACGGAGTTTTGCTCTTGTTGCCCAGGCTGGAATGCAATGGCATGATCTCGGCTCACCACAACTTCTGCCTCCTGGGTCCAAGCAATTCTTCTGCCTCGGCCTCCCGAGTAGCTGGGATTATAAACATGTGCCACCACGCCTGGCTAATTTTGTATTTTTAGTAGAGACAGGGTTTCTCCATGATGGTCAGGCTGGTCTCAAACTCCCGACCTCAGGTTATCTGCCTGCCTCGGCCTCCCAAAGTGCTGGGATTACAGGCATCAGCCACTGTGCCCAGCCTATGATTTGTTAATTATACTAGAGATGCTCTTAAAGGGACAGCTGAACAATTAAGACCCACCAGTCAAATGGCCTGGGAAAATAAAATAGCATTAGACATGATACCAGCGAAAGAGGGTGGAGATTGTGTCATTATCGGAACCCGATGCTATACTTTTATCCCTAATAATACTACTCCAGGTGGGATCACACCAAAAGCACTACAAGGTCTTACTGCCTTATCAAATGAGCTAGCCAAAAATTCTGGACTAAACGACCCCTTCACAAATTTAATGGGAAATTCTTTGGCAAATGGAAGGGATTTATGTCCTCAATCCTCATGTCTCTTGCCATCAGAATAGGGTTGCTTATTCTTGTAGGATGCTGTGTCATACCCTGTGCCCTAGGATTAATACAAAAGCTCATTGAAACAGCTCTCCCCAAAACCTCCCTCAATCCTCCTCCTCCTCGTTCCAGTGAGCTTTTTCTTTTAGAAGACCCAAGTAGAATAACAGAGCCAAATTATGTTAAAAGGGTTTAAAGAAAAAATACTGTAAAATATTTAACAGGGGGATTGTTAAATACAGTAAGAAATTCTTCTTCAAAGGTTCAGCTTGCTTAAGTTTCCTTGTTCTTTGCTCCCTGCTTTCAAGGCCAGACTTCCTTACTCTCTGTGTTCTCCCTGCGCTGGTAAACAACCTTCCCGCCAGTCGTTATCTATAGAGCCCACATTCCACATCTGCTACCCACTCTGTGAATTACCCCTCCCATCACAATGGCTTCTCCCGGCAAAACTGATCTTCCTGCCTTCCCAGCAGTGTAATCACATTCCTGCACTTTTCAAGTTAGCCAACCGGGTTCAGCTTAGATTGTACGGTCCAACTCTAGCCAATGGAGTCAGGATACAGTAGCAGGGACAAGCTGCGTTAGACATAAAAACCTCTGCTTTCCTTTGTTCGGGGTGCTCTCGTGGCAACCGAACCTATGAGGAGCAACCTTATGCAAAAGTAAATTTGCCTTGCTGAGAGACCCTTTGTCCTTTGTCTCAGTGCTAGTTCTTCTTTGCAGCACCAAGCATTTGTTTTCAACAATTATATATTTAAGGAATCTTTGATTATGGAAAATTTCAAGAAGTAGAGGGAATAGCATACTAAGCCCTCTGTTCCCATCTTTGAGTTATCTACATTTTATTAGAAGTATCTTTGGGGTGACTGAGGGAGGTTTCTCTTTCCTGGAGGGCTTCTGAATTATTGCCAATGTACCTTCCTGACTGCAGCCAGAAACTGAGGCCCCTATACCTATGTACCTTTCTATCCCTCTCTGAAGCTTCTGCAGAATTCCCAGCAAGACAGAGCTTGCTGGAAGCTTGGTATGCTCAGAAGCAGCTAAAGCGTGTATGTGGGGCGGAGGGTGGGGGCAACTTCTTGGTCCTAGCACTTCCATATATTGATTTTCTTTTCTGGCTGCTTAGTGGGAGGAGTGTGTGTGTATGCATGTGTGTGTGTGCGTGTGTGTGTGTGTGTACATGCCTGTGTGTGTGGATGCATGCATGTGCTGTGAAGCAGGGAGACCAGCTTTCCGCTCCTTCTTGTTTTCTCTCTGCAGTGACCTGGGAGCTGTCATTTCCCTCCTGCTCTGGGGACGACAGCTTTTTGCACTGTACTCAGGCAATGATGTCACGGATATTTCAGGTCAGTCTTTGAGTTGGGTAGGAGCATGCATCCCTGGCACTGCCACATCCCACTCTGACTCTCTCGGGTCTGCATTCTTTCTTTGAGAACACACAGTTCCCCATTCTTATCCTGACCTCTGGGCTTTCAGGACTGCCAAGAACATTGGGGATCCTGCCAGAAATGAGGGGAGCTTGAGCTTTCGTTGGCTTCTATTTGGGGTAGAAGGAGATTGATGTGCAGAGCAGCTTCCACTCATCTGACTTTTCATGGGTCTCTGGGAACAATTTCCAAATGGTAAACTCTCTGGCTTCTCTCTCTTTGCAGATGACCGCTTCCCGAAGCCCCCTGAGATTGCAAATGGCTATGTGGAGCACTTGTTTCGCTACCAGTGTAAGAACTACTACAGACTGCGCACAGAAGGAGATGGTAAGACCTGGACAACTATCTCTGTGCTCTACCTACAACCCCTGCTCTGACATTTCCATGATGGGTGGTGCTGAGGTGATTTGCCAGAAAGTTCGTTGCTCTCCTTGGAGCCAGGAGATTTAGATTCTGATAAGCGTTTTGTCGCCAGTAGCCATGGCCCTTTGGGCAGACTAACTTTTGTCAGCCTCAGGTTTTCTGTTTTGTTAAGGGGAGGTGATGCCATGCAGCCTACCTCATGTAAATCTCAGAGTCAGATTTACATCTCCAGCAGATGTGGGAAAAGAAGGAATGCTGATGATGATGTCACCCTCACCTAGTGAGTCTTGCTGTCCTGGCACTGCTCTAAGGGCTTTATATTTATTTGCTCACTTAGTCCTTACAGTTTCCCACTGAATAGAGGTTATTATTCTCACTTTGCTGATAAGGAAACAGAGGCACCGACAGGTTGAGTATCTTGCCCAAATTCAGGTGGCCTGTAAGAGGCAGAGTCAGGATTTGAACCCTGAGCCCTCCCTGTACTGCCTGGCTGTGACCGCCATCACCACAGTGTGTTCTGCTGGGCTTAACTGGTGTCCAGGCACTTGGCTTCCAGCACAGCACTCTTTCCCTTCCTCCTTCTCGTATTCTCTCTCCTTTCTCCCTTCCTGTCTGCCTCCTTTCTTCTTCTTCTTTTTAATTCTTCTCCTTAAATGCCTTCTCACTCTGCTCTGGGTGCAGACTTGACTTTTCCTTTGGCTCATTTCTTGCCTTTTGTTTCAGGAGTATACACCTTAAATGATAAGAAGCAGTGGATAAATAAGGCTGTTGGAGATAAACTTCCTGAATGTGAAGCAGGTGGGTGCTGAGCACTGAGCACTTAAGAGAGCAGGCAGGCGTCCAGCGGGGAACGTCCTAGAGGCACAGCCTTCCAGTGCGGCTTCCTCTGAGCACACAAGAGCCAGGAGGAGGGATGTGGGAGAACCGCAGCTGGCCAGGGAGAGACTTAAGCAGTTAGGTGATGACTCCCTAAGGATCACCAGGGTCTTGTTCATTGGGGCCTGAAGGGCACTGGCTGAATCCACTGTCGGCATTGCCCACAGATCAGGAGAGCCTGTGCATACAGAGAGCCTGCTAGAGAGCCCTGGGTCTAAGGAGAAGCAAGCTCCAGGGAGAACAAGTCAAGGGATAACATAAAATCTTAATCCATGGAAGCCTAGCAGGAGGCTGGACATGGGCTGGAACTCCTGCTTCTCGTTATTAGGAGGAACTGTTGCTCTCTCCTTTCCGTCTCAGAACCAGAGGCAAAGGCCCAGCCTCTTCTGCTGTGAGTGGTGTGGAACTACCAACCTGCCTCGTATTAACTGCAACATCTATAAAGTATGAGCTCCAGCCAATGCTGCTCTAGATTCCTCTTTCTTCAGAGATGATGAATTATTGTAGCTCCTAGCCCTTTCTTTTTTCTTTCTTTCTTTTTTTTTTTTTTTGAGACAGAGTTTTGCTCTCGTCGCCTAGGCTGGAGTGCAGTGGTGCTAATTCCTGACCTCAGGTGATCCAACTGCCTCAGCCTCCCAAAGTGCTGGGATTACAGGCGTGAGCCACCGCATCTGGCCCCTAGCCCTTTCAATGAATTTCAGGGAATTGTGAAAATTCCTTTGTTGAGATAATTGTTTAAATATAATATAGTTCACCAGCCAGGCCTCAAAAAACTCAGTATTTCTCATTTCCTTATTTAGAAATAGAGCTTTTTGTAATGTAAACAATTAAAAAAATTATTTTAAAACTGCAACTATTGGAAATGAGATCAGCAGGTGGTAAGGACAAAGCATTTAAATCTTTCCAGTTTATGCAGCAGTGACAGCCGCCAATGCTTTCACCCCTTTCTCAGATGGAAAGGCTCTTGCACATTTCCACTCACGAGTGTCTTGCTCTCCTTGACAGTATGTGGGAAGCCCAAGAATCCGGCAAACCCAGTGCAGCGGATCCTGGGTGGACACCTGGATGCCAAAGGCAGCTTTCCCTGGCAGGCTAAGATGGTTTCCCACCATAATCTCACCACAGGGGCCACGCTGATCAATGAACAATGGCTGCTGACCACGGCTAAAAATCTCTTCCTGAACCATTCAGAAAATGCAACAGCGAAAGACATTGCCCCTACTTTAACACTCTATGTGGGGAAAAAGCAGCTTGTAGAGATTGAGAAGGTGGTTCTACACCCTAACTACCACCAGGTAGATATTGGGCTCATCAAACTCAAACAGAAGGTGCTTGTTAATGAGAGAGTGATGCCCATCTGCCTACCTTCAAAGAATTATGCAGAAGTAGGGCGTGTGGGTTACGTGTCTGGCTGGGGACAAAGTGACAACTTTAAACTTACTGACCATCTGAAGTATGTCATGCTGCCTGTGGCTGACCAATACGATTGCATAACGCATTATGAAGGCAGCACATGCCCCAAATGGAAGGCACCGAAGAGCCCTGTAGGGGTGCAGCCCATACTGAACGAACACACCTTCTGTGTCGGCATGTCTAAGTACCAGGAAGACACCTGCTATGGCGATGCGGGCAGTGCCTTTGCCGTTCACGACCTGGAGGAGGACACCTGGTACGCGGCTGGGATCCTAAGCTTTGATAAGAGCTGTGCTGTGGCTGAGTATGGTGTGTATGTGAAGGTGACTTCCATCCAGCACTGGGTTCAGAAGACCATAGCTGAGAACTAATGCAAGGCTGGCCGGAAGCCCTTGCCTGAAAGCAAGATTTCAGCCTGGAAGAGGGCAAAGTGGACGGGAGTGGACAGGAGTGGATGCGATAAGATGTGGTTTGAAGCTGATGGGTGCCAGCCCTGCATTGCTGAGTCAATCAATAAAGAGCTTTCTTTTGACCCATTTCTGTGTTGTGTTCAGTCTTGAGTCTTTTTTATTTGCTCCTTTATGGTCCAGGGTAGTCAGAAGGTATAGAGTCTACTGGGAGTATGGCAGAAAACACCCTAAACCCACTGGAAATCCCGAAGGTGATACAAACTCTTCCACCTTAGGGAATCATGCTCACTGATTGAGTGCCTATTGAATGCTAGGTCCCAGAAAGTTAACTGTTGTCCTTGTTTTACAGACAAGGAAACAGAGACTCAGAGATGGTAAGTGAGTTGCTTAAGGTTACATAGCTATGAAACAGGGAAGCAGAACTTTGAACCCAGGTCTGTTTGATACAAACTCAGAGGTCCTTTCACTGCATGCTGTTGCCTCTTTAAAGCGAATTAGGAGAAAGGGCATGGGCCTGGTGAGGAAGAGGCTAGCTCAAAATGGGATGGGGAAAAAGTGTTTTAACACAGACAGTACTTCAGAGTTTGGGATCTAACCTACCAGCACTCCAGAAAACAAAAGATGATGATGTAAAGGCAGGATCTCTGGACTTGCTGAGTCCAAATCATGGCTTGGCCCAAACATTTGCTAAGTAATTTAGGCTTCCTGGCCATTAGTTCCTGGTCTCTTCCATGAAGGACTTGAGCCAGGGTAACGTCCCTATCAGCAATAAGCTTCTGGGACTCTGTAAAGAGTGGGGAGGTAGAGTCCCTGCCTCAGTAGAAGCTGCTTTTCCTACTTGGAACAAACCCACCCTTCACCAGGAATCAAAAGCAAGCTGTCTGAGCCTCCTCTCCTGATGGCAGGTCATGCTATTAAGGGTCTCCCAGAAGAAAGCTTCTGGAGCTCTGAGAAACAGAAGCTCTTCTAACAGAACTTTTTCTTGCTATAAGCTTTCAATACCACCAATCACCAATGTGCCTTCTTCTCATGCGAAAATACGGCCCCTCCTTTGCAGGGTGTAAAATGACACTGATGTCACTCTCTCTCACCAGGGTCTGGCCATCTCTGTGAAGCTCTCCTCACAGGCACCCTGCAGATTCATCAATAAACTTCAACAGGTTAGCGCTAGTAGGCCAATAAGACCTATATTCTAGAACCTGTGAAAGAGATAATAGCCAGAAACTGGCAAACACCAGTCAAACTCTTTAAAAAAATGCCTCTTAGAACACAGTCACTTACACATTTTCCTAGATCTCTTCAGCACCAAGTTTCTTGGAAGAACAAGGCACTCTGCAGTTTTCTTAAAGAATTGTCTGATTGTATTAAGTGGCTTCTGGTAAAACAACAGTAAGAGAAAAGTTCTGGCATTCTCTTGATCACTCATCTTCTCTGCCTTCCTCCCCAGCACCACCTCCTGGCCTCAGCCTGTGGGCTTCTGCAAAGTCAGGTATCAGGACTAATTAGCTAGCATCAAATTCCTGTTAATTCCAGAAGCAGGGACAAACCTGTTGGGGAGGGACTTAATGACAAAATTAGGTATAGGTCTATACGTTAATCAAGGAAAATTCTCTACTTCCTTAAACTTACTTACCACCCTAGAGGAGAGCCAAATCCACTCTGATGACGTTTGGTCATAGGAAGGAAATTGGGGAAAATTACAAGTTTCTCCAATCCATGTAAAATTAAGAAATCCTGGGGAAGTTGTAAAGAGAAAACAGTACCCTATTCCCTTGAAAGGCAGAATAGGTTTATAACTTATAATCGAAGGTCTCCTTCAGGAAGGACTTCTTGAACCCCATATGTCCTCTTACAACACTCCAATATTGCCTGTAAAAAAGTCGGATGGGTCATAGCGGCTACTGCGAGACCTTCGAGCCATTAACCAAATAGTCCAGACCACCCACCCTGTCATTCCTAACCCTTACACCATTATCAGCAAGATCCCTCATGACTGCCAGTGGTTCACAGTAATAGACCTCAATGATGACTTCTGGGCTTGCCCCTTAGCTGTGGATAGCTGGGACATATTTGCTTTTGAATGGGAAGACCCTCATTCCAGTTGGAAGCAATAGTAGTGATGGACAGTTCTACCCCAAGGGTTTACAGACTCTCCAAACCTATTAGTCAAAGTTTGGAACAAGTCCTAGAGAATTTCCCTCTTTCATCATCCTTATGTCTACTCCAATATGTGGATGACCTGCTCATTTCCAGAGGCACCAAAGACCAAGTAACCGCAATTTTAATTAGCTTTCTAAATTTCCTAAGGGAACAATGGTTACGGGTCTCAAAAAGTAAACTCCAGCTTGTAGAACCTGAGGTAAAACACATGGGGCACTTAATAAGCAAAGGTAAGCCGAAGATAGGGCCCGAACAAATGGAAGGGATCATATCCCTGCCACTGCCTGAGACAAAACAAGAACTTAGAAAATTCTTCAGGCTAGCTGGAAATTATTGCCTGTGGATTGACTCTTATGCCTTAAAAACAAAACCTCTATATCTAAAACTTACCCAAGAAGGGCCTGACCCCCTTCTTTGGACCCCACAAGAAGTCCAGCAAGTTGAGGAACTAAAACATCTACTTATAACTGCCCCTGTCTTAGCTCTGCCATCCTTAGAACAGCCATTTCACTTTTTTGTTAATATAAGCAATGGGGCAGCTATAGGAGTACTCACTCAAAAGCATGGGGCCATTGCCAGCCCACAGCCTTTCTGTCAAACATTCTTGACGTGGTAACCTGTGGGTGGCCCGAATGTATCCAATCTACAGCAGCAACTGTTTTATTGACAGAGGAAAGTAGAAAAATAACCTTTGGGGGAAGTCTCATCCTAAGCACACCCCATCAGGTTAAAACCATTCTTAGCCAAAAAGCAGGGAGATGGCTTACAGATTCAAGAATCCTAAAATATGAAGCTATCCTATTAGAAAAAGGTGATTTAACCCTAACCACTGACAATGTGCTCAACCCCGCCACCTTCCTTTTTTTTTTTTTTTTTGAGATGGAGTTTCACTCTTATTGCCCATGCTAGAGTGCAATGGCACAATCTCGGCTCACCGCAACCTTTGCCTCCTGGGTTCAAGCAATTCTCCTGCCTCAGCCTACCAAGTAGCTGGGATTACAGGCATGCCACCATGCCTGGCTAATTTTTTTGTATTTTTAGTAGAGATGGGGTTTCTCCATGTTGGTCAGGCTGGTCTTGAACTCCTGTCCTCAGGTGATCTGCCTGCCTTGGCCTCCCAAAGTGTTGGGATTACAGGCGTGAGCCACTGTGCCCGGCCTACCCCGCCACCTTCCTGACAGGAAATCCAAACGCTGGAGACCCCAAGCACAAATGTTTAGACTTAATCATCAAACTAAAGTAAGGCCTGATCTAAGTGAGACCCCTTTAAAAACAGGGCACCATCTCTTTGTAGACAGCTCCTCTCGGGTAATTGAAGAGAAAAAACATAATGGCTACTCAGTGGTTGATGGAGAAACTCTCACAGAAGTAGAATCAGGGAGACTTCCCAATAACTGGTCTAACCAAACATGTGAGTTGTTCGCACTAAATCAAGCCTTAAAATAGCTGCAGAATCAAGAAGGGACTATTTACACCAATTCCAAATATGCTTTTGGAGTGGCCCATACCTTTGGGAAGATTTGGACTGAACAAGGCCTTATTACTAGCAAGGGCCAAAACCTTGTCCACAAAGAGTTAATCATGCAAGTATTAGAAAACCTTCAGCTACCAGAGGACATAGCCATTGTTCATGTCCCAGGACACCATAAAGGTCTCTCTTTCAAGAGTTACTTCCCAAGAAGCACCCATTTTCCACTGAACCCCTTGTCTCCCTTCCCCATCTGCAACCCCCATCTTCTCCCAAGCAGACAAAGAAAAATTAAAGAAAATAGGGGCTAACAAAAACTCAGAAGAGAAACGGATACTGCCAGATAACAAAGAAATGTTGTCCAAACCCCTAATGACAGAAATCTTAACACAACTTCACCAAGGGACCCATTGGGGTCCCCAAGCCATGTGTGATGCAGTCCTTAGAACCTATGGGTGTACAGGGATTTATACCCTCACCAGGCAAGTCACAGACAGTTGTATGGTATGCAGAAAAACCAATAAACAAACTTTAAGAAAACTGCCCTTCGGCGGAAGAAATCCTGGGCTAAGGCCATTCCAAAGTGTCCAAATTGACTTATACCGAAATGCCCCAAATAGGCTGCCTCAAATGTTTGTCAGTTATAGTGGACCATCTCACTCACTGGGTGGAAGCCATTCACCTGCCAAGTGCAACTGCCAATAATGTAGTTAAAGTACTAATAGAAGATACCATACCCAGATTCAGATTAATAGAGAACATTGACTCAGACAATGGAACCCATTTTACTGCACAGGTCATTAAAGGATTAACCCAGACACTAGAGATAAAATGGGAATATCATACTCCCTGGCACCCACCCTCATCAGGAAAAGCAGAAAGAATGAATCAAAATAAATAAATCACCTAACTAAACTAATCTTGGAAACCCGACTGCCATGAACTAAGTACCTCCCTGTCGCCTTACTAAGAATTCGTATCGCCCCTTGAAAAGATATCGGCCTGTCCCCTTATGAAACGCTCTACAGATTGCCATGCTTAAATTCCACCACTGACATCCCTACATTTGAAACAAAACATCAATTTCTTAAAAACTATATACGTGGTCTATCTTCCACCCTTTTTTCCCTCAGGACCCAAGGCCTCTTAGCACAAATGCCGCCTCTAGAGTTTCCAGTACACCCACATCAGCCTGGGGATTATGTGCTCATCAAAAGCTGGAGGGAGGAAAACTCGAACCATCGTGGGAAGGACCCTATCTAATACTCCTAACAACTGAAACAGCAGCCCGAACGGCTGAACAGGGGTGGACTCATCACACTTGGGTAAAAAGGACCCCACCCCTTATGGAATCATGGACCATCACTCCAGGACCAACTCCCTCAAAATTAACATTCAAAAAGGTCTAATTTGTCTCTTCTTCCCCCTAATTGCCCAGGGGCATTTCATTTTTTTTTTTTTTTGAGATGGAGTCTCGCTCTGTTGCCCAGGCTGGAGTGCAGTGGCAAGATCTCCACTCACTGCAAGCTCTGCCTCCTGGGTTCACACCATTCTCCTGCCTCAGCCTCCCGAGTAGCTGGGACTACAGGTGCCTGCCACCATGCCCGGCTAATTTTTTGTATTTTTAGTAGAGACGGGGTTTCACAGTGTTAGCCAGGATGGTTGATCTCCTGACCTTGTGAACTGCCCGCCTCGGCCTCCCAAAGTCCTGGGATTACAGGCATGAGTCACCGTGCCCAGCCCGCATTTCATTGTTAATGTAACCAGGTCAGCCTCCCCTCAAGCTGTTGTGTTTGATGCTTGCCTAGTCATACCTTGCAGAGACCTACAAAGTCAAAGGCAACTAGCCTCTTCAGAAAAGTATCTTTGCCCTTGGTACTCACCCCACCCTCAATCTGATCCTTGCAAGATTCCCTATAATTGGCTACCTTGCCATTCCTGGTACGATATTCTCTGGACCACTCAGTCCCAAGGCTGGACTTCTTCAGCAGGCTGCACCTCCCTAAAACCTTATATCCATTTTACTAAACAAAATAACTCCTCTAACTGCCAACACCTCCGATGTAACCTGGTGCATATTTCTATTACTACTTCAACCTCCACTAACCATATTCCCACCCTAAGTCGCTTTTATGGTATGGGGCAGATGTTAGCGGGAAAGACCCCATAGGGTCCTTTGAGATTCGTTTTGTCGCCCCTCCAGCACCCCTTCCTTCCCGAAGATCTCCTCCAAATGAAACAACTATCTTGCCACTACCTAATGACAAAACTAAAGTGCACATAGTGGAAGTCAAAGACCTAAAACAAACCCTGGCCATCGAGACCGGACACCAAGAAATGAATGCCTGGCTGAAATGGATCAAATATTCAGTTTGCACTTTAAATAAAAGCGACTGTTATGCCTGTGCAATGGGCAGGCCAGAAATCCAAATAGTTCCCTTCCTGCTTGGATGGTCTAACCAACCGGGCATGGACTGTACAGTAGCTCTCTTCCAGCACCCCACAGCCTGGGGTAATAAGTCATGCACCAGTCTCTCACTGCTTTTCCCAAAAGTCAAAGACTTCCCTGTGGGTCAGCCCCCAAGGGCCATCTGGCTCCTGGCCTCTGATGCCAATTTTACCTCTTGTCTCTCATGACGGGGAAAACTTACATCTTTCAGGAATCTAACGGGATGCAGTGAATCCGAGCCTTTTCGAGAGCTCACCAATCAGACTGCCCTTGTCTATCCACAAGCAGATGTTTGGTGGTATTGTGGAGGACCTCTACTGGGTATGCTGCCAAATAATTGGAGCAGCACTTGCACTCTAATCCAACTGGCCATCTCTTTCACCCTGGCATTTCATCAGTCCGACAAAAAGTCACCCTCTTGGGAAGAAAGAGAAGCTCCTCAAGGGTCTTTTGACCCCCATGTCTATATAGAGGCAATTGGAGTACCACGAGTAGCCGCCAATGAATTTAAAGCTCGAAATCAAATAGCTGCCAGGTTTGAGTCAGTCTTATTTTGGTGGTCTACTATAAACAAAAACGTAGACTGGATAAACTATATATATTACAATCAACAAGGATTTGTTAATTATACCAGAGATACCATTTGGGGATAGCCGAGCAATTTGGTCCCACCAGCCAAATGGCCTGGGAAAACAGGATAGCTCTTGACATGACATTAGCAGAAAACGGCAGAGTTTGTGTAATCATCAGAGCCCAATGTTGTACTTTGATCCCAAATAACACAGCTCCCGATGGAACCACTACCAAGGCTCTACAAGGCCTCACCACCCTAGCAAATGAGCTGGCTGAAAATTCTGGAATAGATGACCCCTTCACAGGTTTAACCAAAAGATGGTTTGGTAAATGGAAAGGACTTATGGCCTCTATCCTCACTTCCCTTGCCATTGTTACAAGTGCACTCATCCTTGTAGGCTGTTGCATCACACCTTGTGTTTGTGGGTTAGTTCAAAGACTCATAGAAATGGCTTGCACTAAAACCTTCTCTGTCTCTCCCCCTCCATATTCAGACCAACTTTTACTCCTAGACAATCAAGAAGAGCAACAAAGCCAAATCTTACTAAAATAATTTGAAGAGGAAGAATTATAACAACAAAAAGGGGGAAATTGTCAGAATAAAAGAAAGGTTCCTCTTCAAAGATCCAACTTTCTTGTCATAGGCTGTAAACCGCCTTGCTCCAAACCTTAACCTGTAACCTTTACCCTCTGCCTTATTTGAGAAAGATTCAAGCGCATAGCCAATTGGAGTCAGCCTAGACTGTGCGGTCCAACCCCAGCCAATGGGGGAAAGACAAAGAAGCAGGAACTGCGTTAGGGTTAGAAACCTGTTCTCCTTTGTTAGGTGTGCTTTTGCGACTGCTATAGGCGCGGGCAGCACCCTTCTGCAGAAGTAAACTTTGCCTTGCTGAGAAACTTTTCTTCTGAGTGCTCCTCTTCCTCTGCGGCACTCAGAAATAAGAGAACTTATTTCTAACAGGAGGAAGAAGACATGATAATTTTGCACACGCAGGTTCTGAGTTTTGGCTGGTGCGCTGAGTGCTTACCATACCGCAAATACTGTGTGATCTGGGCTGAAGAACAGAAAACCCAACTAACAGTGACTTAGGCAAAAAGAAATTTTATTCTTTCACAGAAGTCTGAGGCAGGCAGGTCCAGAGTTCATGCAGGAGCTCAATAACATCAGAGATTGGGCTCTTTTTGTTCTTCTTAGCATATCGATGTTTTACGTGATGCTGGGCACCTCGGGGACCTAAGATGGCTGTTGTAGCTCCATGCATCATGATTAAACCAGAGACAGGAAGTGTACGATGGAAGAGGCCAGAGGTGATGGCCTCCTCCTCTCCTTTTGTCTTATTCCTGGAGTGACTCCCTCCTCTTATCAGCAGGGATACAAGCAGTGCCTGGCAGCCTTCCCTCTCTCCTGTATGAGCCAAAAGCAAGACTCATGGCACCCCTCCCTGCAGGAAAGGGGTGGAATGGAGCCCCTGGCAAAGGGGGCTGGACTTGCAGTGACAGTGCTGCTCTGAACAGGACTAGGCTTCTGTTGGAGAGGTGGTCAGCGGCTGCTAGGCAGGTCACAAGCTGCCTCACCCATGGCTCTCCAGCTCTGCACCTACCCTCTCCTTCTAATAAATCTGTTTCAATAACCACCACGAGGTTTAAAGAGGAGCAGTAACTTGCCCACGGTTGCGCCAGGCACCCCTAGAAGAGCAAGAATTCCTTACAAAGTTATTAAAACAGGCAAATCCCATATAGGTGACATTTCTATCCAACAATGCTGACATCTCTTTTAGTTTTGAGCCTTAGTAATCCAATTTTCTGCCTCAGGAAGAGGCAGCAGCTTCTGGGAAAAATCTGCTCCTGCTAAGGTGGCTCATTCATTGTTTTACCTGAATAGAGTGGTGGATGGTGAAGGTTCAAATTCTCACTTTCCATATTAAATTTTATAACATAAAAAATAATTAAATGGGGTGCGCGCGGTGGCTCACGCCTATAATCCCAGCACCTGGGAGGCTGAGGAGGGCAGATCACGAGGTCAGGAGATCGAGACCATCTTGGCTAACACGGTGAAACTGCGCCTCTATAAAAATACAAAAAATTAGCTGGGCATGGTGGCGGGCGCCTGTAGTCCCAGCTACTCAGGAGGCTGAAGCAGGAAAATGGCATGAACCCAGGAGGTGGAGCTTGCAGTGAGCCGAGATCGCGCCACTGCACTCCAGCCTGGGTGACAAGAGTGACTCGGTCTCAAAAAAAAAAAAAAAAATTAAATGAGCCAACCAGGACAATGTTTAAAAGCCAGAGCCAAAAAGGCTCCAAAATAAAACAAACTTGTCTGCTCAATTAATTATTTGAAGAGAACCTACAGTAATACAGACTGGAGATGGGAAAGCACGAGGGATGTATGAGTCGAGGAACCGGCAAAGGGGTGTGGGGGTGTGTGTGTGTGTGTGTGTGCACACACATGCACCCAGCTAGGGTAGAAAATAAGTACTTTTGCTTCTATGGGAAGTGACTTTCCAGTTCACTTGTGTATCAAATGAACATGATGAAATCAAGTTGTACTAGCCAATGTTTGGGAGGGTTCTGTATTAAAGGGATAAAGAAAAACATTAGAAAGAGAAGTTACAAAAATCACTGTGGGGAAAATGAACACCAATGACTTGGCTGCTCTGAGGCTTGCAGGGAGTAGACAGTTAGGCATCCCAGGTCATCAGAGAACCAGTGGGGTCTTTTCCTCAGGGGCCGGGTTTTCTACACGCAAGTCAAACCTCTTCTCCTCTGGGACACATGTTTCCAAAGGACTCCAGAAACACAGCACAGCTGGATTCAGGTACTGTGTCAAGATGTGCCTTCTTCTTCATCTTTGACAGCAATTAATGTACTAAATGTCTTGATAGAGAAGGTCATATTTGGGAATATTCTTGGGATCAATAGGACTTTGGACAATAAGCTTCCCCCTCATTGCTCCTCGATAGATTACTTCAATCAAATCTATGAAGTCTTGTTTGGTTTTGAAGCTTCCCACAAACTTAGTGTGATCTGGAGATCTAGACAGCATAGAAGAGAAACAACTGCTCTAAGAACTTTGAGTAATCACTTGTTGAAGACTTTCAGGATAAACAAAATGAAAAACAGCTTTGTTATTTTCTTCTTGTCAATGAGACTTCAGAAATAAAGCCCAACATTAATTTTTCAATCATTTTTTTCCATTTAGTAAATGACTCAACCCAGTGCTGTGGGCCACTAGCATGAAAGCTCTGTCATGTGCAAAGCTTTAGCTTCAAAAGCTATTGTAATCACAAAATCTATTTTTATCACTTCTCAAATCATCAAGCAGATTTCACCAAGTGTTGGAGTGCACATTGTTTCTTCGTTTGCTGTTGTTGCTTTTGCCTGGGCATTGTGCAAAGCCCATTCAATATTCATGGCCTTTTGAGTGGTAGGTATTAAAAAATTGATTTTTTAGAAAAGTATCTCAAACACCAGGTATGTTACTGTAAAAATTTTAAAGAAATAAATAAAATCACGGATGAGGCCAGAGGTCACTTTTCAGTGTCTATCCTTCCAATCTTGTGTGTGTGTGTGTGTGTGTGTGTGTGTGTGTGTGTGTGTGTATGTGCAGATACAAACTTCTTTTTTCCCAACATTGGGAATTATGTCATACAAATTATTCAGTAATATGCTTTTTTCTAGCTGACATATATTTCTTTCATTTGTTAAATGTGCATCTGCAACATCATATTAAAGTCCTGGAAGTGTAATTACTGGGTTAAAAAGTTTAAAAACTTTAAACTATTTGATACATAATGTTGAACTGGCCCCCATAAAAGGTTGTACCAAATTAATACTTACATCAAATGTGTTCCAGTAGAATAAACAGCTTTAAAATACTTTTGTGTTTTTTTTTTGTTGTTGTTGTTGTTGTTTTGCGATGGAGCCTTGCTCTGTCACCAGACTGGAGTGTAGTGGTGCGTTCTCTGCTCACTGCAACCTCCACCTCCTGGGCTCAAGCGAATCTCCTGCCTCAGCCTCCTGAGTAGTTGGGATTACAGGCACCCACCATCATGCCTGGCTAATCTTTTTTTTGAGACGGCAGCTCTGTTGCCCAGGATGGAGTGCAGTGGCGCGCTCTCGGCTCACTGCAAGCTCCGCCTCCTGGGTTCATGCCATTTTTCTGCCTCAGCCTCCAGAGTAGCCGGGACTACATGCGCCCGCCACCACGCCCAGCTAATTTTTTGTATTTTTAGTAGAGACAGGGTTTCACTGTGTTAGCCAGGATGGTCTCGATCTGCTGACCTCATAATCTGCCTGCCTCGGCTTCCCAAAGTGCTGGGATTACACGCGTGAGCCACTGCGCCTGGCCATGCCTGGCTAATTTTTGTATTTTTAGTAGAGATGGGGTTTCACTATGTTGGCCATGCTGGTTTTGAACTCCTGACCTCAAATGATCCGCCTGCCTTGGCCTCCCAAAGTGCTGGGATTACAGGCGTGAGCCACTATGCCCAGCCTAAAACACTTTAAAACAGATAATATTTCACATACTTTCAAATAAAGACAAAAAGGGTACACAGATCTAGATAAGTGGACACATCAACCACAGTAAGAAATGATCAGAATCATGGATGCACCCAATCATCAATATTAAGTATTGAGATGGTAATTGGATGGAGTGGAAGGCACTAAAGAGGACATCATGTTACTTATTCTTGACAGGCTTTGTTGAAGAATGATTTAAAATTCAATGGCGAAAAGCAGGAAACTTTGCAAGAGAGAAGCACATCTTAGTTTGCTAGAAGGAATGTTTCTTTCATAAATGCCACTTACCAGTCCAAAAGCTTAAGAAAAACTACATGTTTTGTTTCAAATGAAATTCCTGGGAAAATTTTAAGAGTTCTTTATTTAGCTAATATGGCTATTTTATATTTTATAGACTTATGGATGGTAGTGCTTTGCCACCTGTACTATTTCTTCATACTTAAGTCGGAAATTAAAATTTGACAAACCATGTGTATGCACTATTAAAAAAATAAATAAAATTTGACAATCATACCAGAAGCACTCTCATTTTGTAGCAAGGTTTTGCATAAAAAATTAGAGAGTGCGTCAATTGGGGAAACAGTACTGATATAAGACTCACAGAGCCAACATCACATGGAAATAGGCAAGCTACTGAAAATGCTTACCAAGGAAACTTACAAGGTTGCAATTAACTTCAGATCAACTGCACTTACCCATAATCCACTTTCATATGCTGCCCATTGAAGAAAAAGACAGTAGATGGAATATAACTGATGTCAAAATACTGTGTATAAACTGCAGTTTGGTCCACATCTACCAGGTATATAGCAGCCATTTTACTTAAGTCAGAAGAGGTCTTAGAAAGCTGCAAATGACGAGAGAGACAAAGGTTACAATATGAGAGGCAGCTTAATGTTTCTTCTGTGAAACTTGTTACTACAACAGAGTGTTTTGTTTGAAAAAACTCCTGGGCCAACAATGCAGCCCATGTGGCTCCCACATTAGACAAAGCATAACCCCATCCTCCAGAGTCTCATTCACTGCAACGGGGTTAGGAGGGAATCTTGGGGAAAACTGTATGAGGTTAGGAAGGGACCTTGGGGAAAACTGTGTGAGGTTAGAAGGGGACCTTGGGGAAAACTGTGTGAGTTTAGGAGGGTGACAGCATGGGAGTATTCCTGTCTATTCATTGTGGAGAGAGACCTAACCCAGAACTAAGACCTCTACCCGCCATTTCTACTGCTGCCATCCCGTGTTAAGAGCTGAGCATACAAATCCTTGGGGAAAACTGTGTGAATCTATTTCTTCCTTTAATTTCTTTCTTTGAATGCTTTTATAAAAGTAGCCCATGCTCATTTAAAACAACACAACTTAGAAATATGTTATGTGGATACTGAAATTCCCTAACGTCTCCTTCCTCCCAATCCTCCCAGAAATGAAAACCACGATAATTAGTAGCAGACACTTATATAACATTACTATGTGGTAACTGTCCTAAGTGCTTAACATTTGTTAACTCATTTAATCCTTACATCATTCTTATAAGGTATATGCTATCAGAGTCCCCATTTTATAGATAGGGAAACTGAGGCACAGGAAGGTAAAGTAATTTGCCCCAGGTCACACAGCTCCTGAGCAGTAGGGCTGGGGTTTGAACTTTGGCAGTGTGGCTTCAGTGTCTACATCACTGACCTCTGTGGTATTTCCTCCTGCTTATGACTGAGGGTAGAATCCTCTGGTCCTTTTTTCCCCAAGCTAACACATCACACCCTCATTGTAACCACGGAAATGAGGATTTGTACGCTCAGCTCTTACACGGGATGGTAGCAGTAGAAATGGCGGTAAGAGGTCTTAGTTCTGGGTTAGGTCTCTCTCTGCATCAGGCACATACTGGAGGCAGCACACTAGAAAAGATTATTTGCAGCTACAGAAAACTGAGTTCAAATCTCAACTCTGCAATATAGTGGATCTGCACCTGTGGGAAATTACTTGACCTCTCTGGTTTTTTTTTTCCTACTGGGAAATGGGGCTACTATTATCCCACTATTGCGAGCACTGAAAAGATAGTGTTCACAGATGCTTGTTAATAGTTTTCTGCTCTTCCATCACCTTGTTGGTGAAACAGCATTGACAGCTTCTAGTGGGTAAGGACATCCAAGACAGATTCAGCACACACAGATTTGGGGGCTTGGTTCAGGGCAGGCACACAATCAGCTCTTAGTGAACTAACAAATGAACAGCTATATACCCAACCCTGACTACTCCCTCTCATGTACTACTCAGATGCTGAAGTGAGAATATACAGATTATTAATAAAAACCAATTATTTTAGACATTCACTTACAATATCATCTAGCTGCAGACAGACAGGATCTTCATCTCTCCCAAACCTGAGAACCAACACCTTCTCAGCAGTACTTTTTATCGCCTGGTCTACTTCCTTTTTGCTAGTCAGCTTGGGCAGTAGGAAGCTCATCTTGAAATAACCCAAATGTGAATCCTCACTGTCACTCCTGAAATAAAGGTGCAATGTTTAAAGACAGTTTAGATTAAGTGCGTGAGCCCTCATTAAAAAAAATTAATTCACAGAGTAGCTAATGTATTCACATGGTATGAAAGAAACATCATAGAAAGGTAACACTGTGGAGTTTCCCTCTCTTTGTCCCTGCTCCTTGGAACCAGTTTTCATTGTTCCCTCCCCCGGGCCAGATAACTGCTTTCATTAGTTTCTCATGTATCTTTCAGAGTTTTGTTATGCATTCACCAAAAAATACAAATATGCGTTCCGATATTTTTTTTCTCTCTCTCCCCACCCCCAAAAGATAGCCTATTGTATCAGTGTTCCAGCAGGAAAGCGATGACACTCTCAACTTTGGTAATTTGAAGGCAGTTTAATTAAGGCAGGTGTAGAAAAACAATACGGTAAAGTGTACTACTTTGGGGCTAGTAACAGCGGGATGCTGTACCCATCCCTAGGCCATGGGAGGAAGAAGCCACGGTAGGAAGCAGTTATAAGAATTGTGTGGCAGAAAGAGGTGAGTGGAGAGGACAGTGTATAGGAGGGCAGCCTGCTGTTAGGTGTTGCAGCCACTCTCCTCCCTCCCTCTGACCTTTGCTCATGCAACCACCGGCTGACTCCAACTGGAACCAGAGGGCAGGGGCCTGTTGAGGCAGGCAAACCTCCCTGTCCCAGAGCAGTCTAGAGGAGGATGAAGAATGGCTGTGGAGGGACCAATGGCAGATGTTCAGCACACACACTTTATCTACTCTTCAGCACTTTTCATTATTTCAAACCTAACCTATGAAGATTGCCCCATATCTCTATATAGAGAACATCCATATTCTCTGTCATGGCAGCATATTATTTCTTGCATGTGTTACACTTTTTAAACAGTCCTTTATTGTATACTTTATATTATTACAAGTCCTGGCTTAAAGATTCTTCGTGTGCACCTTACTAGGTGCACCTCATTACACGGCAAACAGATCAATTAAGAGTGTGTGTGAAAACTACAATACCATAAACAAATAATAAAATACTGAGGTACAAGGGACCTAATACAACCCCGTCATTTTACAAACTAGCTTGCTTACAGTTGCACTTTCTACTACAATGACAAGGACTAGAATACAGGCCACCAAATTTCTAGTCCAGGGGTCCTTCTACTACAATAATCTATTTTCATGATTGGTAGAAATTTCATTTTTGAGAAACTCTTTGACAAAGAAGCTTAGTTTTGTGGTCATCTATAAGAGACTCCATTGAGATGGTCGGTATTTTGAATTCAGTTCCAAATATGAAAAGGGAGGATTTCTTTTCCTATTTTTTTTGTCACAAGTCACATTTTAAGATACGAATTAGGCCAGGCTCACCCCTGTAATCCCAGCACTTTGGGAGGCCAAGGAGGGTGGATCACCTATGGCCAGGAATTCGAGACCAGCCTGGCCAACATGGTGAAACCCCGTCTCTACTAAAAATACAAAAAATTAGCCGGGCGTGGTGGCAGATGCCACCTGTAATCCAAGCTACTCAGGAGGCTGAGGCAGGAGAATTGCTTGAACCCTGGAGGCGGAGGTTGCAGTGAGCTAGGATCGCTCCACTGCACTCCAGCCTGGGCAAGGCAACAAGAGCGAAGCTCCGTCTCCAAAAAAAAAAAAAGGAATTATTTAACTAAAATTCACATAGGAAATAAGATTGTTCCAGCTATAGGTCATACTTTAAACAGGGACATTGATGGCCCAAAGGGACGTCATCAGATGTGAGCAGCAGAACAAATTACCAATGAAAGGGAAGGTCAAAGAGAAGACGGATCTGTCCCACTAGAATTCAAACAAACAGCAGTTCCTCCGTGTTACTGATCGAAAGGAGAAAGTAAGGGGAGAACAAAGTTGTTAGTGGTGAGGCTAGGGGTGCAACTGGACAAACGTTGGAAGCAGGAGAGGAAAACTGAGACCACATCTAAGAAAATGTCCATAGTAAATGATACCCACAGAGAATTCCCAAAAGAAGACGTACAAATGGACAGTAAATAAACTAAAAAGTTAAGCTTTACCAGTAAGCAAAGAAAAGCAAATTAAAACATATGTTTACAAAGTCACTGAATTGGCAAAAATTAAACAAGATAGTGGTAGGGGCAGGCACAGGGAGTTCCTGCTGGAATGCAGACACAAAACCTTTCTGGAAAGAAAACTGACATACTCTTTGACCAATAACTCCACTGCTTTCCTCTCTCCCTCTCTTTTTCTGAGGCGGGGTTTCGCTATGTTGCCCAGGCTGGTCTCAACTCCCCAGGCTCAAGCAATCCTCCCGCCTCAGCCTCCCGAGTAGCTGGAACCTCAGGCGCGCGCCACAACTGCAGAAACACCAAAAAAAGAAAAAAAGCTTGAACTCACTTTTGTACAGAATCTTACTACAATGTATTCCAGAAAAACAACTGGAAATCAGTGGTCATCTCTGCGTGTGAACGCATGGGTGATTTTTATTTACAGCCGGGCGCGCATCTCCATTTTCCAAAATATCCGATATACATATTTAAAGTCACCTGTGTTGCGCTGCTCCTGGCCCACAAGCGCTAAGGGACCCCAGCACTTACCTTACTCGTCCACGCCGCCTCACTCCCTTTCACTTTGTGGCTGTCAGCAACCACTTCTCGGAAGAGCCCGGGCGCGGACAGCTCCTTTCATCAGCCCCAAGCCGGACAGGACCCTAAGACCAAGTCACCCAGGGGCTGTTGCCTAGCAACCCTCGTGGCCCCGCTAGCGGGAAGGAAACCGAACAGAAAACGCACAAGCGCAGAAAAGAAACTCCTGGCCGTCGGTCGGCCCCCGCTCAACAGCCCAATAAACGGAAGAGCTTCTAGTCACCGCCCACCTTGCTCGGCTCTGACCGGAAGCTAGGCGTCACCTCCGCCCGTATTAAAGATGGTCGACCTTTTTCCCCTCCTTTTCCTGCCCCCAGACTAGAGGCGGGATGTAGTCTCTTAGGCTAAGAGTGATTGGTCACAAGGAGACTCGGAAGTGTCTGATCAGAGCCCCAGAGGAGGCCTTGAGAGCCTGTTGGCGTACCGTTCCACACTTGGATCCAGGAATCGGGCGTGTTCCAGGCTGCTCTCTATGGTAGCTTTGGGCGGATAGAGGGGGCGCGCAAAGTATTAAGGGACAATAATGGCCGCTTTCAAGGTGTGGATTTTGGCTCCTTGAGCCTGTCTGAGCGAGGGGTGGCAGCGCCGGCGCCCCAGAATCCGGGACAGAAGGGTCCCAAGAGTCGCGCTTGGTGAGGTGAGAGTCCCTTCTTCCTTCCTGGCCTGCCCTTCTGTAATCATGGCGGCTCTAGGCGGCGGATATTGGTCCCCTGCTCAGGTCCGGGCCCCAGTTTGGGGAGTTCCTCTGTCGTCCCTGTCACCCACCTTGCCTTACTCACCTCAGGGATGCTGCATCCGTCCTGGCCGCCTTGGCCTTCCTCCTTGCTCTGGTCAAATCCTGCTGCCTGGAGCGGCCTCGCTGAGATCCAGGGATGCTGCCTGGAGTGGCCTTGGTCCCTCTCCCAGGCCTCCGCTTTAACCCACCCCAGACTGTCACCGAGCCCGAGTAGGACTCCTTGTGTCTTCCTCTGCTCTCTCACAGTGTCATTTATACCAGGCAATCTGGTGGGCGATCTCTTCTACTAGAATGTCAGCTCCAGGTGGGCGGGGATTTTTGTCTTGTTCTCTGTTGCTATCGCCGAGAACAGCAATTGGCTCAGGGACACCCTCAGTGAATAATTGTTGAATGAATGAATCCAGGTTCTTTCTTCCCTGGCTTTCTCGTACGCCTTGTAGTTTCTTTGCCATTAATCCTTCTCAAGAATCTTGCTCTTTAGCTCCTTATTTGTTCGTCTCAGCAGCTAATGAAGTTCTCTCTGGCTGTCTCCTTGTCCTGTGTTGCTGGAATCTTCCCTTGCTGTCTCCAGAAATGTTTGG
Organism: Homo sapiens; assembly: GCF_000001405.40. NCBI lineage: Eukaryota > Metazoa > Chordata > Mammalia > Primates > Hominidae > Homo > Homo sapiens. Next base: position 72,094,732 of record NC_000016.10, read on the forward strand.
GTTCCTGTCCTCCTTTAATAAGTTTAAATTAATTCATTTTTTAATTTATCAAACGCTTATTTTGCTAGACATTGAGCTACAGCAGTCAACAACACATCCAGTGTTCTCTCAACTGCGTAGAATGGCAGTCCAGGGTACCTTTCCTAGTTTAGACAACTATTGAGTAGAGCCTGTATATCTTTACCTTCTTGTGTGGATTTCCTCACATGCGCACAGATGTCACCAATATGCAGCTTTCTTTTTTTCTGTTCTGCCTGATGGCATTTTCAAAATGTAACTCTTGTTTCTGCATTAATATTATGTGTCCAGTCTGTTTGGCAATACTCTGTAGAGCTGTGCATTTAATTAGAGTTTGGTAAACAATTCTGGATTCTGGTGGCATCTCCTTTGCTTTGCTAACTTGTTGGAATGAGAGGAATTATCCAAGCATCCAGAACTGATATATGTTGATGAGTGGCAGATGTGTAGTGAGAGGTAAAGAGGAGCTTGTTCCAACTTGAGTGCCAGAAGTCTTGTAGCCACTTAAATACTTCTCAGTAACACCTTTTCCTAACCTGGTGTTTCTCATAAATATTTTTGGTGAACATGGATTGTTATTAAACTGATTTTGGCTGCTGTGAGTAAATTGTTTTCTGTAAAACGCAGCTAGGCCAAGAAAAGCCACTAAAGTATGGAGAACATGGACGGTAGCCTTCTGCCCCATCTCTGTGCTGCTGTACCTGTTGTTTAAAGAGAGGAAGAGGTAGAACTCATGTAAAAAAATGGGTGAGGGACCAACAGTATATAGGAGGATAGCAAATAATACAATGTAGCAGTTACATTTATGTTAACTGTTATGGTTACATAAAGAGCTACTCTTTATGGTTTCACATACACTTTTTGTTTGATTCTCACAATAGCTTCATGGATTAGATAAGGTAAAAATTTTTTCCATTTAATAGATATGAAATTATGGCTAAACAAAGATTAAGTTATTTGCTTACCATCATACAGGTAGAAAGTGTCAAGAGCCTGGTTTCTAATTGAGGTTTCTGATTCAAATTTAGTGGTGTTTTCCCTACATCCCTGTTACAGCTGCTGACATCAGGCTCTAGAAAGTGTCCCTTAGTGAGACTTTTTATTGCCTCTTGGATCTTTGTGGGGGCTGGGGAGGAATGTATGGGGTGTGTGTGTGTGTGTGTGTGTGTGTGTATCTATTTTGGTGTTTATTGGGGGTTGGAATAGGAGAATCTTTGGAGATAGGCAGTGACTTGATGGAAAGGTCTTGGAGAGAGGGAGCAAAAGTAGTCCTGGTCTTAAGGGGAGATGGGGAAGGTTAATCACCTACATATAACCATAACTGCATTTATTGTGGGATATAGTAGAGCTGAGCCTTCTCTAGTACCAAATGGTTTGCCTTCCTTCCAGAGAAATCCCAGATCCTGTGATGGGGGACACCAGTGAGGATGCCTCGATCCATCGATTGGAAGGCACTGATCTGGACTGTCAGGTTGGTGGTCTTATTTGCAAGTCCAAAAGTGCGGCCAGCGAGCAGCATGTCTTCAAGGCTCCTGCTCCCCGCCCTTCATTACTCGGACTGGACTTGCTGGCTTCCCTGAAACGGAGAGAGCGAGAGGAGAAGGACGATGGGGAGGACAAGAAGAAGTCCAAAGTCTCCTCCTACAAGGACTGGGAAGAGAGCAAGGATGACCAGAAGGATGCTGAGGAAGAGGGCGGTGACCAGGCTGGCCAAAATATCCGGAAAGACAGGTAAAGGCCTTAGTATGGGTTAGCCCAGAGGGAAGCGAACGGAGGCTGGAAAATAACAGCTCATGTTTATCTCTCAGTTTTCCTGTTGGAGATTTAGAGCTTTATGATTTTATTATGATTCTGTAATACTGAAGGTAGGTAGGAATTTGTGGGGAAAAACAAAGGTGAATAAAGACGAGATGGTAGAGGTTAGAAATGCCTTGGGTTGTTGCCATATGTGAGCCTGCGTCCCAGGGAGAGAAAGTGGAAAAGGACAGATCACTTGTTTGGACAGCCAAAGGTTTTAGGGCAGAGTTTTTCTCCTATGGAGGGGCCTTTACCAGTTGCTCTCCCTGTTTCAGACATTATCGGTCTGCTCGGGTAGAGACTCCATCCCATCCGGGTGGTGTGAGCGAAGAGTTTTGGGAACGCAGTCGGCAGAGAGAGCGGGAGCGGCGGGAACATGGTGTCTATGCCTCGTCCAAAGAAGAAAAGGATTGGAAGAAGGAGAAATCGCGGGATCGAGACTATGACCGCAAGAGGGACAGAGGTAAACTGTCCAGCACAGTTCCTATTGTCCATTAGCATTCGAATAAATGTGTCAGCCTTTTTCTTGTTGCAGGAGTTTTTGCAACACCCATTTGTTAGGGAGTCCTATTTGCATGATGTCCGCCTGAGTGGTTTTGACCCTGCTGGGATTGGGAATACTAGTTTAAGAAAAGAGCTGTTGCCTGTAACATAGCTGCTCTCCTTGAGTGTGTGGTCTTCGTTTTATTATGAAAATTGATGATAAAGGAGATAATGGGTAAATATGTATAAGAGACCAGCATTTCTAATAGTATTGGTGATAGAGAAAGGACAGTGCTATGGAACAAAGCTAGACAAAAAAATCCAATGCTGTCCTTGCTCAGTATTAAGTTTTATAGCTGATAGAATTGTAACTATTAAAAAAAATGATTCACTGTAAACTCGCACTAGTATTTTTTGAATTCTTGCTGGAAAATAACTGTTACTGTGGGTTTGAAATTTTCTAGGCAGTAACTATTTTTCCCCCTTGGGAGAATGGGGATAGGTGAGTTTCAGGAGTCCACGGATCACATTCGAGCAGTGCAGGTTGCACCTGTGAGTGAGTGGGCAGCCTGTCCTTTCTCTAGGGTGAAGATGTGTATACCTTAGGATGGGATGCATGTTTTTAAGCTTCGTGTGACTCTTCATAGATGAGCGGGATAGAAGTAGGCACAGCAGCAGATCAGAGCGAGATGGAGGGTCAGAGCGTAGCAGCAGAAGAAATGAACCCGAGAGCCCACGACATCGACCTAAAGGTAGACTCACTGTTTTGGTGGCTTGTGAGGATTCAAGTGTATAAAAGGCAGAGTGAGTGACTCTCGTCTTCAGTGAGATTGCTGAGGCATTGAGTCAGAATTCCCGATTCTACCATGAACATCTTGGGATAGTTGGTTCTGAGTCAGGTGGGCACAGCTCTGCACTTGGGGTGGATATGGTTCCTGTAAGGTGAGAGGCTGGTTTGCTGAATGGCCAGTTTTCCAAATGGTAGGAAAGAATAGGGAGCTGGAGGTAGAAGAAGTGTTTATTAAAAAGAACTACTTATATCCAAGAAGGGTGTGTTTGTAGAGATAAAGTAAATATCCCTTAAAATGTTGTCATAAACACAGAATGCAAACTGGACCATTGGCTAGGTGCAGTGGCTCATACCTGTAATCCCAGTACTTTGGGAGGCTGAGGCAGGCAGATTACTTGAGGTCAGGAGTTCGAGACCAGCCTGGCCAACATGGTGAAACCCCATCCCTACTAAAAATACAAAAATTAGCCTGGGGTGGTGGTGGGTACCTATAATCCCAGCTATTCGGTAGGCTGAGGCAGGAGAATCACTTGTACCCGGGAGGCAGAGGTTGCAGTGAGCCAAGATCACACCACTGTACTCCAGCCTGGGCGACAGAGCAAGACTTTGTCTCAAAAAAAGAAAAAAAGGAAAAATACATCCTGGACCATTAAAAATTGAGATATCTTTAAAAACTGTCAAAACCGATCTTAACCGTTATAGATACATGCAAGGTTTAGAAATAGTAAAAGGAGTAAATTTGGGGAATTGACTTTTGGCAACTGGTTCTAGACCATGTCATGGTTAAGTGAGATGTTTCCTGTGGATGTGTCTTTTGTGGCCCAGATGCAGCCACCCCTTCAAGGTCTACCTGGGAGGAAGAGGACAGTGGCTATGGCTCCTCAAGGCGCTCACAGTGGGAATCGCCCTCCCCGACGCCTTCCTATCGGGATTCTGAGCGGAGCCATCGGCTGTCCACTCGAGATCGAGACAGGTGATGTTCTGGGCAGAGCAGCCCAGTTTCGCTGGGTGGGCGGTAAGGAGCCTCGGCAGGGAGAGCAGATGGTGGCCAGGAGGACGTGGCTTAGCTCAGTGACAGTTTTGTGATGCTGGTGCTGCTGTTCCCAGGTCTGTGAGGGGCAAGTACTCGGATGACACGCCTCTGCCAACTCCCTCCTACAAATATAACGAGTGGGCCGATGACAGAAGACACTTGGGGTCCACCCCGCGTCTGTCCAGGGGCCGAGGTGAGGCCTGTGGGGCAGCAGGCAGAAGAGCAGGCTTGCTTGCCCTAGCGAGGATGAGCAGGGGCTGCCCTTCTGGAGCTGCATGGCCCTGCAGATCTGTCTGGGGCCGCTGGGGACAGGCCAGGGCATGGACTGACCTGCTTCCTGTGCTCCTCCAGGAAGACGTGAGGAGGGCGAAGAAGGAATTTCATTTGACACGGAGGAGGAGCGGCAGCAGTGGGAAGATGACCAGAGGGTAAAGTTTTATACCTCTGAGGGGCTGATCGGGGCTGGTGGCCGTCTGTAGATGGGTGACCCTCTAGCAGGACTGGGCTTTGATGAGGGTACACCTGAGCCCTGTTCAGACCCAATGCCCTGGAGTCTCTTTGCAGAGGCATAGACGGCACGGTGAACCCTGTCACTCACTGCAGTAGGCTGACCTAACTGTTCTGTTATGTGTTGGTGCCACCATGTGGTAAATCTAAGAAGTGCTATCGTGATGGGCTGCCCTCCAGTCCTGTGTAGTTGCCCACTGTGGTTCTCCTCCAGATGGCATGTGTCTGCAGGGAGGCCTCTCCTGCACCCCTCACAAGGGTAGCTCCACTGCAGTAGTGACTTCCTACCAAGCGTCCCTTCTTCTGTTGGCCATGTCTCGTGCATAAACTTGATCTGTCCCTCACTCCCTTGCTTTGCCTCCTGCCCTGCAGCAAGCCGATCGGGATTGGTACATGATGGACGAGGGCTATGACGAGTTCCACAACCCGCTGGCCTACTCCTCCGAGGACTACGTGAGGAGGCGGGAGCAGCACCTGCATAAACAGAAGCAGAAGCGCATTTCAGCTCAGCGGAGACAGATCAATGAGGTGAGGCTGCCTGCAGAAGTTGGAGCAGATTCAGAGCTGGAGGTAGAGCACGTGGGGAAGCAGCAGGTTATCCCCAAGTGAGGGCAGCACAGCTTGTCCCCTGATTGCCGAGAAGCCCAGATCCTCTGGAGGTGGAAGAGGAGTGGGTGATGAGCCTTTTAGTAGCTTAAGGAAAGCCCCGGCTCGTACTTCTCTCTTTTGCAGTACTTCCTTGAGGGGAAGTACTGTTGATGGGAACAGGTGCATTGGGACCTGCCTCTGTGGTCTGTGTTCTTTGTGTCTCTGATGTGGGCTAGGGACACTTACCATTTGTGTGTCCCTCTAGAGGTTCTGATTTAGATGAAAGGTGCTGCTGCTTGGAACAAACTCCTGCAGGTGATTTGGGATCAGCACCTCTTCTGTCTTTGGAGCTGTGGGTAGAGGCCTGTGACATCTTTGCAGCTACCAGTGGCCTTCTGTCAGGACTTGATGTGTGGACTTACCTCATAACCTTTCAGGACGACCTTTGGGGTGGCAATTTGAGTGTGGCTCCCATTGTGTCCTCACAGGATAACGAGCGCTGGGAGACAAACCGCATGCTCACCAGTGGGGTGGTCCATCGGCTGGAGGTGGATGAGGACTTTGAAGAGGACAACGCGGCCAAGGTGCATCTGATGGTGCACAATCTGGTGCCTCCCTTTCTGGATGGGCGCATTGTCTTCACCAAGCAGGTGAGGCTCCTCTGTGGCCAGGGACAAGACAGCTCAGAGAGACCTGATGTGGGCCAGGTGCAGTGGCTCATGCCTGTCATCCCGGCACTTTGGGAGGCTGAGGAGGGTGGATCATTGGATACCAGGAGTTCAAGGCCTGCCTGGGCAATATAGTGAAACCCTGTCTCAAAAGTACAAAAATTAGCCGGGTGTGGTGGCAGGCACCTGTAGTTTCAGCTACTCGGGAGGCTGAGGCAGGAGAGTTGCTTGAACCTGGGAGGCAGAACCTGCAGTGAGCAGAGATCACACCACTGCACTCCAGTCTGGGCGACAGAGCAAGACTCTGTCTCACACACAAAAAAGGCCTGATGTGGAGACAGAAAGAAGAGAAGGGAGAAAATAGCCCTGTACCATGAGAGGGTAGCAGTCCCTTTCACAAGTAGGGATCTTATGAACATGGCCTTCTTGCTGATTTTAACGGGCATCGCTCTTTCTCCCCACTGCTGCAGCCGGAGCCGGTGATTCCAGTGAAGGATGCTACTTCTGACCTGGCCATCATTGCTCGGAAAGGCAGCCAGACAGTGCGGAAGCACAGGGAGCAGAAGGAGCGCAAGAAGGTTGGTTTCTTGGTTTCGTGGCTGGGAAGTTTATGTGTATTTTTTTCTTTTTTCTTCTCTTCATAAGTCTTACTAGGCCCACAGATAGAAGTTAGGAGTCCCCTCTATCAAGTCCTTAGGCCCGACAGCTGCGGGGCCTGGTGTTGGGAGAGCTGGAGGCTTGAGGATTGGAATGTGGCTCGGTGCCACCAGCACTCTGGGGGAGTTTACCACCTGCGGGGTGAAGTCTGCTCTCCCGTGGGATTGATTTTCCATTGCTCGCAGTCATGTGGCAGGATGGAGCAGACTGACCTTTTTCCTTTTCAGGCTCAGCACAAACACTGGGAACTGGCGGGGACCAAACTGGGAGATATAATGGGCGTCAAGAAGGAGGAAGAGCCAGATAAAGCTGTGACGGAGGATGGGAAGGTGGACTACAGGTGGGCAGCCTCAGCCAGCAGCACATCAGCCTTGCTCCAAAGATGGGGGCCCATGTGGGCAGTTGCGGCAGAACCCATCGACTTTGTGGCTCCTGAGTGGGAGACTCTTAGGATACCTCTCTGCATCTTCCATTCTCTCTGGTCCCTTCCTCCTGGTCTCTTCACTGTCCTCCACTTTTCCTATATGTGATTCCTCCTCCCTCACACTGCTTCCTCTGGTGCTGGTGTTGTGAGAGGAAGGAGGCCCAGGGAGGTTAAGTAACTTGTCTGAGGTCACCCAGCTTGTCAGTGAGGGAGTTAGGATCAGACCCAGGCCGTCTCACATCAGAGCCACTCTGCTGAAGTACCTCCCAGGTGTTCAGCATGGGCAGCTGGGTTTTAGTCCCTTAGATTTGAGTTCACTATAAGAACTATTTTTAAAAGAGGTTCCAAAATAGAAAGGGTTATCTTATTGGCCAGTGACTTCTCTGCTCATAGAGGCATCTAAGCAGATGCTGAGTTGGGATTCCTGCATTGGGCAGGTGGCTGGACTTATCTGTCCCTTAAGATCCTCATCCTTCGAATGCCCTTATGTTCTACTGAACGGTCATCTGAGTTAATAATTCTCTCCACTCCTGTGTGAAATGTCCATACGAGAAGTTGGTACTATTGATCAGCCCTTATTCTTCTCTAGTTAACTTAATTCCTCAGGTATTAGTTATTGGGTGACCAGGAGGGACTGGGTGAAATTAGAAATAGGAAGCTCAGCAGAGCATGGGGCGGCACATCAGACAGGAAGTCTCTGGGGAGGGGGTTGGGGAGGGGTGTGTGGACTGTGTGGAGCACTGAACTGGTGTCTTTTTGCCAGGCAGCCTTGAGAAAGTGACAGTGCTCTGCATCTCGGGTGTGTACATGTGTCAGACATTGAGAGCTTTCAGTAGAGGTTGCAGGTTACTGTTTAGTGGGGCTGTTTTCACAGTTCTTTGAAAACAAAACCGTACAGACTATGCTTTCCTGCTGTCCTGCCAAGAGGAGGGAGGAAGTTTGACCCATGTCCCGTGCTCTGCACCCTTACCTCCTCACAAGGCCTGTGTGGCTATTTTAGCCCTTTAGACGTTGTGCTGAAATTGCCCGAGGGTATTTTCTACAAGTTAGTGACCTGGGGATTGATTTCCACTCCTCTTCTGCTCACTCTGTTTTGGTTAGAGGGTTTGCTAATATGGTGATCTGTAAATCCTCCGATCCATGTTCAGCTAGCTCTGTTGGACCCTGTGGTGTCGAGTGTGTTGTGGATGATGGATTCTCAAGTAGCAGTTTCAGTCCTGAGGTCGATGAGAACCATCTCAGATTCCCTGGCTGCTTTGGTGTCTCAGACTCTTGCCGAAGTCCTCATTCCTGAGCGTAGGAAGGAGGGCAGCAACCCAATCAGGAAGGACAGCATGGGGCACCATGCAGGGTGTTTAGGCTGCTGTGTGTTCCTAGGACAGAGCAGAAGTTTGCAGATCACATGAAGAGAAAGAGCGAAGCCAGCAGTGAATTTGCAAAGAAGAAGTCCATCCTGGAGCAGAGGCAGTACCTGCCCATCTTTGCAGTGCAGCAGGAGCTGCTCACTATTATCAGGTAACTTCACCCGGGGCCCAGGAATCTAGTGTCAAGTCAGGGGTGCCCTTGGTCTCCCATGTTTACCCAGGAGCTCTTTTTCTTTTGTGCATTGCACCCAGTGGAGAAGGGAAATACTTTTTTCCTCTGACCTCATGCCTGGGGTACACTGCACAAAGTAACGGGATGGCACCATTTTGTTTTAGCTCACCTGTTTAAACCTCACCGTATTCCAGATGTTTCAGGTGTTATCTCAGTAAGAGGCTGTTGTCCCAGTGAAATTCTCCCTTCTAAACCGGCATGCTCCCTGGATAGCTAGTCATGGGGATAGGAGGTAGCGGAGTCTTCTTGGAGGCTGGGTGTTGGCCTTCCACTTCGGCTGATAAGCCCTTTGCCTGCTTGTCCTTGTAGAGACAACAGCATCGTGATCGTGGTTGGGGAGACGGGGAGTGGTAAGACCACTCAGCTGACGCAGTACCTGCATGAAGATGGTTACACGGACTATGGGATGATTGGGTGTACCCAGCCCCGGCGTGTAGCTGCCATGTCAGTGGCCAAGAGAGTCAGTGAAGAGATGGGGGGAAACCTTGGCGAGGAGGTGAGTGGGCGTGGGGGCTGAGCCATGTAGTTATTCCCTAGTAGCTTCCACCCATTTTTGCTAAAGGGTGTGATCTGCTAAGACTCGGACCCCAGTACGGGGTGTGCTGGTGGTGAGCCGGTGGCCAGGGCATCTGAGCCATCTCTCTGACCTCCAGGTGGGCTATGCCATCCGCTTTGAAGACTGCACTTCAGAGAACACCTTGATCAAATACATGACTGACGGGATCCTGCTCCGAGAGTCCCTCCGGGAAGCCGACCTGGATCACTACAGTGCCATCATCATGGACGAGGCCCACGAGCGCTCCCTCAACACTGACGTGCTCTTTGGGCTGCTCCGGGAGGTGAGGGCTGTGTGGTTTGGTCTCTCTGCGCATGGGGTGTTGACCAGTGCACCACCAGTAGCTAGTGGGTTGCTCCAGGTGGGCTGAGGGGGTCTCTGGTAGGCCAGAGGTTCCTGAGGCCTCTGGTTGCAGTTCAGACTCGGGTTGTAGTTCATGCTGTTCTTGCTCTGCTGAGGGTGGCTTGGGGTTTTCTGGGCAGTGGCTCCATTGCTTCAGTCTTCATGATTGGTAAGAATTGAATAGGCCCATTTGTCAGCTTTGGCTTGTGTTTCCTCGGGGGTGGTGCTGATGGGACTGGGGGACAGGAGCCAAGGGTCCCCACCATGGGGGCCTCCGAGCCGCCTCTTCTCTCAGGTAGTGGCTCGGCGCTCAGACCTGAAGCTCATCGTCACATCAGCCACGATGGATGCGGAGAAGTTTGCTGCCTTTTTTGGGAATGTCCCCATCTTCCACATCCCTGGCCGTACCTTCCCTGTTGACATCCTCTTCAGCAAGGTATTGAGGCCACCATGTTACGAACTGACCCTTCCATGCCACGCACTTCTCTGATGCGAAGCCGGCTGGAGGGTGGAGGGTGGGTAGGGGACTGGGTTGGAGAAGATTTCCTGGGGACCATGGGGCAAATGGGGCAGCCTGCAGCTCTGGGACTCGGGGACAAAGGACTCTGCTCTGGGTGAGGTTTTGTTTCATTATTTCTTTGAGGCTGAAGTACAGGGCCCAGGGAGGCACTGTGCCCTCTTGTAGAGGCCTCGCAGTCAGGCCCATGTGGAGGTGTGGTGGCCCTCAAAGTCCATGGCTCCATTCCAGAGCAGTGCCTGGGCCACTGGGCTCCCAGGAGATGCCCGGCCTGCGCTTCTAGTACCTCCCTCTGACTGTGTCCCCACTGCTGTTGCAGACCCCACAGGAGGATTACGTGGAGGCTGCAGTGAAGCAGTCCTTGCAGGTGCACCTGTCGGGGGCCCCTGGAGACATCCTTATCTTCATGCCTGGCCAAGAGGACATTGAGGTGCGTGCCTTGGTCACGACTGTGATGAGCGGGTGTGTCTTGCATATGAGAGGTTAGGGTTCCAGTGTCTCACAGCTCCTCCCTGGGCTCTCAGGTGACCTCAGACCAGATTGTGGAGCATCTGGAGGAACTGGAGAACGCGCCTGCCCTGGCTGTGCTGCCCATCTACTCTCAGCTGCCTTCTGACCTCCAGGCCAAAATCTTCCAGAAGGTGTGTCAGCAGGAATGTCCAGGAGTGGCTCTTGGAGTTCTCTAAAGGAAGCGAGAGGGGATGTGACTGTCCTGGCAGGGGGTGGGCTAGGAGGTAGGCTTTTCCCCCTCGCGGAGCCTTTCCTGTCTCGAGGGACTCATTTTTCCCTTCCTGTATGTCCTGCTCTAGGCTCCAGATGGCGTTCGGAAGTGCATCGTTGCCACCAATATTGCCGAGACGTCTCTCACTGTTGACGGCATCATGTTTGTTATCGATTCTGGTTATTGCAAATTAAAGGTAAGAGAAGACATGGGAGGCAAGGCCTGGGTGTTCACCAGAAGCTAACTTAGCTGCGGGGTGGGAAGCCAGGGCCTCGCTCCTGGCCCTGGGATGTGGGGAGCGCGTGGAAGTGGTGGTGGTGGTGGGAGGCTCACATTGACTCACTGTGCTTGGTTTGTTTAACCCTTGTAATACTCGATGAGGTAGATAATTTAACAGTAGAGCTCAGAGAGCTGGTGTTTGTGGGGAAGACTTCTTCAGGTGTTCATGAGAACATTTCTAGAGCCTCCTGGCTCTTCCTCTGCCATGTGTAGCAACCAGGGCTTGCCTTTGTCTCAGGCCTACTTCCACTTTCCCCTCACTCTGTCCTTCGTCAGCTCTTTGCCGTCCCCTCCTAGGTCTTCAACCCCAGGATTGGCATGGATGCTCTGCAGATCTATCCCATTAGCCAGGCCAATGCCAACCAGCGGTCAGGGCGAGCCGGCAGGACGGGCCCAGGTCAGTGTTTCAGGTAGGAGCCCTGTGCTAGCCTGCTTTCTGGGGCAGCGCTGGGGTTGCTGAGCGTGGAGCCCGGGCGGGGGCGGGCAGGATGCTGGCTCTAGAGCTGGTCCCCAAGGCTGGAAGCTGCTGGCAGGGCTGCCACTTGTTAGTCCTTTCATCCTATGCTACTGAGTGGAAGGAAGGAGTGGCTTTCCAGGGATTTCAGAGGTCTGAGGCCAACCTACGTGGATGTAGGTACACATGCAGGTAATTACAGCCTGCCTCCCTTCAGAGGGTAGGTCTGGACAGATGATGCCATTGGTTCTTTTTATTTCTATTGTTCTCTTTCCCCATTTTCTTTCTTTCTTTTTTCCAATTAGAGACAGGGTCTTGCTCTGTCACCCCAGGCTGGAGTGTGGTGGTGCAATCACAGCTCACTGCAGCCTTGATCTCCTGCACTCAAGTGAACCTCCCACCTCAGACTCCCAAGGGGCTGAGATTGCAGGCAGGCACCACCACACCTGGCTAATTTGTTCATATTTTGTAGAGATGGGGTCTTGCTATGTTGCCCAGGCTGGTATTGTGAACTCCTGGCTTCAAGCGATTCTTCTGTCTTGGCCTCCCAAACTGTTGGCATTATAGGTGTGAGCCACTCTGCCTGGCTCTCTTCCCCTTTTTTGTTCCAATTAAAAAAATTAATGTATTCACTATAGAGCGTTAGTGAATATAGAAAAATATCAAGAAAATAAAACCCAGCCATGATTCTAGTCCCAGGCCCATTGGTTCTAGAAATGAAACAGATGGCTGGGTGTGGTGGCTCATGCCTGTAATCCTGGCACTTTGGGAGGCCGAGGCGGGCCGATCACAAGGTCAGGAGTTTGAGACCACCATGGCCAATATGGTGAAACCCCATCTCTACTAAAAATACAAAAATCAGCTGGGCGTGGTGGCGGATGCCTGTAGTCCCAGCTACTCGGGAGGCTGAGGCAGGAGAATCGCTTAAATCCGGGAGGCAGAGGTTGGGCAACAGAGTGAGACTCTGTCTAAAAAAAAAAGAAATGAAACATGTAAGAGGCTCCAGAAGAAGGGCTAAATTGGCAGATTGGAGTTTTGAATAGGTGGAAGTCAGTGATTCACTGAAGTAGTGGGTGGGGAGAAGAAATGAGAATTTCCTCCCTCCCTGTGGGATTTCATCTGTACTGGCTGCTGTGGGGTTTCCTTGTGGTGAGAAGATGGGGTCTTCTCCCCGGCAGGCTCTACACCCAGAGCGCCTACAAGAATGAGCTCCTGACCACCACAGTGCCCGAGATCCAGAGGACTAACCTGGCCAACGTGGTGCTGCTGCTCAAGTCCCTCGGGGTGCAGGACCTGCTGCAGTTCCACTTCATGGACCCGCCCCCGGAGGACAACATGCTCAACTCTATGTATCAGCTCTGGATCCTCGGGGCCCTGGACAACACAGGTGAGGCGGCCCCGGGAGCCTCATGGGTGCTGGCGCTTGACTTCCTTCTTTCCTCTACTGTCCCGTCAAATATCCGGGTTTGCTCATCTCTCCTAGGTGGTCTGACCTCTACCGGGCGGCTGATGGTGGAGTTCCCGCTGGACCCTGCCCTGTCCAAGATGCTCATCGTGTCCTGTGACATGGGCTGCAGCTCCGAGATCCTGCTCATCGTTTCCATGCTCTCGGTCCCAGCCATCTTCTACAGGCCCAAGGTGGGGCAGCGGCTGGCTCCCCTCTCCCCGGAGGGCTCGAGGAAGTGTTGGGGAGGGGAATGGCTTCTCTCTGTATTACTGAAATGGAACAGAGGGCAGAATCAGAGTTTCTGAAGAATGATTTTGCTGTTCTCGGTTAAGCAGGTTGGGGTAGGGGAAAGGAAGGGCTGGGCCAGTGGTTCTCAGGGAATGCTTTGGAAATTTGCAAGAGCATTTTTTATCTTCTAGTATGGTTGCTCTTGAGCCCTCATGTTTTAGAGTAGACCTTTTTAAAAATTATTTTAATTTTTCTCAAATTGTCAGGGCAACCTATTGACATGTTTGAAGTTCTATGTGTGGGTAGGTGGTAGTGTTAGAACCTCTGGGATGTGCTCAGTGGGCCTGGACCCCCCTGTACTTAGAGTGAAGGTTCTTTTTCCCTTCCTAGGGTCGAGAGGAGGAGAGTGATCAAATCCGGGAGAAGTTCGCTGTTCCTGAGAGCGATCATTTGACCTACCTGAATGTTTACCTGCAGTGGAAGAACAATAATTACTCCACCATCTGGTGTAACGATCATTTCATCCATGCTAAGGCCATGCGGAAGGTAGAGTGGTGGATGAGCAGGATGTTGGGATGAGGGGAGGGTCGAGAGGAAAGGAGGGCTCCCTCCTGGTGCCTCCGTCTCCTGCCCTAGGTCCGGGAGGTGCGAGCTCAACTCAAGGACATCATGGTGCAGCAGCGGATGAGCCTGGCCTCGTGTGGCACTGACTGGGACATCGTCAGGAAGTGCATCTGTGCTGCCTATTTCCACCAAGCAGCCAAGCTCAAGGTGAACCCAGGAGCCCAGTGAGCCCCTCCCAGCCTGATACCTGTATAAGGGCAAAGTTCTTCCTTTGTCCTGGTGTGGTTCTGCAGATCTGGGCTTCCGCCAAAGGCTGTGTCAAGAGTGTTAAGGGATGGGGTCGCTGCCCAAATGGGTGTTGTTTTCCTGATGTGGCTGCCTGTTGTGTCTCCTCCCTAGGGAATCGGGGAGTACGTGAACATCCGCACAGGGATGCCCTGCCACTTGCACCCCACCAGCTCCCTTTTTGGAATGGGCTACACCCCAGATTACATAGTGTATCACGAGTTGGTCATGACCACCAAGGTGAGTCTTTTCCAAGGCACTTGCATAATGCAGGCCCCCTGTCTGGCCAGGCTTTGAAACCCTTCACTGCGTTCTGGCATGAGCTTTTAGCCTGGGAGCCTTGAGGCCACATGCATTGTTTTGCGGGGCATGTGAGGTTGGTTTTCATTTGGGGACTTGGGGAAGCTCTGCACAGGGTTGACCTCTAGACTGCATTGACCTCAGCTGCATGGGCACGATTGTTCCCCACTTGCTGCTTGGGATGAGCAACCCCTCTTGGTGTCATTAGAAGGATTTTCGGAGGGGTTGGGCCTTTTCTTTTAGATACTGGGGGCATTTTCTCAAGTGTGGAGGAGTTTGGATGGGAGTATCTGGGGTTTTTCCTTTCCTTTTTTCAGCCTTGCAGGGCCAGGGATTGGGCCCTTCCCATGTGGCTCCTAATTGTGGAACCACTCTGGGAGGGACATTGGCCCTCCTGTGACCCTCGCCTCCCTGCCCTTCTGCCCGCAGGAGTATATGCAGTGTGTGACCGCTGTGGACGGGGAGTGGCTGGCGGAGCTGGGCCCCATGTTCTATAGCGTGAAACAGGCGGGCAAGTCACGGCAGGTGAGGATTCTGTGCTCTTCGCAGGGGTGCTGTTTGCCTGTGGGGTCGGTGTTCCCTCCGCTTGGTATTGAAGACTTGCGGTCATCCAACCCACTTACTTCTCTCTGCAAACATAAAGGCTGTGATCCAGCAGGCTGGGTCTGTCTGATTCCCCACCACCCACTCCAGTTGTTTGGTAGGCTGAGCCTTTAAAAACAAAACCAAAAAACTCATTATTGAAAAGTCCAAATATTCATGAAAGTGGGAAAAACAGTACAACAGGCCACCATGAATTCGTTGCCTTGCCTCTATAATTGTCAACGTTTGTTCAATTTCACTATTCCTACCCCACTCCACACACATCCATTTTTTTTTTCTGGAATATTTTAAAGCTTATCTCATACATTATTCATCCATAAATACTTGAGTATGTGTCTCTGACTAAAAGGACTTAAAATTTTAAATATAACCTCTGTGCCGTTATCACTCATAAAAAAATGAATACTTAATGTCACCTAAGTCTCCAGTCCGCATTTGGATTTCTCCATTTATCTCAAAGATAACTTCTTATGATCGATTTGCTTGAATTAGGATCCAGGCATTGCAACTGCTTATGTGTGTTAACTGTTTCATTCTAGAACAGGCTCCACCCCACGCTTTTTTTCATGACATTGATTTATTGGAGCAGCCAGGTCATTTGTCCTGTCGAATAGTCCATATGATGTATTTGCCTCATTGCTTGCTCACAGCGGTGTTTAACCTGTGCCTGTGTTTCGTGCACTTGCTGTAAGCTGGCGATGAGTCCAACCGCTCAATTAGATCCCGGCTGAGCTGCGTGTGGCAGAGATGCCTGCATGTGGCACTGTGAACCTCCTCTTAGATGCCTTCAGGAGGCATGTGAGGTCTGGTGGCCCCACCTTTGCTGATGGGAGGATGGATGAGGGGCCCCAGTGGTGGCAGCCTGCCTCTTCCCTGATAGGTTTCCACTGCTCCTCCATCTTGAGGTTTTAGCGTCTGTTGATGGCCATTGCCTAGATCCATATTTAGGGTTGCAAAATGGTGCTGGGCTTTGGCTTACCCCTTTTCGTAGCATAATTCTCCCCATACCAGGCTCCCTTGCATCTTATGCCTGTCTCTTCCAGCCAGCAGGTAATCACATCTTCCCTGTTTTTCTGTACTTCCTAGCATAGTTGTGAACTTGATTTTTCAAAAAAGAAGGAAATGTAAGTACTTCCTGGACTGAGGGATGACTGAGTTAGGACTGATTGTCCAGTGTCTTGAGTCAGTGAAAAAAGCAGGCCTCAGCTGCAGAAGAGAAGGCGGCTTTGGTACTGGGGCAGGCAGCCATGTGGAGCACTGGCCTGGTGGATGCAGCACCTGGTTTGTGGCAGGGACTTGGGTGCCGACGAGGCCTCCTTCCTTAGTGGTCCCCAGTAGGCTCAGCCAGGTCTGTCCCTCTTCAATAGGAGAACCGTCGTCGGGCCAAAGAGGAAGCCTCTGCCATGGAGGAGGAGATGGCGCTGGCCGAGGAGCAGCTGCGAGCCCGGCGGCAGGAGCAGGAGAAGCGCAGCCCCCTGGGCAGTGTCAGGTGAGCTCCGGCCTTCGGGCTCTGGCTGGGGTGGCACCCATCCCAGGAGGCTGCCAGAGACCAGGCCCTGATGCAGGGTCAGGATTTATGGGAAGGTGCATGTGTGAAGGCAAACTGGTGACAGAAGTTGCTTGTGCATTTGGTGGTCACATGGATGTGTGGGAGGAGTTCCTGACAGCTTTAAAGGAGCGACAGTACACCTGCAGGGATTCAGGGCCTGAGGCAGCCTGGAGTAGCAGGATGGGTTTCACAGCTTTACTCATGAGCGAGGGGGTTGGAAACCCCAGTGCAGTGGTGAGAAGTGCGCCTTGGGCTTCTGCGTCTGTGCTGGTCCCTGGAGTTAGGCCAGACTTGACAGGTCGCAGGCACAGGCCTCCGTGAGAACGCCCTCACTTCAGATACCAGCTGCAGGTGTAGACACCATCCTTACTGGTGTCCCCATGGACCCCTGCAGGTTCAGTATTTGCTAGAATGACTTTCAGAACTCCGGAGAGTGCCGTACTTACCATTATAGCTTTATTATACCAAAAAGGTACAAATTAGAACCAGCCAAAAGGAGAGATGCATAGAGCAAGGTCTGGGAGGGTCTCAAATGCGAAGCCTCGTTTGTCCTCAGGACCACGTCCCCCCGTGGCACACTGATGCATGACAGTATGACAGGTTATTGCTAGCCAGGAAGCTCACCTGAACTTCAGTGTCCAGAGTTCTTATCATTGGGGTTCTGTTACTTAGGCATGAATGACTGAATCATTGTCATGTGGTAGAGCTCAGCCTCCAGTCCCCCCTCCTCCCCAGAGGTGAGGCTGATAGCACGTGGCTCAGAGCACCAGTGCTAACCCCGGGGCAGAGAGGCCAGCCTGCCTTGAGTCATGTTGTTAGATAAACTCAAGGGGTTCACCAAGAGTCACCTCATTAGCATAATCTCTCAAACGAGGGCTGAGGGGCCCCCATGAATAGCAGACACTCCAGTCACTTGGGAAATTCCAAGGGTTTAGAGTTGGCTCCTAGGCACTGGGGACAAAGGCAGGCTGCTACACAGTTGGAGTGGCGCACGTGAGGTGGAGGGAAGCTGCTTTTGTAGCTCCCCTAGGGACTGTGGGAGGAGTTGTTAAAATCCGATCTAAAGCATATCGGAATGAGTGAGCTTCCTTGATTACATCGCCAGTCGAACATGGGGACGGCAGAGGAGTGAGAATGTGCCGGGGAGGAGATCCCTCGGCCCAGAGCTCCCCACCATGGGTTAGGAACAGTAAGTCCTGGGGCTCTGCATCCTCCTGCCCTCCTGGCTGTGGGTGAGGGCACGGTGTTTCCTGATCTCTCCTGCTGTGTCTCCAGGTCTACGAAGATCTACACTCCAGGCCGGAAAGAGCAAGGGGAGCCCATGACCCCTCGCCGCACGCCAGCCCGCTTTGGTCTGTGAGCTGAGGCTGTCCCCAGAGAGGATGGCAGCAGGTATTGGGTCCTCAGCCTTCTGGCGGGAGCCCTGAGGCTGCGGACAAAGCCCTTTCATCTGAGGACTTTCATCTGTGCATATCACGGCCCCCCAGGGCAGTTCCTGCTGGACCAGACTCTCTGGCAGAGGAGGTGGAGTTCTTCCATGCAGGAGCACGGCATGGCGGGAGCGGGGCTGCAGAGTATCCGAGGTGCTGCCGGGGCAGCGGGAGGTGGCTGGACCCATCGCATCTAAAACTGGCCCAGGACACTTGGTGTATGCGTGACTTGGCTGTGGCTGTCTTTTTTAATCCTTGTGTAAAGCAGCAAAAAAGACCTAAAGGGAATTGTAATTTGGTTATAATTCAGGATTTGGAAATAAATTTATTATTTGTAAAACATGACTGCATGTCTGACTTTTTCCTTCACCCTCTTAAATCATGTAATAAAGGTGGGGGGTGCAGAAGCCTGCCCTGACTTCCTTTGCATGGGTCGTCCTGGAACTCTGCCCTTATTTCTGCACAAGGCAGACCAAGCTCTGAGGGTGCCCAGCTGCTCCTGAGGCTGGGGGGCACTGGCAGGTCTGCCTTGATGGCCAGGTCATGGGAGGGAAGTGCGCAGGAGTCCACCCCAGCCTTCCCTGGGGTGGTTTGGCTGCTTGAAAGAGGTCCATGTGATTGCTCTGGATGGCAGAGGGTAAGGGTTGTCCATTGACTGAAAAACAGTGTAAAATGTTGCTTATTGATTTTCACGTAAAAGGTGACCCTTACACCAGAATCACCAGTCTTTTCTCTTTTTAAGCAGTCTCTTAAGTCTGCTGAGGTGGCTTTTTGGGTGTTTGGCCCTTTCCACTAACCATGGTGTATATGTTGTGATTCCTCCAGGCTGGGCTTCTGCCAGGTGTGCTGGTTGGCAGGTTCTGTGTTGGGGTTGAGTCACAGACAGGATTGGGGCTCGGAAGCACCTTGATACCAGGCCAGTGCCGGCGTGAGCCCTGTGGTGCGTGGCCTGCTGTGCTGTTCTGATCCCTTTCTCCCTCTGTTCCTGGGATTTGCCTTTCCATGTTTTATAACTCAATAAATGTTAAAATGTAAGTCAATTTTGTGGGTGAGCTCAGAAGCCTAGCTTTGCCAGCCAGCACCAGCTACCACCTCTGCCTCCATTCTTCCCTCTAGCCCCCTTGGGGGAATGCAGGTGGAAATGGGCTTCTCAGGGCTCTGTAGTGAAGAGAGGGCTGCCAGCACTTTGCCTAGGAAGCATTCTAATCTTGGCCCTAGGTTGGAGGACTAGAAGTTGGCTGATGTGTGACCTATTTACAGAATCAGGCAATGGAGTAGGAAAAAGATTGAGGTTCTACTTAACAGTTATTATTAATAAGCTGTGACCTTGGTCACAAACTCACTAAGTCCCTTAGATAAAAAAATAAGGTCAGAGAGGCTATTAAAACAATGGGTCCAACTCAACCATCGTATTTACAAGCAAGGAACACCTGGTAAAGGATACTTGGTACATGTGGGTGCTACAAGAGGAATGGAGGGGTCCCCTGCCCACAGCAGCTCCCCCTGAATTTGCCACGGTACTGGAGCTTCTGCTCAAGGCTCTGTCTCTTCCTGTGTTTCCAGTGTTTTTTTAAATTACAGATCCTTTCCATTCCGATCTTCCTTAAAGTTCCTTCGAGCTTTAATATTCTGATTCTCACTGTCTTTTCTTCAGATGGCAACTGATTGTTTTTCTAGAGGTACAAAAGCATACCTATGACATGGTCTCTAGCACCATGGCCCCGTTGTGGACTCCTGAGTCTGGCTGACCCTTGTTATTGTCTGTATTTTTTTAGTGTAACCATCCTAATGGCTGGTATCTCATTGCAGTTTTGATTTGCATTTCCCTAGTATTTAGTGGTGTTGAGCATCTTTTCATGTGCTTATTATTGGTCATTTGTTTATCTTCTTTGGAGAAATGTCTCAAGTCCTCTTCCCCCCCGCTTTTTTTTTTTTGCATTAGTAACTTTTTAAAAATTTTTAAATTTCAACTTTTATTTTAGATACTGAGGGTACATGTGCAGGTTCATTATATGGGTATACTGTGTGATGTGGTAGGTTTGGGGTATGGATCCCATCACCGAGGTAGTAAGCATAGTACCCAACAGGTATGTTTTCAACCCATTTCCCTCTCTCTA
The DNA here is from genome assembly GCF_000001405.40 of Homo sapiens. Lineage (NCBI taxonomy): Eukaryota > Metazoa > Chordata > Mammalia > Primates > Hominidae > Homo > Homo sapiens. The sequence continues at coordinate 72,114,685 of NC_000016.10, forward strand.
TTCCTCCCAACCAAGTAGTCCACAGTGTTTATTGTTCCTATATTTATGTCCCTGTGTGCTCAATGTTTAGCTCCCACTTATAAGTGAGAAGAAGTAGTATTTGATTTTCTGTTCCTGCAAGAATTAGCTTAGGATTATGGCCTCCAGCTGCATCCATGTTGTTGCAAGGGACATGATTTCATTCTTTTCTATAGCTGTGTAGTACCCCATGGTGTGTATGTACATTTCCTTTATCCAGTCCACCATTGCTGGGCACCTAGGTTGATTCCATGTCTTTGCTATTGTGAATAGTGCAGCGATGAACATGCGAGTGCATGTGTCTTTTTGGTAGAATGATTTATTTTCCTTTGGGTATACGCCCACTCATGGGATTGCTGGGTCAAATGGTAGGTCGATTTTAAGTTCTTTGAGAAACCTTCAAACCTTTGTTCACAGTGGCTGGACTAATTTACATTCTCACCAGCAGTATATAAGTGTCGCCTTTTCTCACCAGCCTTGCCGGCATCTGTTATTTTTTGACTTTTTAGTAATAACCATTCTGACTGGTGTGAGATAGTATTTCATTGTGGTTTTGATTTGCATTTCTCTGGTGATTAGTGATCATGAGCATTTTTTCATATGTTTGTTGGCTGCTTGTATGTCTTCTTTTGAGAAGTGTCTGTTCATGTCCTTTGCCCATTTTTTTAATGGGGTTATTTGTTTTTTGCTTGATTTGTTTAAGTTCCTTATAGATTCTAGATATTAGGCCTTTGTCAGCTGTGTAGTTTGTGACTGTTTTCTCCCACTCTGTAGGTTGTTTATTCTGCTGATAGTTTCTTTTGCTGTGTAGAAGCGCTTTAGTTTATTAGGTCCCTCCTAGCAATTTTTGTTTTCGTTGCAATTGTTTTTGCTGACTTAGCCAAAAATTCTTGGCCAAAGCCGATGTTGAGAACGATTTCTTTTTTTTTTTTTTTTTGAGACAGAGTCTTGCTCTGTTGCCAGGCTGGAGTGCAGTGGTTTGATCTTGGCTCACTGCAACCTCCGCCTCCTGGGTTTAAGCGATTCTCCTGCCTCAGCCTCCCAAGTAGCTGGGACTACAGATGTGTGTCACCACGCCCAGCTAATTTTTGTATTTTTAGTAGAGACGGGGTTTCACTATGTTGGCCAGGATGGTCTCGATCTGTTGACTTTGTGATCCACTTGCCTTGGCCTCCCAAAGTGCTGGGATTACAGGTGTGAGCCACCACACCTGGCCTGATAATGATTTCTTTCTTTCTTTCTTTTTTTTTTTTTTGAGTAGTACTCTCACTCTGTTGCCAGGCTGGAGTGCAGTGGTGCGATCTCGGCTCAATGCAAGCTCCGCTTCCCGGGTTCATGCCATTCTCCTGCCTCAGCCTCCCTAGTAGCTGGGACTACAGGCGCCCACCACCATGCCCAGCTAATTTTTTTTCTTTTTTTTAGTAGAGACGGGGTTTCACCGTGTTAGCCAGGATGGTCTTGATCTCCTGTCCTCGTGATCCACCCGCCTCGGCTTCCCAAAGTGCTGGGATTACAGGCGATAACAATTTCTATAGTCTGAGGTCTGACATTTAAATCTTTAATCCATCTGGAGTTAATTTTTATATATGGTGAAAGATAGGGGTCCAGTTTCATTCTTTGGCATATGCTCTGCCCATTTTTGAACTGGGTTGTTTGTTTTCTTGAGTTTTAGGAGTTCTCTATATATTCTGGATATTAACATCAGAGATATGATTTGGAAATATTTTCTCCTATTCTGTGGGTTGCCTTTTTACTCTGTTGATGTTGCTTTTGATGCACAAAAGTTTAAAAGTTTCAGGATGTCTAATTTGTCTATTATTTCTTTTCGTGCCTGTGCCTTTGGTGAACTAATCACTGCCAAATCCAGTGCCATGAAGGGTTTGTTCCATGTTTTCTTCTATGAGTTTTATAGTTTCAGTGGCTACATTTAGGTCTTTGATCCATTTTGAGTTAATTTTTGTATAAGGTATTAGGTAAGGGCACAGCTTTATTCTTTTGCATGCAAATATTCAGTTTTCCCAGCACCATTTGTTGGAAAACTAAAACAAAAACTATCCTTTCCCCATTTCATAGTCTTGGCATCGTTGTCAAAATTATTTGACCATATATGTGAGGGTTTATTTCTGGGATTCTTTCTAGTCTATTCCATTGGTTTGTATGTCTGTCTTTTGATTTATATGGCAGTACCACACTATTTTGATTACTGTAGGTTTGTAGTAAGTTTTGAAGTCAGTAAGTTCTTCAGCTTTGTTCTTCTTTTTTGAGACTGTTTTGGCTGTTGGGATCCCTTAAGATTCCATGTGAGTTTTAGGTTGAGTTTTCCTATTTCTGCAAAAAAAAAAAAAAAAAAAATTGGGATTTTGACAGAGATTACATTGAATCTGTAGATCACTTTGTGTATACTGACATCTTAATATTAAGTCTTTCAATCCATGAACATGGGATGTGTTTCTGTTTATGTCTTCTTTAATTTCTCTCAGTAATGTTTTATAGTTTTCATTGTACAAGTCTTTTACTGCCTTGGTTAATTCCCAGGTATTTGTTTATTTTTTTTGCTATTATAAATGAAATGAAATTATTTTTATAATTTCCTTTTCAGATTATTAATTGTTGTTATATAAACCTGCAACTCATTTTTGTGTGTTGACTTTGTATCCTGTTACTTTGCTGAATTCACTATTAGTTCTACCAGGCTCTTTTTTGGGGTGGGGTGGTCTGTAGAGTCTTTAGGGTTTTTTACATATAAGATCTGTGAACAGAGATAATTTTACTTCTTCCTTTCCAGTTTGAATCCCTTTTATTTCTTTTTCCTAATTGCTCTGCCTAGAGCTGCCAGTACGATGCTGAATAGAAGTGGCAAAGCAGGTGTTCTTGCCTTATTCCTGATCTTAGAGGAAAAGCTTTTAGTCTTTCACCATTGAGTATAATGTTTGTTCTGGGTTTTTCATATGTGGTTTTATTTTGCTGAGGTAGTTTCCTTCTAATCCTCATTTGTTGAATGCTTTTTAAAAAATTCATAAAAGAGTGTTGTTGTAACCATTTCTTTTTAATATCAGCTGTTCGAACTACTTTTTAGGAGCTCAATTCCTTGGTTATTTCTTAACAAATTATAGGCAGGCAACACTCAGTTTCCCTGCCCTTCCTCCTGTCTTTAGAGAAACTGCACTTCTCTAAGTCCATCCCCTGTACTCAGCCAGGTCTTCTGCCTAGCTGGGCTGTCACAGTCGGATGGCTGGGTAATATGTCGATGTTTTTCTGGCTCTGCTACCAATTAGCTCTCCATAACTGACTACCTGCTTTGCTCTGGTGTAATCACTCCACAGGAAGTGAAAGATAACTTTGGAAAGATGTACAACATTCAAAGAAACCAGAGATTGTCATTTTGGCCAACGTATATGAAATATTTTGGTAAATTATAGAGATAAAATCCCTTTTTAGTAGACTAGGCTGGGGATTTTAATGGCATTGAACTTTAGTTTGAATAAAGCAAGCCACAGGCTAGATGAGTACTAGATTTTTCAATCTTTGTTTTCTCTAGAAAACAAACCCATATTCTAAACCACATGGGGGAACGTAGTTCAAAGAGCTTAAACAGACAACAACTATCATAACAGAAACTACCAGAGATGCCTGTCACTCCTAGCTCACACTGCATTTCTGGAACTGCCCTTCCCAAGTTCTGTCAGGGGCATCCTATGTAATATGTTAGTGTTCCTATTAGCAGTGAATTTTCTTGGCCTTTATTAGGCCCAGGAAGAATATTGAAGAATCATTGCTAACCAGTGGGTTTCTTCCTTCACTTTTACTGCCCCCCTCAGAAGTGTAAGATCTTTCATTTCTTTCCCTTATATTAATATTACCCTAGTAGTGAGTTGTCTCCACTTCCTATAGACTAGAAATATAAATTCTAGACATGTACTCAGTTTAACAAAATCCTACCAGAATAAAATATTAGCTGTCCTTAGAGTTTGTCATAATGGAATTTCACTTGTATTGAGGTGGCTGGGGAGGAAAATAAAATTGTTAGAAGGAGGAATGGAATGTGGAGCCCGGTGGTGGGCGGGGGGGCAGGTGGCGTGCTCTTGCTCCCCCACTTGGAAAATACAGCCCTTATTGCTCTTCCTTTCTTTGGGGTCTCAGGATTACTTCCTCTTTGGAGTTTTTAGACTTTCTCTTTTTAAGTTTCAGATAGTAATGGAAAGAAAAAAAAAGGAGCTACTTATCACTTTTGTTGGTTTAAAAACGAATCCAGAAGCTTGCATTGGGTATTATGGCTTCCCTGTATATGGAAGAGACCAATATCTCTTAGAATTCAGAGAAAACAGGATGAACATGTTGCTGGGGGATTGCGGGGCAGAAATGTCTGCTAGACGCCAACAGCTCACCACAACTGCTGTGCTCATGCTCATGTCTTTATTTCAGAGTTTGGGCCTGGAGATGGTAGTATGGTTCTAAAGCTCACTCCATGGCAGGAAGTGGACAAAACTCAACAAAAGTTAGTGTCTTGCAAAATAGGCTGGGACCGTGATATACTCCTGTAAGAGCTGATCCAGGTCAAGAGAGAGGGAGGGCTGGGAACTCACTGTCCTCTGAAGAAACACCCGTGGAAATGCTGCTCAGGGCTAGATGTGGATTCTAGCAGTATGAGGAACCTGAGGGAACAGGGAGGAAATGAGAGTTTTGATTCGAGGAGAAATTAACGAGGTGATTCCTCAAGGGCTGGCCGCATGGCCAGGCAGCTCTGCTGCAGGGTGACTTCTTGCCTCTGGGGTAACATGGAGTTTACAGGTGGCAGGAAAGGCGGCTGTGGACCCAGGCTGGGTAGGTGGCTGGGGTGCTCTTACGGGGTTTCCAGACGTAGAAGGAAGATGCCTCTTCTACCTGTTCCCTAAAATGGGTCTGGGTCAGGGGAGGGGGCAGGTCTGAGATGTGAGGCACTTGGGTATGCTTCAGATGTTCTTAGATCAGAAGGGGTCTTAATTTGCCTCCTCCCTTTACAGATGTGAAAACAACGATCTTTGGTCCAAAGTCGCTAAGAAAATGACTTGAGGCCACAAAAGGCCTATTTTCTTCTTCCTACTTGAATTCTCAATCCAGTGATTTAAAGAAAAAAATCACACTTATTTTTTTGACAAATGGCAGACGTACCCGGGCAGTGGGGCATCCCGATGTACTTGGTGAGGTCCATTCTTTGACCCATATCCTGGGGCAACCCCTTCCAGCCCAAGGTGCCGCACACTTTCTCCCTCTGTGTGGACTCCGTTCTGCTCGGGCCTAGGGCTTTGGTGCATAGCCTTGTGTTCTCGGCTTTCATCTTCTTCTCTTCTATCTCCTTCTTCAGCTTCTTGTTTTCCTGCTGCAAGTGGACCATTACACTGTGGAGGTGGCTGTGGGAAGGAGAGGAAGGACGGGTTGTGTTGGGGCTGCTGGCTCTGGTTGGTTCCCTGCTAGAAAGGACAGATAAAGGTGTCACAGGGAAGACAGCACAGATGCCCAGGTCTGTTCAGAGCCGGCCTGTTACACATGCTCTGTAGAAATGGAAGCCTACGTGTGTCCTGTGAAAGAAGCCCAGGCCTGGGGTCTGAGTGGACCAGGAGCTGGTACTCCTGCCCAACTCTGCCAGCTCTGGGCCTGTTTTCTTATCTGTCAGACGGGGACAGTCAGGCCTGGCCTGACTGATGGGATTCATACGAGGATCTGGTTTGATAAATGATAGAAATTTGACTTGAAGAGCCAGAAGGCTGGTAGGGACAACTGTGATCATGTGTCCTCGGGTTCTCATGGCCGTGCCTTGGAAACACTCTCACCCAGCACCAATGCCAAAGCCCGCATTCTCTCCGCTCCCCTTTGCTGAAGAGTCGGGAGCACAGGAGATCCCAGCTCTGTCAAGAACTTGGGTGAGTTACTCATCCCCATTTTACAGATTAGGAAATGGAGGCTGCCACGTAGAGGAGAGGAAAGATAATTTAGCGCATTCCCCGTGGCTCAATAAATAGCAACTTTTATTATCACTGTTGTGTGTCTCCAAACTAATGTTGAGGGCAGTGGGTGAAGGTGGGCTCTGAAACCAGACTTCCCACGTTGGAATTGTGACTCTGCCACTTATTAGTTTTGAGACCAGGGGCAAGTTACTTAGTTTCCCAGGTCCTCTCTTTCCTCATCCATAAATGGGGATCATGACTATACTGAACACAGGAGGTCTTATGAAGATGAAATGAGCTCATATGTGTCAACGCTTAGTACCTCACACACAGCAAATAATATGTATTAGTTGAGCTACTATCATCATTAAAAGTTGGTTTTCTTTCAAATAAGAACAGGAGAACTCAAGAGTGAGTTCTTTGTGAAAGAGAACTTCCTGGACTTGGCACAATAGAAGAAAAAGACTGAAGTTATCTGTTACCTTGAGAATCTGACAACTTTTCTTTTACTTACACCCTAGTAAAAAGTTTCGTGGTCTTTTCTAGAGGAAATCAAGTAGAGAATTCATCCTCAACCTCTTCTGTGGGCATATGCTCTACCCTTTTGCTCTCTACAAAGCTGGCCAACCTTGAGGTCGCCTCTTCCCCCGCCCAGTAGCCCCTCACTCCCAGTGCTGGTGGGTCTGGAGAGGGGGTCTCAGCAGTGCCCTCCTTTCCCGGCTCTCTGGCTCCCTCCTGTCAGCATCCCCAAAGCCTTCAATATCCCATACAGCTCATCCACATCCTGACTTCTCAATTCATTGGCCTCCTTATTCCAAAGGTCTCATCCTTCTCTTCAACTCAGCCATGTACCTAAGGCCAAAGCCTAGAATAGGGCTTTCCACCTGGGGTGCCACGAATGGATTCCAGGTGTTTGGAGATGCCTGCCTGCCCTTGGGGGCAGGCTCTGAGGCAGCCACTGCTTGGTCAGCTTTGTCACAAGTATGCCAAACAAATGTGGTTACTTTCATCGTTTTTTAGAGACAGGGTCTCATTCTGTCACCCAGGCCAGAGTGCAGTGGTGTGAACATAGGTCACTGTAGCCTCAACCTCTTGGGCTCAAGCAATCCTCCCACCCCAGCCTCCCAATTAGCTGGGACTGTACGTGTGCACCACCATGCCTGGTTAGGCTCATTTTTAAATTTTTTATACAGACAGGGCCTTGCTGTCGTCCAGGCTAGTCTTAAACTCCTGGGCTCAAGTGATCCTAAACTGTGGTCATTTTCTTTTTCACTTTTATTTTATTTTCACTTTTAGTTTAGATTCAGGGGTACATGTTACATCGGTAAACTCATGTCACAGGATTTTGTTGTACATTTTATTTCATCACCCAGGAATTAAGCCCAGTACCCAATAGTTATCTTGTTTGCTCCTCTCCCTCCTCCCACCCTCCACCCTCTGACAGACCCCATTGTCTGTTGTTTCCTTCTTTGTGTTCCTAAGTTCTCATCATTTAGCTCCCACTTACAAGTGAGAACATGTGGTACTTGGTTTTCTATTCCTGTGTCAGTTTGCTAAGGATAATAGCCTCTAGCTCCATCCATATTCCCACAAAGAAATGATCTCATTCTTTTTGATAGCTGCATAGTATCCATGGTGTTACGTAAGGCATGGTTGTTTTCTAAGTGTTCCCTAAGAAAAGGTTGGGAAGCGCTGTCCTAAGGCTTGTTGTTACTTGTTACTTTGCCACCTCCAAAATCTCAGTTTTAGGCCTTCATACCTTCACCTCCATTCTCAAACTGGTAACACTCCTCGCATACCTCCCTCTTAGTGGACCCAGCTTTGACCATGAGGGGAAGCAAGACCACAGGCCCCCAGATGAGCAGGTGGAACAGAAGGGCTCCTCCAACCTGGCCTGCTCACCTGATGATTTCATGAAGAGATGTTCCTTGTTTGTTCCTTCACTTGGGATCTGTTAGAGCATCTCAGCCCCTGCCCTAAATAATCCAGTCTGCCTTTCAGTGCCTGTTCCCTGCTTAGCACCCTTGACCTCTGAGAACCATGAGAGCAGGAAGGAGCAAAAAGACTACTAAACTCCCTTTGGATTTTTGGTGAGAGAACTAAGGCCCTGAGAGGTCAAGTGATATACCCAAGGTCACATAGATGCAGATTCGAGACCTGGGGGTCTTTCCAAAGCACCAGGCCTTTCCTGGGCTGATCCCCCTATCAAGGGCTAAAGCCAGCCCTGGCTCCCTGCTGACCCTTCTTGTCAGCTCCCAGGAAGCAGCCAGGGTGGTTTAAGATGACTTACTCCTTTTCGCCACTCAGCTTGGCAATGTATTTCACCTGCTCTCGGAGCTGGTTTCCTAGTTTCTCATTGGCGACCCTGTAATAAAATCACAGGAGAAAACAGCAGCCAGTCGCCAGCCTCCCGCGAGCAAGGGTGCAGCTGGCTGAATGGGATGCTGGGTTCTCAGCAAGACTGCTGCTGCATCCCACGTCCCCCACGCATCACCCCGTCCGCAGAGCTAAGGCCTTCCTAGCACCTGGGGATTCAGAGGACTCTCTGAACTCAACTCCTATGCAAAATCCTGTGAGCCCCAGGTGAGTTCAAGGGAATGAGTTCAAGGGGGCCAGGCAGTGAAGCTGGATCCTGGGATGGGAGGAGGATATCTGAGCCAATGTCCCCCTTCCTTCTTGCTGCCGAGCAAAGCACCCCTTCCTTCCTGCCATCGCTGTTTCCAGCTCAGCAGAGGGCTTTCCAGGCCTGCCTGAAGGGTTGAGCCCTCCTCTCCATCTTATTTCCATCCCTTGGGTGTGGGCTGAGACTGGATCTGTTTTCCAGGAGTGCAGGGGTGTGTGTGACTAATCTTTGGCACGCATGTGGCTCCTCGGCTCAGTCCAGGCCTCGGACCCTGCCTCCCTTTTTCCTCCCATACTCACTTCTGCTGTTTTGCCCATTGCTCCAAGTTGGTCATAATCTGATCATTCCCTCGGTAGAGCCTACAGGTGTCTTTGGGCACAGACCACTGGGGCAGGCAGCAGGGCTTGGGTACAAGAAGAAAACGAGACAGTCAGAGGTGGGAGCACAGGCCTGTCAGCCCTCCTTCCGAGTCAGGCCTCTTCTATCTCCCTGGGAAAAGAAAACTTGACTCTGCTGTCCAACCCGAGGCCAGAGTTGTGGAGTTGCCACCAGACCTCCCCCTCTGGCTTGTGCGGGTGGCATCTCACACAAAGGTGACATCTCTGAGAAGGCACCATTTATGGCAGAGACACGTAGATTTGTACACTTATAATCACGGTTTTCAGTGTGAAGGCATTAAAGTGACTCCTAAAAAAGAAGTATGCTAAGCCAATTTTCCAACAGATGGAAGAAAAACATCTGGAGGAAGAGGAAGAGATGCCTTCTTTTTCTCTCTTCTTTTTTTTGACACTCTTGCTCTGTCATTCAGGCTGGAGTGCAGTGGCATGATCACGGCTCATGGCAGCTTAACCTCCCCCCCGGCTCAAGCTATCCTCCCACTTAGCCTGCCGAGTAGCTGGGACCACAAGCATAGGCCACCATGCTCAGCTAACATTTAAACTTATTGTAGAGATGAGGTCTTGCTATGTTGCCCAGGCTGGTCTCAAACTCCTGGACTCAAGCAGTCCTCCTGCCTTGGCCTCCCAAAGTGTAGGGACTGCAGGCATGAGCCACTGTGCCCGGCCTAAGATGCCTTCTTTGTAATTCGAGCAAAGGCCCAGTGGCCACCTGAGCTGTCCTGCGGCCTCCTGCCATGAACTTCACTGCTCAGGGAGGTGGGCCTGGGACAAGCCCAGAAGGTCACTTAGTCCATTCTACTGTAGGGTCCAGGGCTGCCAAAAGTGTCAGGATGTACTCTGGAAGGGGACCCAGTGGACTAGGTCAGGGGTAGCTGGTGTACCTGACAGTCTCTTCTCTAGAATGGGGCCTTCGCTCTGCTCAGTATCTATCAACAAAGCCACAAGAACACAGGTGGGTTGAACCAGCAGCTGTGGCTCTTGCTTTGTGCTAAATGGAGGGGGTGACCTTTCCTTTGCTCCCAGGCTCTCCCACCCCCACCAAGGGCTGTCTGGCATTTGGGTGGTCATAGGATGTGCCTGGAGGCACTGAGAGGAGGCACGCAGAAGCCAAGGCATGCCCACCTCCTTATCGTCCTCAAGGAGGTTCTCTTTTAAGGCGGCCATCTCCTCCTGGAACTCCCTGAGCTGCTCCTCTTTGGCTGCCAGCATCTTGAGGTCATTCTGGTGTTGCTTCTGCCACTGCAGCACCTGGCAGCTCATCTCCTCTAGCTTCTTGTCAAAGGCGTGCACCTACTCAGGAGAGCAAAGTGAGGAGGGGGACTCCAGCTGGCCTCCCTGACCGCAGGACCCACAAGGCCAGAGGGTGCTTCCTGGGCCTTGGGATACGTGTTGGGGGTATTTTCTTCTCAGTGGCCAGCAGAGGGCACCCATGCTCCGATCTTTGCTGCCTCTGTCTGAAGTTCAGGGAGCCAAGAAAGTGGAGGGAACCTAGCAGCCCAAGGGAATGACTTAGTGCTAAATAATTCTGGATGCAAGAGGTGACCTTGTGGACCCCTACCAGGAAGGCAGCCCAAGCCCCTGGCAGCTCCTCACCTCCAGCTCACTCTCCTGGTGGAAGCCCCGCAGTTTTCTTAATTCCGTATTGAGCTTTTTCATCCTTTCCTCATAAGCAATGATTTCCTCTTCCAGCTGAGCTTTCTTCTCTTGGGTCTGTGTCAAGCTTTGCTGCAGGCTCTTTGTCTCTGAGGTCACGTGATTGAGCTTCCGGAAAAGACAAAGAGGACGAATGGCTGTCAGAGACTTTGACCCTCTCTGCTGAGTCCTGAATGGAGGAGGGTTCCAGTCCCTTCCTGTCCTCTGCCCAGGGTGACACGGACGGTCACCTTGCCTAGTCTCCCAGAGAGGGGTGGGAAATGACAGTGGTTGGTTTTCTGCACCCTGCTTTCTCCTTCCTACCCACTCCCTCCATTTCTTCTCTTTCCAATCCCATGAATTGATGGGCCAGCCATGATCAGCACAGGATGGGGCATGAATTTCCCTGACAATCCAGACTTTGGGAAAACCTTGCCCCCGAGTCACCCATGGGCAGAAAGGCTTGCTAGATTTGGTTTTGATCTTTGTCCTCTTCCTCCGCCCTCCACCCAACTCCAAGCCTCACAAAGAGGAAGCAGGCCTTCTCTGCACAGACATCCCAGCCCACACAAGGGTTTGAGATGGCCCCATTGACAGTCAATAGGCAGGAAATTGGCTCCTGTGCTTCTCCCGCTACCTTGACGTTTCCTTGCCTGAAAACAGCCCTGGAGACTAGAGGGTGTGGCCTCACCTTCTCGAGGGCTTGTGTCAGGTCATCCTGGCAGGCGGCTGACTTCCGGGATAATGCATCATAGGCTTCTTTGGTGATGGTAGTCTGGAGATAGTGCTTCTCCTTCTGCAGAGCTTTGTCCAGCTGGGCCTGCAGGCTCATTAAGGACTCCTTCTGAAGGGCTATCTTTAAGGAGGGAGAGCAGAACTGTCAGGGTGCCAGGTCAGGGTCATAGAGGCATTCTCTGTGCCTATAGGAAATGAACAAGAGCCAAGCTCTCTCCTGTCTGCAGCAACCTGCAGAGTCCGTGTTAACACTCACATCTTCACTTCACCACTGTAAAAGGTAGAGCTGTCTTTCCAGGCTCTTTTGCACCCCTCAGCCACATCTCTCTTTCTAGTTAGCATTTCCCTCAAACAGCAGGAGTACCAGCGGTGCTGGGGCATGATATGCCAAGTACACAAAAAAGTCCCTTTCACATACTCTGCAGCCTTTGATAAAGACCTGGAATCCGATTTGAGGTTAGTGGACATGATAACAACATGTCCTTTGTGTTTTATGCCTCACTTAGTTCCTGATGTAATTCACTAGACTTGATGTGCCAGAAAGCAGGACTGTGCCTGTGTTTTGTTTCCTGCTGTTTCCCCATTGCTGTAACTCAGGGCATGGCACATGACAGAGTTTCAGGAAATGCTCAAAAATGGTCTTTGTTCTGTCACGTGAAATATTGCATTTTTGGAGTTAGGGATCAATTGATCAACATGTTAGGGAACATGTAGTTCTGGTAGAAGTGTGTTTAAAAACTGAAGTCTGTTTTCAACATCGTAATGAGTATTCATGGTATAGTTAAAAGGAAGTTGGGATCTGGAGTCAGAAAAATCTGGGTTGAGGTCCAGGTTCTATCATTTACTTATTTCTCTAGCCTCAGTTTCTGCTTCCACAAATTGAAATCATTTTAACTGTTTCGTGGAGTTTTTATGATGATCAAATGAGGTGATATGTGTAAAAAGGGCTTTGTTTTACTATACGACTATGAGTTACTGTCACAGACACACACAGAAACTAGCCTTCTTATATACTTTAAGTACAGGACAGAGATCTGCTTCTGAGTCTGGAAGCCAGAGGGAGACCTCAGAAATTCATATGCCTGACTTGTATTCTTTGGTATTCTAGCACACCTGCATCTGAAAGTGGCCATGCACACAGAAACACATTCTTTTGGGTTTTCTTGTTTTATCTCCAGTAACTGATCAGTGCTTCAAGTTTATTACTTTTTCAGATACAATTTTGAGTACCTCTGGCCCTGGGAATTAGTGAGATGAAAAGTGGTAAATTGGACTTCTGACACCATATTTTACATGCCCTGGTGGTGAAACTATTCCTAAAGATGAAATAATTTGGTCTTCTGAAAACAGAAGTGCATCTTTTCTGGGGACTTCTGAAAAACATGGAGTCAGCAGGGTCTGCCCAGTAAACCAGAGGAATCACTGGAGAAACTATAATTCACTGTCAATGCTTGATAAATGATGGCTGAACTGAGAAATGTCAGTATAGAGGTAAGACACTAAAACTGAGGATGGTGAAAAAAAATTACAGTGAAGCTAGAAGCTAAAATGGAAGCTTTAAAAATTTTTGCTAACATGAGTGGTTTAGCTTGGAGAAAGATTCTAAAAATCTACATATAGAAGTATGTAAATTATAGAACCAAGAAGTTCTAGTAAAAGTTCTAATAAAAGACCTACTCTCTCTGCTGTCAATGGTATTAGGTCTAGATGGTTTTATAGGTGAATTTCATGAAGTCATCATTGATTCCTCACTTTCTCTCACATTCATTCCATCAGCTCAGACATACAACTTTTCCATCATCACAGAAAGGCAGCAAGTTCTACTGGGCAGTGCTATTTTTATACTTAGAAAAGTCATACTACTTTAAGATTTATTTTTATATTATGAGGGAATAAGGGCTGCTTGGCCTTTCATTTGTAGCCCAAGAGACCAACTACCAAGGTGTTATATTTTTCTCTTGCCCAGAAAGATGGAATGGATTTAGCTGGAGAAAGTATGGCTGCTTATGATGAGGGAGAAAGGGAACAGGTGTTAGAGCTGGATAATTCAGGTTCAAATAGTGGTTGATTCCATCACTTGCTGGTCAGTGACTTTGGCCCTCCATCTTTCTTTCCTCTATCATGTCTTTCTTTTTGGCAGTAAAGCAGATGGAAGCCATGTAAAGAGCTTAAGTGGACGACAAATAAATGACGACTGAATTCAAGCACAGTGCTTAGCATATGTCAGATGCTATTTACTCCTTTCTGTCATTTTTACTTGTGTAATGAAAAATAACTGTCCCCCCTTTCATCTCCTTTTTGTGCTTTGTGACAAGTTTTGGAAGTGTTCCCTAGCAAATTGCCCCCCAAAATGGATTCACTCAACTCTGGTCTAAAATGTAACATTGGAAGACTTGATGCCAAAGCCCAAATAGCTTGGGGCTCCACCAGATATGAGATGAGACCTTCCACATATGGAAGAAACATTTCTCTGGCTCAGCAACCAGGTGCCAATGGGGAGGGAAGTAGAGCTGTAGGTGGCCCAGGATCCGCAGTTGGCTGAGCAGTTAGCTGCATTTCTGTGTGGAGGAGAGGTGGGTACAGATTTCAGGTCAAGGGTCACAGGGTTCAAATTCCTCACTCCCTTGGGGTTCCTGTCTACTCACCTCTTTATTCAAGTCTTGGATGACTTGCTGGCTGGTGTTGTATTTGTTGAGAGAGGATTCCAGTTGTGTAGAACAACACTGTAGCTCTGCTCGGAGATTCTCATTTTCTTCCTCCAACTTTCTGGAATTCTCTTTCAACTGTTCCCTCATTAAAGAACAAAGCACAGCAAAGAGGTGTTAATCTCAGATAACTATAAAAGCCCCACTCCACCCTCCCTCTCACCCAGCTCTATCTCCACCCTGCGGGAGCTCAGGCATTCTCGCTCCCCTCCTCGCTGGCCTTTCCCACTGTCCCTCCCGTCTTTCCTAAGCTCTGAGCATCCAGGGCCTCCGCATCCCTGGAGGCCCAGGTGGGGTCATGTCCCGCTCTGGATTCCTGACCCAGCTCTCCTGGGATTCTCCCACTCACCGTCTTGTCTTTCTTTTTAAATTCCTGCCGCAAAGCTTCAAGTTCTCCCTCCATCAGCTTCTCATGCTCTTTGCTCTTCTTCAACTGCTCCCGTTTGTCCTCCAGAAGCTTTGTGGCCTCCTGAAGATCTTCTTCTAACTTGCATTTGATGGAGCCTTGCTCCCTGTGCTGAAAAAATAAAGACTGAGCTGAAAGACTGTCTTAGACTATATTATATTTGGGGGAAAAATACAGACAATTGCACACAGGGCATGGCTGAGATGAAGAAGAAGACAATTCCTTAGTTATATAGCATATGTAAAATAAAAGGTTTCCTCCAACGCCTGTAACATTTTTTCTTTGTTCAGTCAGATATACCAATTTATTTTATTTATTGATCTAATTCCTAAGCACCAGCTTTCTCTCCCACTTTCTTACCAATTCTTCCCAAAGATTAGGAAGATTCCAAATCTTTATCAAAAACCTTTTTGAATGAAGTTTAAAAAATCTTAGAAGAGAACAAAAAGAGTAACTCAGAGATCAAAGACTTTAAATTGACTGACAATTATCTCCTACTGCTGGGCACTATTTAAAAAATAAATAAATTGATAAGAATAGCTTTTGAATCCTAGAAAGAACAACATTGTCATTTGATTAATTTTAAGGTTAACCATTGAAAATGCTTCTTACTGGTAATGGGAGCTGGTGCTGAGTGGCTGGCTTAGCATACTAACACAATTCTGGTCAATTAATTTGCATGGATTGGTGGTGATATCTTTCCCAAATAATGACTGATATGTTTAATCTTTTTCTTTTTTTTGAGACAGGGTCTCACTCTGTCACCTAGGCTGTACTGCAGTGGTGCGATCACAGCTCACTGAAGCCTCAATCTCCCAGCCTCAAGGGATCCTCCCACCTCATCCTCCCAAGTAGCTGGGACTACAGGAATGTGCCATTATGCCCTGATAATGTTTGTATTTTTTTTTTTTTTTGTAAGGCAGGGTCTTGCTATGTTGCCTAGGCTGGTCTGGAACCCCTGGGCTCAAGTGATCTGCCTGCCTTGGCCTCGCAAAGAGCTGAGATTACAGGTGTGAGCCACTGCTCCTAGTCTGTGTTTTATCTTAAGCAGAGCAAGCACTTGAATGGGCCATCTGCCTGCCCGTCATACCTGGTGCTTGATACGATCAAGCATGTCATTCATTTTCATATCCTGCTCAGCCACTGTCTTCTGAAGCTGCCTCTTTTCCTTGTCTGAATTTTCAAGCTTCCTCAGGGCTTCAGAGAGTTCTAATGACAGCTCCTCCACCCGTTTTCTAAAGCAAAATAACAGCCACAGGAGGACAGACTTCAGTGCCCATGTGGGCAGATTGTGGAGCTGACCCAATGGGAAATCCTTGCTCTCCCACGCCTGGGCAGCTGCCCACAGAGGGCCCGGCTGGGTCAAGAGTGACAGAACCTCTCTCTGGAGGGGAGCCTGAGCCTGGGCACCTGTTGGAGGTTTGTTCCTTCTCAGCCATCGAGGACTCCTTCTGCAGCATCTGAAGTTCTCTCTGTAGTTCCTGGATGGTGTCTGCCTTCTGCTTGTCCAGGAGGAGACCCTTCTGCAGTTTCCTCTGGGTGTCCTCCAGGTGACAGCCTGCCAGTGCAGCCTCTTCTTTGCACTGGGCTGCTTGCTGAGCTGCAGAAGCAGGGAGATGGCCATGTGAGAAGGGAGGGTGTATGAAGATCACACTCTTATCAGCCTGGCTGAAGAGTTTTTCCTTTCATTTTGTGCCCTACTTCAGTTCCCAGTCTGTCCTCATTTCTCTCCATTTCATGATCAGTCCTAAAGAGCTCTATTAAATTATCTGTCTTTGTCTCAGATGTGGACACCTTCTGGACTAAAATTAAACAAACTGGTAGAAATTTCTCAGCAACTCCTGTGCGACTCATTCTGTCACTGGGGACAAATCCTGACCCTTCTGGAGTTTAGAGGCTCCTGAGGGAGGCTTACTGGCCCACCGTCCTAGAGAACACTGTCATGTTAAACTCGCACCAACTAGGCTCAGGAAGAGAGATCCACATGGGTTAGAACGCTTGGAGATGGATGAGTGGAGGAACAGAAGCTGAGATGTAGAAAAAGAAGTGGGAGGAAGGGAATTCCAGGGGCGGGGATTGTTAGAGCAGATGCCTGGTGAGGAGAATGCGGAAGGTGTGTGGGAGGAGGGTAGAAGACACCAGTTTGACTGGAAAGGGAAGTGGGGAGGAATGGTGGGCGATAGAGTTGAGTAAGTGGATGGATGAGTGGGGCTTTGGAGGACTTTGGAAGCCTAAGAGAAATGCTTAGATGTGGTTTAGTGGGTTCTTGAGCAGGAATCTGACATAAAAGAAAAACTGCTTCAGGAAAATTGGAATACATTAGAATAGAGAAAAACTTCCAGCAATATCCTTCTAGCCCACGCCTTTGCCTCCACTGGGTATGAGGGGAAGGCAGCTACAAAGTTAGAGCTGGGGCTTGAAGTCTTGGAGTTACCTGTAGAGAAAGGGAGCTACACAGAGGAGGGAGCTCACTGAGGAACGAGTAAGAAGGGGAGGAGAGTCTCTAGATGACTACAGTCAGAGCAGGAGAGAAAAGAGAACAATGGGGAGGTTTGTGGGAGAAAGACGGACCCGTGATGTCTCCAAAGCTGAGAAACAAACTTTGAGGCATAAGTAGCCAACAGCATCAAGGAACACAGCATTAAAGGAGGGTGAGGAAGGAAGCCAAGCTTGGATCTTATCTTATAAATTGATAAGTAATTCATATAACATAAATTTAGCCCCTCCACCCCACTTTTTATGAGACAGAGTCTCACTCTATTGCCCAGTCTGGAGTGCACTGGCGTAATCTCAGCTCACTGCAACCTTGACCTCTCAGGCTCAAGTGATCCTCCCACCTCAGCCTCCCAAGTAGCTGGGACTACAGGTGCCCACCACCATGCCTGGCTAATTTTTGTATGTTTTGTAGAGACAAAGTTTTGCCATGTTGCCCAGGCTGTCTTGAACTCCTGGGCTCAAGTGATCCGCCCACCTTGGCCTCCAAAAGTGCTGGGATTATAGGCCTGAGCCACCGTGCCTGGGAAATTCACCCTTTAAAAGTATACAATTCAGTAGTTTTTTGGATAATCACAAAGTCACGCAACCATCACCAATATTTAATTCCAGAGCATTTTCATCACCCCCAGAGAAACCCTGTACCCAAGGAAGAAGCTATTGGTGACCTCTGAGAAAGCAGGCTCTGTGGAGGGACAAGGACATCATCCACAGTGCAAGCTGCACAGAAGAGAAATGTATTTGGGGGCAAAAAGGCGAAAGGGAATAAAAAGCCAGGGAAGGGTGAAGTGAATTGTGTGATGAGGGCCTGAAGAAGATGGAGAGGATTGTGGTGCAAAGGACAGAGCCCTGCCTCCCTGTGGCCAGGAAGGGCCAGGGTCTTCAGGCAAGACTGCTGGGAGAATGGTGGGTGGGTGACTACAGAGGGCAGGTGAGCTTGGGAGTGGGTGAAGGAATTCAAGAGGGCGGTGGCCACTGCTGTGAGGTATAGGATGAGGCCCTGAGAAGGTCTGCAGTGAGACACTGGAGGAGGGCGAGGGGAAGTGGCCACTGGGAGAGAGAAGGTGGCTGCTCTAGGGCTGCTCTAGCCCCACAGAAAAGTGTGGTGGGACAGCACCTGCAGGGGCCTCACCAGCCAGCCTCTCCTGCTGCTTGGCCTCTTCGAGACTGTTCTTCAGCTTCTGGACCTCAGCCTGCAGGGCCTTGCACTCCGCCTCCTTGGACTTGTCCTGCTTAGCCTCCTTGACTGTCATTTCAAGTTCTGTGGCCATGCACTGCTGCTTCTCCAGCTCCTTCTCCTTTTTCAGGAGGCTGTTCTGAACCTGTGTCAGTTTCTTCTCCAGCTCTTGCAGCATCTCATCTTTCTCTTGGAGGAACTGAAGACAGCAAAATGCAAATGCTGGGAAAGGTCTGAGTGGCAGTGGGTGAAGGCAATGAGAGGTTGTCTCAAGCCCTCATCCAAGCCACTGGCATCCCCTGCCTGGACATTGCACGAACCTCCCTGCCTCCACTCCTGTTCCCCTCAGGCTATTCTCCACGCAGTTGAGAGAGGGAGTCTTTATAATTATTATTATTGTTATTGTTTTTGAGACAGAGTCTCTCTCTGTCGCCCAGGCTGGAGTGCAATAGCATGATCTTGGCTCACTGCAATCTCCCATGTTCAAGCCATTTTCCTGCCTCAGCCTCCCAAGTAGTTGGGATTACAGGTGTCCACCACCACGCCTGGCTAATATTTGTATTTTTATTAGAGACGGGGTTTCACCATGTTGGCCCGGCTGGTCTCAAACTCCTGACTTCAAGTAATCCACCTGCCTCAGCCTCCCGAAGTGTTGGGATTACAGGTCTGAGCCACCGTACCCAGCCGTTTATTATCTTAGTTTAGTTTTACTTTTTGAGGCACTCTCACTCTGTTGCTCAGGCTGGAGTGCAGTGGCACGATCGTAGCTCAATGCAGCTATAACCTCCTAGGCTCAAGCGATCCTCCCACCTCAGTCTCCCTGTTACAGCAGGTAGCTAGTCAGGTGTGAGCAGGGCAGGAGAGGGCTCCCCTGCCACATACACCAGGGTTGTCGGGCGACCATCAGGTGATGGTCAGGAGGTTGTTAATTGTCACTTTAAGTAATAATTGGTCACGGCCATGCCAGGGAAAGGCAGGGTCCTAATAGATAGAAAACACCTGAAACTGGTGATCAGCAGACTCCTGGGTAAGGTCTCAGGAGTTGGGAGAGTGGTGAGAAGTAATGCAGGACCCCGGAAGTATGCAGGCCGAGGCAGGTGGATCACTTGAAGTCAGGAGTTAGAGACTAGCTTGGCCAACATGGTGAAACACCATCTCTACTAAAAATACAAATGTTAGCCAGGCATGGTGGCAGGCACCTGTAATCCCAACTACTTGGGAGGCTGAGGCAGGAGAATCGCTTGAACCTGGGAGGTTGCAGTAAGAAAACCCCAATCAAGAGGTCAAATGGCACATTTGGTCTCTCAAGTCGCCTGCTTGGCCCTCTTCCAAGTATATTTTCCCTCCTTTCATTACTGCTCTAAGGCTTTTAAAAAATGTTCACTCCTGCCTGCTCTGAAACTTGCCTCAGTCTCTCCTTCTGCCTTCTGCCCCTCAGTCAAATTCTTTCTTCTGAGGAGGCAAGATCTGAGGTTGCTACAGACCCATATGGATAACTACCACTGCTAACATCCTGAGTAGCTGGGACTGCAGGGGTGTGCCACCACACTCAGCTAGTTTAAACATTTTTTTGCAGAGATGGGGTCTTGCCATGTTGCCCAGGCTGGTCTCAGACTCCTGGGCTCAAGTGATCCTCCTACCTTGGCCTCCCAAAGTTCTGAGATCACAGGCATGAGCCACTGCGCCCAGCTAGAGAGGGGGATCTTAAAAGTGCAAGTCAGATCTTTTGCCTCAGCTCAAAACCCTCCACTGGCTTCCATCTCTTAGAAAAAGGAGGGAGTCCTTACAAGCACCCCATGGTCTGGTCCTAGGCTACCTGTCTGACCTCACCCCTTGCCACCCTCACAACTCTCTGCCTCTGCTGAGCTCCTGGAACACTCCAAGCAGACCCCACCTCAGTGCCTTTGCACTTGCTATTCCCTCTGCCTGGAATATTCTTCCTCCAGACCTCTGCCTGGGTGGCTCCCTCACTTCATTCAAATCTCTGCCCAAATGTCACCCTATCAGAGAGGACTTCTCTGATCACCCTGTGTACAACCGCCATCAAGCTGTTGGAGGGATTTATCAGTGTCTGATGTGGGTATATCAGTATTATATATTAATTTTGTTTACCGGCTGTCTCCCTACACAGGAGTGCAAGCTCTATGACAAGAGGCATGTTGCAGGTTTTGTGATATTCTTAGTGACTAGGACGGTGCTTGGCATATTTTAGGGCTCAAAAATATTTGTGGAGTGAATATACGAATAACTCAAAACTGTTTACGCAGACTCCGTGCCTTGTCATCATCTCTCCAAATACCTCTGTTTTGACGGGCATATCTCCTCTGTGCCTTGAAACAGGAGGTTTTCATGACCAGCCAGTCTATCAACTGGATGATGATGATGATTATTATTATTATTTGAGACAGAGTTTCGCTCTTGTTGCCCAGGCTGGAGTGCAGTGGTGCAATCTTGGCTCATTGCAACCTCCCCTCCCGGCTTCAAGCCATTCTCCTGCCTCAGCCTCCCAAGTAGCTGGGATTACAGCTGTGCACCACCATGCCTGGCTAATTTTGTGTGTGTGTGTGTTTTTTTTTTTTTTTTTTTGTTGTTGTTGTTTTTTTAAGTAGAGACGGGGTTTCACCCTGTTGGTCAGGCTGGTCTTGAACTCCTGACCTCAAGTGATCCACCCACCTCGGCCTCCCAAAGTGCTGGGATTACAAGCGTGGGCCACCGCACCCGGCCGTCAGCTGGATTATTTTTAATAGCTCTGACGGAAGTTCAGAGTCGGAATAGTACTGATTAAAAAAGCTTGCATTGGTTTCACCACCTTTCTGTTCTTGGTTCCATTTCTAGGCTTTTCCAAGAATTTGATTTATGTTGGCAGTAACAGTTCTTTTAGGGCACAGCTCCATTAATATTTTCAAACTGCCTATTTACATATTCATAAGATATTTTTAATTTTTCTGTTTTTTTTTTTTTTTTTTTTTTTTGAGACAGGGTCTCATTCTAGTGTCCAGGCTGGAGTGCATGGCATGATCACGACTCACTGCAACCTCCACCTCCTGGGCTCAAGGGGCTCATGTGATCCTGTGACTTGAGCCTCCCAAGTAGCTGGGACTACAGGCGCACACCACCATGCCCAGATAATTTTTGTATTTTTTGTAGAGACGGGGTTTCATCATGTTACCCAGGCTGGTCTCAAACTCCTGGGCTCAAGAGATCTCCCCACCTTGGCCTCTTAAAGTGCTGGGATTACAGGCTTGAGCCACCATGCCCAGGCAGATATTTGTAATTTTAAAAGTGAAATTCACTTGAAATTCTTAGTAAGGCTACCTGTTATTTTATATCATTTCCTTCCACTATCAAGCATAAGAAGAGTATAAGGGAACAATGCAAGTAAGTGTGTCACAAATGCTCTTGCTACCTTGCGGGGCTTGGGAAAAGTCAGTGCCTCTGTTTTGGTCCCTGCATAATCAGATTCATTTATTATGTATGATGAGAAATACCAAAGAAGTGCTTAGAATTGAGCCTGGGCCTGAAGAGCCACCATCTCACTGTGCTTGTGTTGAGGCTCCCAAAGCAATAATGGTGGGTGAAGGCAGAACCGGTTAATGCCAGGACATGGCCTCACACCTGCCCCATTGGGAACCCCAACCAGAGTTCCTCACTTTACCTTGTCTTTCTTCAAAGTGAGCTTTTGGGTCTCGGTGAACTCCAGCTGCAGCTCCTGCAGCCGGCACTGCAGGATGGTGATGTCCTTATCCTTCCTCTCAATGTGGGCAGATGTCTCCTCCCGCAGTCCGTGCAGGTCCAGCTCCAGCTTCATCATGTCTACCATGGGGCGGGACAGAGTCTATGCTCAGGGGAGAGTTAGGCTTCCTTCTGGCTCCCCTGCCACAGCCTGCAGCCCCAGTTTACCCTTCATGATGTTTCTCTTCTGTTCCGACACGGCCTCTAGTTCCACGCGCAGATCCTTCACCAGGTTCTGGTACTCCTCCACATGCAGGCACTGGCTGTCTTTCTGCTCCTGCAAGTGCTTCAGTATCTGGCAGATGGAAGAACAGGGCAGGATGAGGAGATGAGAGACAATGGAGAGTGCTTTCTAAAATGCCCAGCATCCACAGTCAACAGTAAGTAGGGACAAAGTAGCAGAGTAATGGCTGCTGGGGGCCAGGGGATGGGTGTGCGGAGTGACTGCTAATGGGTACAGGGTTTCTTCTGGGGTGACACAAATGTTCTGGAATTAGGTAGTGGTGATGATTGCCCAACCTTGTGAATATACTAAAAACCAATGGTGAATTTTATAATTTGTCCATTGTCTCCCAATGAAATTTTTTTAAAAAAGAGAATAAAACAAAAGGATATTGCAGACTTCTCAGGCTCACACGGAATACACATAAAAGCAGCCATCCCTGTATCCCTTCCTCCCTGAGACAGACAGTTGTTTATGGAGAATCTACTGTGTGCCCGGCACTGTCCTGGGTGCTGGGCATGGCTCCATTAATATTTTCAAAGCAAATAATGTGGAGCAAAAGACACAGACAAATCCTTGTCCCCACAGAGCTGACCTAGTGGGGTGAGATGAAGAGCATAATAAGTAGTGACTTATAGAAAATGTTAACAGTGGATAAGTGCTATGGGGGAAACAGAAGAGCGAAGGGGAATGGAGGGGCATGGGCGGGGGAGGCGCATGTTGCAATTTTAAGTAGGAGGATGGGCTGGCCTCCCTGCGAAGGTGGCCTCCCAGCTGAGACTTGCTGGAGGTGAGCTTTCAGGCGGGGAGACCAGCCAGAGACAACGCTTGTGGTGGGAACATGGAGGAGGCAAGTGCGGCTGGCACGGAGCAGGCAATGGGGAGAGCTGGAGGAGACGAGGTGAGGAGCTGGGTGGTCACATCACCTGGGGCTTGGGGTCCTTCTGCAAGACCATTGGCTTCTACCCTGAAGGAGAGGGGATGCCTTCCTCACCAAGAGAAGGCAGGAACATGTGGCTGGGGAGGAGCAATTCGTTGCCTGGCATCGGGGATATTGGGGAGAGTTATTTGTGTGATTTCAGAGCTGCTAGGAGGGAGGGCAGCAGCAGGAAGCCAGGAGGTGACAGCTGGAGAGATTCAGGGCAGCCACTGCAGGACCCAGGAGTGGGCACTGCAGGGACTCAAAGCCCCACACTGTGCCACACTTGCCGAGGGGAGGAGAGGCCTGCTGGAAAAAGCTGGCGTGGGTCTCTCATTCCTAATGGAGCCCCAGGGAGCGTGAGGGCTTTGGAAAGGAAACATAATGCGGTGGGGGAAGGTGTATTCTGCTTCTTGGGGAAGTTTGTATCACTAAAAAAATGGAGTCTTATGAGATTTTTGCTCTAGGTCAGGATGTGAATAACATGGAACTGATCTTTAAAATAAATATTGACAGATGTCCAAGGAAGAACTACAAAGTTCAATATTGATCCCTTGTTCAACCAACTTTCTGGGATTGGAAAGTCCTGGA